>NC_000004.12:1441552-1748048 GCF_000001405.40 Homo sapiens | reverse complement strand
TTCCACTCCTAGGTGGCCTTAGAGGGGTGGGGGTGCCCCACAGACCTAGCTTCTCCATGTGGGCTGAGCCCTGCACTCCCCTCGGGATTTGGATATTGGCTGCAGGGGGAGCTGGGCAGTGGGTGGGCACCAGGCTGGACAGCCCCTCGGACGGCGGGGTCTCATCCTGCCTGGGACCAGATGGCTTGCACCACAGACACGTGTTTCTCTGGGTTCTGGAGGCGCCAAGTCCGCCATCAGGGTGCTGGCGGGTCAGTTCCTCCAAAGTGCTCTCCCGGCCTGCTGCCTTCCCGCAAGGACACTAATCCCAGCAGACCAGGGCCTCACCCTCACGACCTCGTCTAACCCTCACCCCTCCTTCCAATGGGGCACGTCGGGGGGGTGTTTCTGAGCCCTGCCCTGAGCTGTGGGAAGGGCAGAGCCGAGCGCTGCCTCCATGACTGTGTATGAGGACTCCCACGGAGGCAGCCCCCAGGACAGCTCCTGTTTCCTTGAGCCCCCCACAAGGCGACTGCGTGGATGTGCAGGGGGTCCGGGGCTGCGGAAGTCCAGGCCACGGCTGCGTGCCCAGCTCAGGTCATGTTTACCAGGCAGGCCAGTGCCAGGGCCCCCGCCCGGCCTCGCAGCCCTGAGTTAACTCAGGCTCCAGGATAAACACCCATTCAGCCACACAAGGCCCCTTTGTCCTGGGAGAGAGGCTCCCGGCCCAGGACGCTGCCTGGTGGCCGGTGTCCTCGGCGCGGCCCCAGGCCCGGCCAGGTGCCCTGACACGTTCAGCCGCCCTGCACGGCCTTCTCCGGGCAGGCTCCCGGCTTGGCTCAGAGAGGCCCCAGCAGGGGACAGGGCCCTGGGCAGCTGTCAGAGGAGCCAGAAGGCCAGACCGGCAGGGCTGAGTGAGGAGGAGGACCTGGCAGCCGCCTTGTGTCCTGAGACCTTGTCAGAGCAGAGCTGACCCGGCAAAGAGAGGTGGGAGTCCTGCGGCCGGACATGCCTGTGGGCAGCGGGGAGGCCGAGGCGGGCCGTGCTGCCCATAGGGCAGCTGGTGAGCTCTGGAGGCTCGAGGGCCCTTCTTCTCCCCCATATCCTCAACCCCAAGCAGGAGAGGGGGCCCACACCCTGTGCTTGGCCCGTCTCCCCCGGCCAATGGCCACTGGTCTGTGGGCCTCGGTTTCTCGTCTGTGAAGTGGGCCACGGAAGGCTCTCAGAGGCCCCTCAGCCAGGGATTACACCCTATTGTTACCCAGGCTCGGGGCTGAGATGGGGGTTGCTGCCCACGGGAGGGAGGGGCGCGATGGTCCTGGGAAGCCAGTCAGGAGGTGCCGCAGGAGCACAGGTGGGCTGTGGAGGGGGAGGGAGTGGCCCCCAGGCCCCCCTGAGGCTGGCCCAGTCCCTGCCCCAGCCGTGACTGGCCATGGCCCGCTGTGGCCGTCCATCCCTGTGCCAGGCCCCCTCCTCCAAACGTGCTAAGAACAAATGCACCCTCATGCCCTTGGGGACACCCCACTGGCCACCCAGGCTGAAGCCCCTGCCCGCCCCTCAGCCTCCCTGGCGGTCCATGCGGCTTCTTGGCACCCGTGCCCCGCCCCTTCAGGGTGTCACCCACCTGGTCCGGTCCCTGCATGGCCCATGGCGGCAAGCGACCCCTGGCGGCGGCTGGGGGTGTTGTTGCGCCCACCCGAGGTCAGTACTGCAGTGCTGCTCACCAGGCCAAGGGGCAGACTCGCAGAGCCTTGGAAGCAGGTCCTGGGACTGCAACCCCCAGGCTCAGACACTACTGGGGCCAGGTGACTGCGGCCAGATCTCGGCCTGGGTCCCTCCCTATGTGGGGAGCCCCACTCTTCACTGATGGGAGAAAACGGCTTTTCTGGACGGCGTGATCTGGGCACAGCAGCAGCACCGACCCCTGGAAACAGGTTACAGCGTCAACCCTTGGTCTTGCCTGGCCCCTCAGGAGGCCCTGGCCCTCTGGCTGGTGCTGGGGTCCTAGGTGCCATGGCTGAACCCAGTGACCAGCATCTCTCAGCTCGGTACCCAGGTTCCCGGGATGCCCCAGCTGGGCCAAGCCTCTGCCTGACCAGAAGGGCTCCTGGAACTGCCTTGGGTTCCAGTGTGCCTGTCTGAGTTTGAGATCCGCAGGACGGGACTGCTGGAGATGGGGTTAGGGTCGGGGAGGAAGCCCTGCCGTGTGGAGACAGAACTTCCTCAGGGAAGCCTGTTTTGCTCTGAAGTCTCCACGCCCCCAAGGACGAGGACGACAGGAGCTGAGCAGCTGCACCTGCAGGGGGCCTCCCTCCACACCCACACCCAGGTGAGCGCTCAATTAGCTGGGGCTGCAGGCTCGCCAGGTCGGCACCAGAATCAGAGCCACCGGCATGCATGCCTGGCTGTTCACAGTTTTTGTTTTATATGAAAACTTCCCCGTCTCTACTAAAAATACAAAAAATTAGCCGGGCGTGGTGGCGGGCGCCTGTAGTTCCAGCTACTCGGGAGGCTGAAGCAGGAGAATGGCGTGAACCTGGGAGGCGGAGCTTACAGTGAGCCGAGTTCACGCCACTGCACTCCAGCGTGGGTGAGAGACTGTCTCAAAAAAAACAAAAAACAAAAAAACAAACAAAAAAACGAGTCCATTTGGACTTTGATGTGTGTACCTGAGGCCAGGACCATGTAGCCAACCCGAGGTGGCCGGGGCAGACTGGGCAGGCCTGAGCCTCCTCTATCCACTGGCTGTCCCTGCCCCTCGGCAGGGTGGCCTGAGCCTGGGGTAGGCAGGGACCAAGTGGCCAGCTCTGAGGGGAAGGGAGGGCACCTGCGGGTCGGCTCAGCCTCAGGCTAGAGCTGGGAAACCTTTGCTTCATCAAGACCAGAGCGGCTTCAGTGTTTAAATTGAAAGGAAACTTTTATTGAGTCATGTTTTCAAAGCAATCTAGTTTTTAAAAAAGTTGAAGACAAGACAGAAAAAAGAACATGACACCTAAGAGAATCAGACAGGACAGACAGACGGGAGCAGGGGGGCGGGGACAGCGGCTCCGTGGAGGTCAGATCTTCTCCATCTTGGAGATGAGGTCGTCGCAGATCCTGGTCAGCTCCTCGTTCTCTTTAGTCTGGAGGAGGAAGATGAGTTGCGGGGCTTCTCCCTGCTTGGAGGGAGCAGCAGGCCCAAGGGCCTTCTAGAAGGTGCTGCCAGACGGCCCCTTGAGCTGGGCTTCCCGCACCCACCTTCTGCTCCACTGTCTTCTCCAGCGACTGGATGCGCATCTGCTCCTTCCTCAGGCTGGCCTGGAGGGCCAACGCTTCCGCCTGGGCCTTGCTCCGGACCTGGGCGATCTCCTCGTTTGCCCTGGAGGGGTAGGGGCGGGGCAGAGGCTGAGCTGGGGCCCAGGTGCTCAGATTCTCCCTCCAGGGTGGGGCCTCGCCCAGCACTCACAGCTGCAGCTTCTCCTCCGCGTGGGCCTTCAGGGCTTGGTACCTCTGGCCCTCCTGGGTGATCCTTGCCAGGTAATCCTCCACGCACTTCTTCAGTGACTCTTCGTTCTAGGAAGGGGCAGGCATTAGCTGTGGGTACCACGCCGTCTGCTGGAGAGCACCCAGGCTTGGTGTCTGGGGACCTGCAGATCCTCGAGGCTGTCTGGGGCATCAGCCGTGAGCCAGTAGCTCCCGTTTTCCTTTTGGAAAAAGCCCCTTCACACAAGTTCCCAGCTCACCCCCTCTGGAGGTTCAGGACAGCCCTGGCTCTCCACCCTGAGATGCCGGGCCTGAACCTGGTGCCCTCACGGCTGGGCCCCCTCCTGCCACACCTGCAGCCTCTGCTGGCACCAAGTGCTGCTGGAAAGTGGGATGCACCTGGGACCACTGACAGCCCAGCCCGTCTCCCTCTGGAGCTGAGCCCTGTGCTTTGGGGACAGGCAGGGGAGGCCAGCAGGAGCCACATGGTTACCCAGACACGCCTGCTCCTCACAGGCTGCTGCCCCCTCTGGGGGCACCTTCCGCTCAGTGACTGAGAAGCCCTAACTGAGGGGTTCCTGGGTCCCCGAGTGGCCTCTGCTTGGGAAGGCTCAGCCTACCTGCCTTCTTCCTGCAGTGCCCCCAGCGGCCTCACAGCCCAGCCATCCTCACTCCTCTGTCGCAGCCCTGTATCCCAGAAGCACCCTCAGCACTGCAGCCTCTCCCTGAGCCCCTACCCAGCATGCAGCCCCTGATGTCCTGCGGAGGTCACGCCTCCCTTAAACCCACAGCACTGTGTTTCTCTGCTGTGGAAAATTCCCAACAGCGTCTGTCCGGGAGGCGGCATCCGGAAGCTCTCACGTGTGCACAGGTCAAGCCTCCCGCCACAGCGGCGTCTCTCCCTCTGGCTCTGGGGGCTGCCGTCCACACACTGGTTCCCAACTCAGCCTCTGCTTCCCTCATCTGACCTGTACCCTTTGAATTGTTAATGTTGTTAACTGTGTACCTGTTAGAAATTTCCATTTGGTTCTTTTCTAGTTTCTGTTTTTTTTTTTTAGACGGAGACTCACTCTGTCACTCAGGCTGGAGTGAAGTGGCATGATCTCGGCTCACTGCAACCTCCGCCTCCCGGATTCAAGCGATTCTCCTGCCTCAGCCTCACAAGTAGCTGGGACTACAGGTGCGTGCCACCATGCCCGGCTAATTTTTGTATCTTTAGAAGAGACAGGGTTTCACCATGTTGGTCAGGCTGGTCTCAAACTCCTGATCTCGTGATCCACCCGCCTCGGCCTCCCAAAGTGCTGGGATTACAGGCGTGAGCCACTGTGCCCAGGCTTTTTTTTTTTTTTTTTTGAGACGGAGTCTCGCTCTATCGCCAGGCCATAGTGTGATGGCGCGATCTTGGCTCATTGCAACCTCCACCTCCTGATTGATTCTCCTGCCTCAGCCTCCCAAGTAGCTGGGACTACAGGTGCCTGCCACCATGCCCAGCTAATTTTTGTATTTTTAGTACAGAAAGGGTTTCACCATGTTGGCCAGAATGGTCTTGAACTCCTGACCTCATGATCCTCCCGCCTTGGCCTCCCAAAGTGCTGGGATTACAGGCATAAGCCGGCCTAGTTTTTCTGTATTTTTTGTTTTCTGAGAGAGTCTCGCTCTGTCGCCCAGGCTGGAGTGCAATGGTGCCATATCGGCTCACTGCAACCTCTGTCTCCCAGGTTCAAATGATTTTCTGTCTCAGTTTCCTGAGTAGCTGGGACTATAGGTGCACACCACCATGCCTAACTAATTTTTGTATTTTTTTTTTTTGAGATGGAGTCTCACTCTGTCGCCCAGGCTGGAGTGCAGTGGCACGATCTTGGCTCACTGCAACCTCTACTTCCTGGGTTCAAGTGATTCTCCTACCTCAGCCTCCTGAGTAGCTGGGACTACAGGCAAATGCCACCCTGCCCAGCTAATTTTTGTATTTTTAGGAGACGGAGTTTCATCATGTAACCCAGGCTGGTCTCGAACTCCTGACCTCAAGTGATCCACCCGTCTCGGTCTCCCGAAGGGGATTCTTTTCTAGTTTCAAGGTCTCTATTGAAGCAATACTCTTCTGAATACAGAAGACAATTACTTTAAAGTCTGCACTGGGTCGTCCAAGATGGGATTAGATGTGCAAAGGAGCCTCCATGAGGAAGTAGGGAGGTGGCCAGTGGGAGCTGAGGCACAGGCCTGCCCCGGGGAGAGGCGAGGCCAAGGCAGCTGCTCACACCACAGCCCAACCTGAGGGAAGGTCAGCAAAGCCGCTGTGTCCTCAAGCCAGCAGCACCGTGTGAAGAGTCCTGCCTCTCCAAGCGTCTGTGCTGGGCCAGACTGCTGTACTCTGCTGCCGGTGGGCACTCTGCTGCCACAGGGCCCTTCCCATCTGCTCCCTGCAGACCTGAGGCACCACCTGCCGGTGCCAACTCCAGCGTCTGGGGCTCCTGTGGGTCTATCAACAGTTTTTGTTTTTGTTTTTTAATTTTAGAGATGGGGGTCTTGGTCTATTGCCCAGGCTGGGGGTGCAGTGATACAATCATGGCTCACTGCAGCTTCGACCTCCCGGGCTCAAATGATCCTCCCACCTCAGCCTCCCTAGTAGCTGGGACCACAGGTGTACATCACCATGCCTCACTCTAATAACGGGTCTGATTTTCACTCATGTTTCCTGTTCCTTTCACACTTGGTTATTCTGTGCCAGACACTAATTTAAAACTGCAGCAGCAATTTAAAGCATAAGATACCTTCTTCCCTAGAGTATTCAGGCTTGCTTCTGTTAGGCAGCTGGGCCCCAGCCACTGACACCCACCTGACTTCAGGACTCAGATGAGGTGTGGCTCAGCAGGCCCTGCAAGGGCCGCTTTTCCAGTTTAGTCTGACTCCCAGGGGACCCATCTGGTGTCCCCAACCCCCTTGCACCAACAGTGACAGCCCCTCTTCCAGCTGCACCTGCAGGTCCAGCTCCTCCACAGGAGGCGTTGAGCACCTCCGCTCCAACATTGCTGCTGTGGGCAGAACCCTCTGGCGGCCTCGCAGGCACCTTCCAGGCCTGCTCTGGGCAGATGGATGGCCCAGACATCCCTCCTTCCAGCAAGCATGTGGGCCTTGCCCAGCACAGAAGGTGGGGGGCGCTCAGAGTCCCGTGGCCAGGAGGACACCAGGGTGGCCTTGCACAGCCGTGACCACCTTTCAGTGGGCCTCCCGCCTTGGATACTGCATGCCCTGGGTCCCCAACCCTTGGGACCCAAGCGCTCGGACAGCCCAGACACCTTTCCGAGGTGCCCCAGGCCCCGGTGCACCAGCGCTGTCTCAAATCTCACAGATGCCTGATCATAGCCGAGTCGTCTGTCACACAACAGCGGACGGCTCAGATGGCCTCCCTGCTCACTCTGCCTCCTGCCGCCCTCAGCTGCCTCGCAAACCAGCTATGCTGTGACTCCTGCACCCTGTCTCGTTCACAGGTCATCCCATGCCCCCGTGGCAAGGGGAGGCTTGGCCAAGGACCAAGGTGCAAAGACAGCAGCTTGTAGCCCCGCTGGCTTGGACCATGAGTCCATCAGCCTCCGAGGTGAGGACACCAGGGTGGCGGAGACATACCTTGCGGTAGCCCTCGATCACCTCTTTCTGTTTCTCAAAACGCTTGAAGAGGTCGGAGAAGGACTTCTCCATGGAGTTCAGATCTGTGGTAAGTTGGTCTTTTTCTTTTAGAACTTTCTGGATTTCAGCTTTGGAAAGTTCCTTCTGCTTCTGAACTTCCTCTTGAGAAAAGAAAAGCAAACGTTCAGGATGAGGAGGCAACCGAAACGATGGGTGCCAGAGACAGCCCAAGGAATGAGGCAAGGGACTCGAGCGCCAGGAGGAGAGGTGGGCAGTGGGTGTGAGCCTCGGAGGGTGATGGGTCCCTCCACCCAGGATCTTCTAGGCCGGATGCAAAGCCCAGGAAACAGCTGTTTCCTCCACATCAGATCCGCAGGGAACTGGAGCCTGGGCCAGAGGTCCCTGAAGAGGCGGCGCCCAACACCCTAGAGCCTAGGGTGAGGCCTGGGAGCCGGTATGGCGAGCTCCAGGATGTGCGTCGTGCTTCGTGGTGGTCCTGGAGGGACTGCAAGGGCCAGGCGGTCACCTGCCGCCGGCTGACACTCAGCCTAAGACAGATCCCCACAGTAGCACCTCCAGGAGCCCAAGCTTTTGGGAGGCCAGATGAGGCCTGGTGTTCCCGTCCTGCCAGACACCTACAGAGGCTGCTGCTAGACATAGCCGCACGGCGAGGGCAGGGTGGAGTGGGGTAGGCCACGGCGGGACAGACTCTGCTCCCACCACAGCCCCACTGCTAGCTCAGCATCTGCACAACTGTGGGGCCTGCCAAGCCCTGGCTCCGTGGGAGCCACCAGCCTCACTACCACCAGCTTCCCCGCAACTCGCCTCAGTGCTTCCACGGCCGGGCCCATGTTGAAGGGACTCGTGTGTTAGGAAAAGGGGCCTCAGGAGGGTGGGGTCCTAGGCAGGGTGCAGGGCAGGGCCAGGGTGGGGCATAGGCAGCCCCTCGTGGAGGCACGTGGCCTCGGTGGCCCGGGCACTCACCCATGGCCTGGTACACAACCTCTTCGAACCTGTCCATGATCTTCCTGTGGGAGGAGAACAGACACACAGCCATTGCCTCGGGTGCCCAGCGGTCCCAGGCCAGGTGGGGATGGGGACGGGGACAGGGATGGCGAGGGGGATGGGGACAAGGATGGCGAGGGGGATGGGGACAAGGATGGCGAGGGGGATGGGGACGGGGAGGACAGGAGACGGGGCCTCCTTACCCCAGTTCCAGGTTCTTCCCGTGGAGCTCCTCACACCTGCTCCTCAGCTCCCGGTTCTCCTCCTGTGTCGCCTTTACCTGCTCAGGCCACACCCAAGTCAGCAGGCAGGCGGGCCAGACTGACCCTCCCAGGACCTCCCCACAGGATGGGGCCAGCCCGCACCCGAGGTCCCTGGAGCAATGTCCCAGAGGCACAGTTCCATGTGGGGCTTCCAGTGGGACCCTGGGAACCCTGTCGAGGCCAAGGCCACCTGCTCCACGTGCACCCGACTGCCAGGGGGCAGGAGGCATGAGGCTGCTGGCTGTGCTCCTGGGTGGAACCAGCAGGCACCCAACAGGTGTGTGTCCCTGCAGCTGCCCCCGCAGCCCAGTGGCAGATACTAGGGGTCCTAAGTGTTAAATATAGTGAACTCCAAGTTTGTCTTCAAAGAATCAGTAAGTCAGTATGTTCAGATCTCTTTTTTTTTTTTTGAGACAAGAGTCTCACTCTGTCGCCCAGGCTGGAGTGCAGTCACGTGATCTCTGCTTGCTGCAAGCTCCGCCTCCCGGGTTCAAGCCATTGTCTTGCTTCGGCCTCCCGAGTAGGTGGGACTACAGGTGCCCACCACCACGCCCGGCTAATTTTTGTATTTTTTAGTAGAGACAGGGTTTCACCGTGTTAGCCAGGATGGTCTCCATCTCTTGACCTCGTGATCCGCCCACCTCGGCCTCCCAAAGTACTGGGATTACAGGCGTGACCCACTGCACCCGGCCAGATCTCTTCTTTGATTCTCCATTTAAAATTCCTGGTTCTCTTCGCCCCTTGCTTCTAGTTTCAGTAAACAATTTTCCCGCCAGTCCTAATCAGTAGTTCACATCTGTTCCCTGGTCACCTGCTCCATCCTGACTCATCCCGGTCACCTGCTCTGACCTAAGTCACCTTGAGTTACCTGTTCCTAACCGTCCTTCCCGTCAAACTACTCACCCCACCACTCTGACTCTTACCCTGCCCTCTTTAAAATAGCCAATTGGAATTGGCTTAGACTGTGTGGTCCAACCTTAGCCAACAGGGGAACAACACAGCAGTAGGGCTACCTGTGTCAGGAATAAGAACCCCTTCCCCTCCCTTGTTCAGGTGTGCTCTTGCCATTGCTCCATCTGCGAGGGGCACCCTTTCTGCAGAAAGTAAAAACTGCCTTGCTGAGAAAATTAATGTTCGAGCACTATTTCTTTGTGGCACCAGAGAACAAGCATTGTGCATTTCTAACATAAGTTACATGCAGGGGCCACCTGCCCCCGGAGCCCAGGCCTGCAGAGGAGGGGGCCAGCCACACTGTGGTCCCCAGGCCTGCTATTGGGTTACTCACACGGGCTCTGACACAGGGAAGGAGGTTGTTGGGGTACGGGGTCAGGGCCACATCACAGGCCTCTGCGGAGATGACACCTGGGGCCACTGTGAACAACACTGGTGTGGATGTTGGGGCTTGAACCCAGCCCTGCCAGCCGGCCTCCGGAACCACCCTGTCTGCACCTCCCTGGGGACCATCTGGCGACGGTAGCTCACAGTGGTGCCTGCAGACACCCAGCCCCTTTGTGTGCCTACAGCTCTCTTAGGGACAATTTAGGCCCGGAGTTAGAACAGGCTGAAGCCTGGCATGTACAGTGAGGATGGAGGGAGACAAGGCACGGGACCCTCAGATGTGGGGTGGGTGAAGATGGAGCTTCCTAAGCTGCCAGGAGATGCGTCTGGACTCGTGGGAGGGCGGGAGGAAAGGGGCGACACTCGGGCTCACGGCAGCAAGAACCACACTCACTGCTGCAAGGCCACCAGAGGCCAACGCCATGCCCAGGCCGGAGAGTCCCGGGGAGGCTGCTGGTGGGCAGCTGACTGCGGGGACACTGGGTGGAAGCCTGGACCCTCAGCGACCTGGGCAGTAGTGACAGGCCAGGGGCCGGCAGCTCTCTGCAATTCCACCCCAACCAGCAGGGGCAGGGATGGCAGGGATGGCGGGTCAGGCTGTTGGACCCCTGCCCACTGTTGGCCAAGCCCCAGAGCGGCCTGCAGGTTCTGTGGAATAGCTACTACCTGCGTCCTTACCACTGCATCCAGGTCCTTCTGGCTGTACTGGAGCAGGTCCACTATAGGTCCGGTGGACAGGGGTGGGCCCCCAGGCGCGGGAACACCTGGGGGTGGGCCTGGCACCTGCGGGAGATGGGGATGAAACAGGAACCCATTTCGCCCTTGCCTCTTACCTCTGACCTAGTGTGAGGGAGGAAAGGCCCACACAGGCCAAGAGCCTCAGACAGTGCATGAGGGACCCGAGACAGTGCGGCGAGGGAACAGCACAGCGGCCCCATGCCCCCAACAAAACCAAAGGCTCAGACCCCCAGGAATAGAAAATATAGGCCCTTAAAACAACTCGTTCCCTCAGACCACACACAAGACAGTTCAAGAGGGACTCAAGGACTTACAGGAATGTCCAGTGCTCCCAAGAAATCGAACTCCACAAGCTTGGCTTCCCGCGGACGTCCTGAGGGAGTCTCATTTGCACCGTGCATGCTGCCACCAAGCAGAGGCAGCCTCAGTCACTAGGCCCTCCCAGTGTTGAGTAGGACACAGAGGACCATGTGGACAAGCTAACCGGGCTCTTTGCTTTTTAGTTTAAAACCACTCAAGTCAGGGTAGTGGTAGAAAACGCAGACCCGCATCCAGCATGCCCGGCCTCTCTGCTGCTCCGTGCCCCCCTCCCTCACCTGCCCATCCCACGTGGCTGCTTGTCCTTCCGGGAGAGCACGGTGACGCTTCATTACCCACTGCAGGCTGAGCGGAGCCAGTGCTGCCTCATCAGGGGGCTGTTCACAGCTCAGAGCCTTTTTTTTTTTCTTTTTCCGAGACAGGGTCTCACTCTGTCACCCAGATTGGAGTGCAGTGGCATGATCTCGGCTCCCTGCAACCCCTGCCTCCCAGGCTCACCCGATTCTCCTGCTTCAGCAACCCAAGTAGCTGGGATTACAGGCGCCTGCCGCCTCACCCGGCTAATTTTTGTTATTTTTAGTAGAGATGGGGGTTCACTATGTTGGCCAGGCTGGTCTCAAACTCCTGACCTCAGGCGATCCACCCGCCTCAGCCTCCCAAAGGGCTGGGATTCCAGGTGTGAGCCACTGCGCCCGGCCATGTGTTAGGATTTGAAGGCCACACAGCCTCTGTCACACTACTCAGTTCTGGCCTTGTAGTGTGAAAGTTGCCACAATTTGCAAAGGAACGGGCATGGCTCTGTGACGATAAAACTTTACACAAACAGGCAGTGGCCAAGTCTGGCCCACAGGTGATAGTTTGCTGACCTCTATTTTTTGGTTTTTTTTTTTTTTTTTTTTTTTGAGATGGAGTCTCACTCTGTTGCCCAGGCTGGAGTGCAGTGGCGCAATCTCAGCTCACTGCAACCTCCGCCTCCTGGGTTCAAGCAATTCTCCTGCCTCGGCTTCCCAAGTAGCTGAGACTACAGGTGCATGCCGTCACACCCGGCTAATTTTTGTATTTTAGTAGAGACGGGGTTTCAACATGTTGCCCAGGCTGGTGGCAAACTCCTGAGCTGAGGCTATCCATCCACCTCGGCCTCCCAAAGTGCTGGGATTACAGGCGTAAGCCACCGCGCCTGGCCTGCCGACCTCTGTTTTAGAGGAAGTACTCTTAAAAGATTTAAGTTTAGATCTTTAATATACCTAGAACGGTGGCTGTAACCAGCAAGGCAGCAGCCCTGTGGCTGGAGGGTAGGCTGCCGTTGCTCCTGCCAGACACACAAGGGCTGCTCTGGCCTTGCTGCCCAGCCCACCCCTAGCACAGCTCCTTTCCAGTTCTGATCATCTCCCCCCGGTCTAGAAGCCTCTGTGCAGACAGCACACCTAGGAACAGCCTCCAGTCTTCCCACACTCAAGGCTTCATGCATGAGGGAGGGCCGGCGCACATACCTGCTGGTCTCGGTGGCCACGGGCACTGGTCTACCAGGACTGTCCCTCAGGAGGGGGTCGAACTTGAGGTATAAGGACTGCTTCCTCAAGGCCGACTCCTTAAACTGGGGACAAGAGGGCAAGTGATCAGGTCTGACTGCCATCCCCTAACACACACGGGGGCTAAGGGCCAGGGAGGTCACCTGCACACTCCCACCCCCGGTCACCCGCACACTCCCACCCCCGGTCACCCACAACCCTGCCCGAGACACCACCATTCCCAGCAGCACAGCGTGTCAGAGTTTCATCCTGGGCTAGGCACCAGGTAGAGAGCCCTAGAGCCCTGCCACAGGACACCACTTAGAGGAGGTGCTGCAGAAGGGGCCCTGGATTCACAGCCCGCCACAATGCCTGGGCCTGTGTGCAGCTGGGGGGACGTGGGCACCAAGGGACGCTCCGGGGGCAAGACCTGCCGTGGCTGCTCTCGGACACCCTGTGGGTGAGGCTTCGCGGAATTGCCTGGTACCTACCGAGGAAGTTCCAAACTGCTCCAGGTAATCCACCTCCGCGCCCGTGCCTAGAACTGAGAGGAGTGAATCATGCCGCCGCCATCGCCCCTCACCAGGGCCCTAAGGGCGGCGGGCTGGTGTCTCCCTCAGCACTCAGTGAGGCAGGATCATTCCAGCCAGCAGTATTTCCTCCCTTGGAGGTGTGGATGTTCGGGGCCTGACTGCTGTCTGCGGCAGGCGCCTCCTGGGCACCGCAGGGTGCTGAGCGGCATCCCCAGCCTCTACCCACTCCCTGCCAGCAGCACCTCCAGGTGTGACAACCACAAACATCTGGGGAAAGGCGGGGGCAAAACTGCTCTGGTTGAGAACTATTAGTCTTTAAAATTACCCTAGACAAGTCTTTTAATTTTTGATAATATAACTTTTGATTAAAACTAAGGGTGGAGGCTGAGGCGAGTGGATCACTTGAGCCCAGGAGTTCAACAGGGCAAAACCTTGTCTGTACAAAAAATACAAAAATTAGCTAGGCGCGGTGCTGCACTCCTATTACAGGGAGGCTGAGGCAGGAGAACTCCTTGAGCCTGGGAGGTGGAGGCTGCACTGAGCTGAGATTATGCCACTGCACTCCAACCTGGGCAGCGGAGGGAAAACTGTTGCAAAAAAAAAGAAAAGGTGCCTCATACCACATACAAAGATTAACTCAGAATGGATCAACACCCTAACTGTGAGAGTTAAAACTATCCTACTTTTTGTTTTGGTAGAGGAGGAGTCTTGCTACGTTGCCAGGGCTGGTCTTGAACTCCTGACTTCAAGTGATCCTCCGGTCTCGGCCTCTAAAACTATAAAACTCTTAAACTGTGGCTGGGCGCAGTAGCTCACATCTGTAATCCCAGCACTTTGGGAGGCCAAGGCAGGTGGATCACCTGAGGTCAGGAGTTTGAGGCCAGCCTGGCCAACATGGGGAAACCCTGTCTCTACGAAAAATGCAAAAATTAGTTGGGCACGGTGGCATGAGCCTGTAATCCCAGCTACTTGGGAGGCTGAGGCAGGAGAATCGCTTGAACCCAGGAGGCGGAGGTTGCAACAAGCTGAGATCATGCTACTGCACTCCAGCCTGGGCGACAGAGCAAGACTCCGTCTCGGGAAAAAAACAAACCAAACTGGTACTTTAAGACAGGGTCTTGATCTGGCTGAGATCCAGGCTGAGGCATCTCTAGTTTTGTCCCTTTCTTCATGCCTAGCAGTATTTGCTCATTCTCTCCTTTTCTCAATTAAGCTAAAAAACGGTTGCCAATTATTTAGTCTAGCAAAAACTTGTAGGTCCTTCTCTGCTATGGCCTTGTCAGTTTTCTTTTCTTTTTTTTTTTTTTGAGACAGAGTCTTGCTCTGTTGCTCAGGTGGAGTGCGGTGGCGCCATCTCGGCTCACTGCAACCTCCGCCTCCTGGGTTCAAGCGATTCTCCCGCCTCAGCCTCCCAAGTAGCTAGGATTACAGGCATGTGCCAACACACCCAGCTAATTTTTGTATTTTTAGTAGAGATGAGGTTTCACCATGTTGGCCAGGCTGATCTCAAACTCTTGATCTCAGGTGATTCGCCCTCCTCAGCCTCCCAAAGTGCTAGGATTACGGGCGTGAGCCACCGCACCTAGCCTTGTTGTCAGTTTTCATTTCTGCCTTTTTTTTCTTTCCTTCAGATAGGGTCTCGCTGTCGCCCAGACTGGAGTGCAGTAGTGCAATCATGGCTCACTGCAGCCTTGACCTCCTGGCTCAAGCGAGCCTCCCATCTCAGCTTCCCGAGCAGCTGGGACTATAGGTGTACGCCACCATGCCAGGTAATAAAAAAAAAGGTTTTTTTTGGTAGAGATGAGGTCTTGCCATGTTGCCCAGGTTAGTCTCAAACTACAGGGCTCAAACAATCCTGCCTCGGCCCCGCAAAATGCTGAGATTACAAGTGTGGGCCCCTATGCCTGGCCAAAAGCCAATACTTTGAAACATCATCTGATAAGGGACTTAACTTTGTATTTTTTCCTTTCCCTCACTTCTTGAATAAAAGGGATTTACCTCTTAAAACTCAGTAATAAAAACATAAGTGGCTCAATGGACAAGGGATCTCGACAGACACTTTCCCAAAGAAGATATCCAACGAGCACATAAAAAGACGCTCGTTCATGAGCCACCTGGGAACTGCAAATCAAAACCGCAACCAGATCCGCTTCCCACCCGCTGGAAGTCTAGGATCAACAAGACAGACAAGCAGCGCTGGCGAGGATGTGGAGAAACTGGAGCTCTCTTATAACTGCCAGTGGGAATGTGAAACACTGCAGCCACTCTGGAAGGCCACCTGGTAGCTAAAAGGTGAGCAGAGTTACTGTGACCAGCGACTCCACTCCTAGCTATGTATCCAGGAGAAATGGAAGAATACATCCACATAGAACTTACACCTGAACATTCGAGGCAGCACTACTCCTGACAGCTAAAAAGCAGAAACCAGCAAATCCATGAATGAATGGATAAGATGATGTGAAGCCAAGCTGCCACGGCAAGGACAGGAGCACCCACACCTGCTCCAGCATGGCCAGGACTCGGAAACACACCTCCCCGAGGGAGACGCCGGACACAGAAGGCCGTGCTGTGTGATTCCAGGGATCCTGCGTGAGGGTGACAGGCCCATCCCAGCTGAGCTGATATCCCCACATGGTGGCGGCCCACAACTATCCTGTCAGCGACAAACCCTACATGCCATTCGTGTCTGCTGTGTGCCTGGGTTTTCAGTTCTCTAAATTGAGATCTTATACCCACCTGGCTGTGTGTCCTTTAAAACAACTCAGCCATCAATTCCTACCAAATGCACTTTAATTTAAGGACCGTTCCACCTTCCAATCTTACGGACAAACCGTATTTATTTAACTGCAGCCTCCAATCTTACGGACAAACTGTATTTATTTAACTGCAGCCTCCAATCTTACGGACAAACCGTATTCAACTGCAGCCTCCAATCTTACGGACAAACCGTATTCAACTGCAGCCTCCAATCTTACGGACAAACCGTATTTATTTAACTGCAGCCTCCAATCTTACGGACAAACCGTATTTATTTAACTGCAGCCTCCAATCTTACGGACAAACCGTATTTATTTAACTGCAGCCTCCAATCTTACGGACAAGCCGTATTTATTTAACTGCAGCCTCCAATCTTACAGACAAACCGTATTCAAGTGCAGCCTCCAATCTTATGGACAAACCATGTTTAACTGCAGCCTCCAATCTTACAGACAAACCGTATTCAAGTGCAGCCTCCAATCTTATGGACAAACCGTATTCAACTGCAGCCTCCAGTCTTACGGACAAACCGTATTTAACTGCAGTCTGGTGTCTAAGGTTCAGGCTTCACATTTCATTATCAAGGGGTTCTGGGCCGGGCGCGGGGGCTCACGCGTGCAATCCCAGCACTTTGGGAGGCCGAGGCAGGTGGATCACTTGAGGTCAGAGTTTGAGACCAGCCTGGCCAACATGGTGAAACCCCGTTGCCACTAAAAGTACAAAAATTAGCTGGATGTGGTGGTACATGCTTGTAATCCCAGCTACTTGGGAGGCTGAGCAGGAGAATCTCTTGAACCTGGGAAGTGGAGGTTGCATTGAACCCAGATTGTGCCACTGCATTCCAGGCTGGGTGACAGAGCGAGACTATCTCAGAAAAAAAAAAGAAGGTCGTTTCAAGCAGTATTTCTGATGATCGAGTATCCAGTTGTTGACTCTACACTTGTATCTCATTAGCGCACTGCATTGTTCACCTCTCCTGCTCATTTTCCTGAGTCTACAGTTTCCATTTCTAGAAGTCTTTTATGTTAAAGGTATGAGCCCTGCTCTCCTAACACTGACTAAGTTTTGACAAACCACAAGTTTGTGCATGAGTCATTCAAAGTCAAGGGACCCAACTGCCTGCGAAATGACCACCTGCCGATGATGCAGGTGTCTCGAGCTGCCCAAGTGCTCACGGGATCCCCTCCGGGCAGACTGTGTGTGACGTCTGTGCCAGGCAACGTACCCTCAGCGGGGTCTCTGAAGCTCTCCTCTTTCAGCTCCAAGGCAGGCTGCCCCTGCTGATGGGTGGGCACTGGCTCACTGCCTGGACAGCTTGTGGGAAGCGAGGTGCTGGCAGAGTTCAAGGCTCTCTCCTGGAGGAAAGGGCAGAGTCACCCTGTGCAGTGCAGTCAAGGTACTTGGGGTGTGGCTTTGCCTCCCCACAACCTTGTTGAAGTAGACTTGGGGGAGAGGGAGCGGGACATCCCACCCCGTCACCCAAGGCTGCTGGGGGCTTCCACTGCCTGCTACTCTTCTACACGACCAGGCCAGGAGCACAGGTACCCACACAAGCACCCCTTACCTTGCTCTCTGCTGTTGGGGTCTCGGCTGCCAACTGCACCACAGGCGTGTCCTCCGCTGAGGCTGAATGCAGCTGCCTGGGGAGACAGAGTCAGCAGAGGCCCATGCCCCCCACCCCATAACCCCGGCGTCCCCTGCTCCAGCACTGAGCTGCCATCGCCTTTCCCTGCACTGCTGTGCCGGCCACGTGAACATTCAGCTAGAGCGTGCCAGGCATGGGGCTGTCCCAAGCGACCTGGCCACAAAACTGCCTCACCAACCTCACCCAGCAGGAAAACACGCGCCTTGCCTGCCAGCTCTGGGAGAAGCAGGCTGGGAGCTCTAAAGTCAGCACGATGCAGCCAAAGGGAATCACAAGGATGAGTACATCCCTTTTACTGTGAAACTGACAAAAGGCTTCAAATGTGGAGGCTGGGGCAGGTGTGGGCAGCAAGCCACCCAGGGGCCAAGGCAAGACACCAAGGGCACAAGCTGTTCCAGTATCATAAATATACAGAATAAGAATAGTTATACTAGAAATAGATTATAGATATGATTATATATGAATATCGTTAATCATTAGTTTGTAGCTTTACTCTTTATTCTAATATTATAATAATCTTTGTTCTACAATAATAACCTAGGAAACGCCGGGTGCGGTGGCTCACGCATGTAATCCCAGCACTTTGGGAGGCCGAGGCGGTCGGATCACGAGGTCATATCTAGACCATCCTGGCTAACACGGTGAAACCCCGTCTCTACTAAAAAATACAAAAAAATTAGCCGGGCATGGTGGCGGGTGCCTGCAGTCCCAGCTACTCGGGAGGCTGAGGCAGGAGAATGGTGTGAACCCGGGAGGCAGAACTCGCAGTGAGGCGAGATCACGCCACTGCGCTCCAGCCTGGGTGACAGAGCGAGACTCTGTCTCAAAAAACAAACAAACAAACAAATAACCCTAGGAAAAACCAGGCCATATAGAGATAGGAGGTGAAGGCACACGGTGAGAAAGTGACCGGAAGAGGTGTGTGAGCCCTCTGTCACGCCCGGACAGGGCCACTGGAGGGCTCCCTGGTCTAGCGGTAACACCAGCACTTGGGAAGGCACCCGTTACCTAGCTTGGTCTAGCGGTAGCACCAGTGCCTGGGAAGGCACCCGTTAATTAGACTGGGAAAGGGAGTCTCCCTTTCCCTGGGGGAGTTAGAGAAGACTCTGCTCCACCATCTCTTGTGGAATCAGTCAGGCCCGCCCGCAGCCATCCAGAGGCCTGTGTCCCTGTGATGCTGTGCTTCAGCAGTCACGCTCCTGGTCCACTTTCATGATCCGCTCTGTACACCTGGCTCTGTCTTCTAGATAGCAGTAGCAGAATTAGTCAAAGTGCTAAAGTCTTTGAAATACATAGAAAAAATAATGGCGTCAGCTGTCCTCTCTCTCCGCCTTGGCTGCCAAACAGGGAAGGGCCCAGTGGACACGTGACTTGCGTGACCTGACCTATCATTGGAGATGGCTCACACTCCTTAACCTGTCCCCTTGCCTTGTATCCAATAAGTAACAGCGCAGCCAGACATTCGGGGCCATTACCGATCTCCGTGCCTTGGTGGTAGTGGTCCCCCGGGCCCAGCTGTCTTTTCTTCTGTCTTTTTCTTGTGTCTTTATTTGTACAATCTCTTGTCTATGCACACGAGGAGAAAAAACCCACAGACCCAGTAGGGCTGGACCCTACAGGCAGGACAATCTCCCACTGAGCAACTCTAGGAGATGTAGCCTAAGACCATTCAGCCAGGAGGCAGCAGACCCACGGCCAAGACCCCAGCAAGCAGCGGACGCCACCCAGGCAGTAACAGGCTTTGCCTGGCTTTTGGAGTTACACACCCAAGTCAAGTTCACCTGAGGAGGAACATGACTGGGGGACAGGGTCCTGCCCAGGGTTGGTTGCATTTGGCTTCTGGCCTGAGCCCGCCCTTATTGGATCCCTCCTTAGGCCAGGAGCACTAAAGAGATGCATGGCAGCCAAGGCAAGGCCAAGCACCCTCAGCTGGGAGCCACCTGAGCCCTGTTTTTATCCAGAGGCCCCTCCTCAGGCAGAACCTACCCGGCCTCAAAGGAGTATCTGATGACACTTCTGGCCTCGGGTCCTGGACCACATACACTGCAGGGCAGCTGCCCCACGCCACGCTCCCCATCCCATCCTCACACTTACTGGCTCAGACAGGGACCTGGCTCCTCCGTGGCAGGCCCAGCATGCAACTGTTCAGCCGCTGGCTGGCCCAGCCTGGTCTCAGGGCTTTCTGGGGGCTGGGCCTCACTGCAACCAGACTTGGTGTCACCTCCGAACGGGATGAAGTTTGGGTCATCCATTTTGTCCCAGTCGAGGTGGTAAGAGCCCCGAGAAGCTGGCATGGGGGGGTCCTCTCCTGCTCCGCTCCTACCGTCGTCCTCCTCCACCTCCTGCGGGGCCTTTTGCTGCCTCACTGCTGCTTTCCTCAAGGGAGGCTTGAGGCCGGACCTCTCTCCCAGTCTCCTTGGTGGGGGTGCCCTTTTGCTGGTGGCGCCATCAGATACATCAAATTCTAGTTTTACAGGTCCGCTCCTCGAGGAGCTGGCCATTTGGCCTGCAGCCACTTCTTCCTGAGGACTCAGGGTCATGGCCCTGCCAGCCACCAGGTGGTTGGTTGGGGCTGTGCTCTCAGGAGCAGAGGTGTGTGCACAGGTAAGGGTCTGAGTGCCATCTGCTGGCACGGGGGTGCCCACACCCGCAGGGCAGCCCAGGGCTTCGCCAGGCAGACCCTGCAGGGGTGCTCCTCCGCAGGCTTCCTTAGGGATTGCACCAGGAGGCGAAGTGGCCACTGCTGCGGGAGCACAGACCCCACCGTGCCGGCATTCCTCCTCGGCTCCGTGCGGAGTCTCCGCTTTGCATTCTTCCTCGGCTCCGTGCGGAGTCTCCGCTTTGTGCTGGGACTCTGTCCTGCAAGGGTCTTCTAGGGTCTCAGAGGCGGGTGTCACTCTTCTGTCTAAGGAATAGGAACTAAGGTTTTCCTCCACGGCTTGCTCAGGGCTGCCAGACACTTTTCCTGGAGACACCATTTGGTTCTCAGAACTTCCTGGGCTCTGGGAAGAGCTTGAGCAGTCCAGGTCAGCCAGGGCACCTGGGCCAGACTCGCTGGAGCTGCCACTCCCAAAGGCTGGGCTTGCATCCCCCAGGAGGTCGGTGTCAGCCTCCACTGGTTTCTGTAGAATTCCATGAGTAGTTTTGGCATCCACTTCCTTGATGAGCTGTTGGCTTTTAAAAGAGACTTAATCAACGTGAAGCAGCGAGTACCTGGTGAGGTTAGGGGCCTCAGCATTCATTCTCAACATAGGTTTAACATTCTCACACCAGAAGCAGGGCTGAGTCACCCTTGGCACGGCTTCCCGTTCTCCACCCCCCACCTCAGTTCCTCAATGTAGTTCCTTCCTGTCCTCCCAGGGACCAGCTCCCGGTGGAACGGCTGGACACAACCACGTGACTTCCTCGCTGACCCCGCCCTCATGCTTCTTGGGGTTCCAAGTTACAGGGGTGCCTCTGGGCTGCTTGCCTGTTTAATTGTGCTCATCACGCGCTTTGCCAGGTGCTGGACCCAGACTCCTCCAGCAGCCTCTGCCACCCAAACAGCACTCGTCATCATGCACGAGGTCTGCCCCCAGGCCCACAGCATGCACACAGCACAGGCTGCTGCCTGGGGGGTCAGATGTGGGACAGCACACCCAAATGCCTCAAGCTGATGCCAGAGAAAGAAGCCTGGAGGCATCTCTCCCACCTGGTAGACTGGGCTCCTCAATTTCCCACCACTTCCTTTATTTTTATGTTTTTTTTTTTTGAGACGGATTTTTGCTCTGTTGCCAAGGCTGGAGTGTAATGGCATGATCTCGGCTCACTGCAACCTCCACCTCTGGGGTTCAAGCGATTCTCCTGCCTCAGCCTCCCAAGTAGCTGGGATTACAGGTGCCCGCCACCATGTCTGGCTAATTTTGTTTTGTATTTTTAGTAGAGACAGGTTTTCATCATGTTGGTCAGCCTGGTCTCAAACTCCTGACCTTAGGTGATCCACCCGCCTCGGCCTCCCAGTGCTAGGATTACAGGCAGGAGCCACCGCACCCGGCATCCACCATTTCCTGTAAAAAATCCATTCGAGCACCTGCCCACCAGCATACAGTGACCCCACCCTACTCCCCGATAGACAAGGCTGGCTGCCACCCTCTCAGCTGTCCCCTGCCTATGCTCCAGGGCCTGGCCCCAGTCCTCTGTGTGGCCTCCAGCCTGCTGTGGGCCTGTAAGTCATATAATCATTATTTCCGCCTGTGTTTCTCCTAATCACTGAAGGGTGTGCACCACTTAATGACCCTGAATTCTAACATTAAGGGACCTGACAGCATTCCGATAACACTTTAATCTGCGTGAAAACATCAGCTACAAGCAAAACAAGAAAGCTCAGTCAACATTGTCCTGTGGCTTAAACCTCACCCGAGGACATGCCCAACAGATCAGTCCTGGGGACTTGCAGGCCCCAGGATGGCCAGCAGGGGGCGTGGTAAACAAAGGTTTTCTGCATGAATCTGCTTTCCCCTTCAAGTCGGGGACTGGCAGTGCTGTGGCCAGGGACAGTCAAAGCCTTCACTGAAGGGCAGGGCTGAGGTGCAGGATGCCACCTGCAGGCACAGAAGGACCTGAGTGGCCTCTGCGACGCCTCCCTGGGATGGCGCCTGCTACAGTGGAGTGGCACAGGTGCAGAGAACACCTTCCCAGGGACCCACCTGTCTCTGGGGCACTCGCTGCTCACAATGTGGGACTGCATGGCGCAGGGCCCCTGACAGAAGAGGCGGCTGTTGGGATGGTTGGGGCTGGACTACAACACAGAGGGCACAAACACTGTTTCACCTGTTCCCCAGCCTTCAGGTCCCTGAGAAGACGCAGGGTCATGTGCCAGTGCCTCAGATAAGGGGCCCATGTCACCTGCCCTTCTCTTCCAACTCTAAGTTTGAAGATGTCAAAACTGAGAAACTGAGGGTGAGGGACCTGTCAGACTGCTCACAACTCCTCTGCTGCCCAGCTGCCACCTTGGGGCGGCACTGCCTTCCCAGGCGGCCACTCGGCTGTCCTCTGAATGACACGTGGGCAGCTGCACGCAGCGGCTGCTCTTGGTCTCATCCCACTGACGTGGGAGCACCACAGTGACCACCACCTGGGCCTCAGCAGAGTTCCAGAAAGGAGATGACAGCCACGAGTCCAAGCCACAAGCTCAGAGTCACTCTGGCTGGAGCCCCTCAGGGCCAACCTCTCAAGCCCCTCCCAGCTCCTCTACACCCTCTGCCCTATGGAGGCTGCTGGGTGATCCTGGAGGCATAGGGGAGAGGCAGGGGATCTGTGGCTCTGGGACGGATCACACCCATGGCAGCTGGGAGGCGACTTCTCTGCTGCTGGGTCTCCCTTCCTTCTTGGGGTCGTTGTAAACCAATGTTTGATTCATTCTCGCTTCGTTTGACCAAATTTCAAAAGGGGCAAAAAACAAAGTTGAAAAGTAGCAAGCAGACATGGGAAGAACTGCAAATTCAGGCTGGAGGGGTAGAGGGGAGACGGACCCAGGGCCCAGAGAAGGATGTAGGAAATGCTGCCTGCACTTACTGGTGACATTTTATCTCAGGGGGTGAGAAGCATCAGTGGTATTCTGTTCCTTATGCTTTTCTCTGCACATCTAAAATCTGCTTAAAAGTTTTGGGCCAGCCGGGCGTGGTGGCTCATGCCTGTAATCCCAGCACTTTGGGAGGCCGAGGCCGGCAGATCACCTGAGGTCGGGAGTTC
Organism: Homo sapiens; assembly: GCF_000001405.40. Lineage (NCBI taxonomy): Eukaryota > Metazoa > Chordata > Mammalia > Primates > Hominidae > Homo > Homo sapiens. Next base: position 1,725,151 of record NC_000004.12, on the reverse strand, counting down.
AAGACCAGCCTGACCAACACGGATAAACCCCATATTTACTAAAAATACACAAAATTAGCCAGGTGTGGTGGCGCATGCCTGTAATCCCAGCTACTCGGAGGCTGAGGCAGGAGAATCGTTTGAACCTGGGAGGCGGAGGTTGTGGTGAGTTAAGATCGCACCATTGCACTCCAGCCTGAGCAACAAGAATGAAACTCCGTGTAAAAAAAAAAAAAAAAAAAAAATTGGCCGGGCATGGTGGCTCACAGTTGTAGTCCCAGCTACTAAGGAGGCCAAGGTGGAGGACTGCTTGAGCCCAGGAGGTTGAGGCTGCAGTGAGCTGTGATGGCACCACGGCACTCCAGCCTGGGTGACAGAGCGAAACTCTGTCTCAAAACAACAGCAACAACAGTTACATCAGCAAAAAACCAACAGAAAATCATGCCTCTGGGGTCCCTTCCCACCCTGGATGCAGATGAGGTGTTCCTGGGTGCCCAGACAGATTAGTTCAGCCGCAGAGTAAAGAGCTGCCACCAGGATCCTCCCTTTCTAGGCAAAGACAGACACCGCCTCGCCATCCACTTGCAGTTAAGAATCAGGTCGGCTAAAAAATTAGCCGGGAGTGGTGGCGGCGGGCGCCTGTAGCCCCAGCTACTCGGGAGGCTGAGGCAGGAGAATGGCATGAACCTGGGAGGTGGAGTTTGCAGTGAGCCGAAATCGAGCCACTGCACTCCAGCCTGGGTGACAGAGCCAGACTCTGTCTCCAGAAAAAAAAAAAAAAAAAAAAAAAAAAGTGAAGTATGAAGTTATCCAAGTATCTGATGATCGACTTTTCTGTTAGTGAACTGGCCATATGCTGCATACACTCAGTGCAGATTTCAGGAGAAATCCAGCCAAGGCCGGCCGGGCGTGGTGGCTCACACCTGTAATCCCAGCACTTTGTGAGGCCAAGGCGGGCGCATCATGAGGTCAGGAGGAGATCAAGACCATCCTGGCTAACACGGTGAAACCCCTTCTTTACTAAAAATACAAAAAAATTAGCCGGGCGTGGTGGCAGGCGCCTGTAGTCCCAGCTACTTGGAAGGCTGAGGCAGGAGAATGGCATGAACCTGGGGGGCGGAGCTTGCAGTGAGCGGACATCGCGCCACTGCACTCCAGCGTGGGCAACAGAGCGAGACTCCATCTCAAACAAACAAACAAAAAATCCAGCCAAGGCCTGATAGAACAAGACAGCACTTTCCTGCAAGAACCATCGGACAGAGAGGGTGAAGCTCCAGCATGTCCAGCAGCACCAACACTTACTTCTCTTTCTGTGTCCAGACCGGGTGTGAGTTTTCCAGTCCAAGGGTGTCATCCTGAGTGAAAGGAGCCTCAAGTTTGCTGGCCATGCTAGGACTTAGAATCCTGTGCGTCTGTGGATCCCGCAGAGGTGTCTGAAAAGTCACCTGTTGCGGAGTGAGGAGGAGAGCACCTATTCATTAGTTCAAGCTGTTACAGCCACACCAGCAGTGTCCTGCAGCTCAGAGGTCACCAAGAAAGCAGGCCCTAGGGCAACCTGGCCAGCCACACACTGTACAGGTCACACTTACCTTCATAGCTTTGGCCAGGTTCTTGGGTGGCACATTTTCTTTCTGTGACACACGAAGAACAGACGATCTTCCGGTAACTTCTGGTGGCGAAAACAGGAAGTCGCAATTTTCTGTATTTTTTTCATTGCTGACATTTTTGTCGTTTAAGACCTGCAGACTCATTCTGGAAAAGCAGAACATGTTTGTGTCAGTGTGAGGGCAACACTACCACATTGTCCAGACACAGACGTGACAGCTGCTGCAAGGGGCACGACCACTTCCCACACAGGTGTGCTCATTGCTCTGGAACTCACACCTCCCACACGTGTCTCTTGGCAGAGAAAGCCTCAGACTGAGTCCCCATCTTGCTTCAGAGACTCACTCTCCAGCCTGGCAGGGGGAGCCATGGGCAGCACTGCTGCTTCCTGGGACCAAGAGCTAAAGGGCCTTCAGGCTGAGATGGTGAGAAAGAAAACCCAAGCCTGCATAATCTCTACTGCTGTATTACTATATCAAGCAGAAGTCAAGAGACGGAAAAGCCCGGGCCAATAAGAAACCCGGATGAGCCAGAGGAAGCCCTGGTCTCCCCACAGGCCTCTGCGTGTGACGTGAGGCAGGACCGGGCAGTAGAGGGCAGAAAAGCAGGACAGCGGCTCTGGTCTGCTCTCTCCCACCGGGCTAGGCAGCGGGACAAGACCAGGCTGAGAGGGTGAAGGCCCAGAGGAGGAGCTGGGAGACGATGCGCAAACAAGGGAAGCCCAGAGCTGAGCAACAGGTGCCAAGGAACTTCCACATCAGAGCCTCCAGTCAGTCCCAGGTTCCAGGGCTGCCCAGGTCCTCACGCCGGTCACCCACACACTTGCCACCCTTTCTGTCTACAGCGTTCCCAGTCTAGGGAATGACGTAGGGAAAAAGGCTGCCAGAGAGAACCGAGTGTCGACCAGGGCAGGAACCCCACAGGCACCTGGTGGTGGAGGGGGACCTGGGGAGGCTTTGATTTGAAGAAGAGCAAAGTTGGGGAGGGTCCTGGAGAAGAGAGAGGGGGCAGCCCCGGCAGGTCGGTGCTGCAGCTTGAGAAGCCCACTGTGGTGCTGTGTGTGGGTGGGGAGGTTAAGAGCAGAAGGGAAGCAGGGAAACCACAGGCTTCTGGAGCCCAAGGAGTAGATGCCAGACCAGACCCGGGCCTGGCCACTGGCACATATGGGACTTACGGACGACGCTTAGGTTTTCGCCCTGAATAACTGGGTACAGGGCAGGGGAAGGGGTGCTGGATCGCTGGGGGACCCGCAAGCCTCGAACTCAGGGAGAAAGTGACTCGGAGGAAGCCTTCTGGCGGCCTGGAGGAGCTCGGGAGAGCAGCAGACCCAGCCTTAGTCAGGAGGGGCCTTTACTGACTATGGAGGCCCGGGAGGGGCTCTGGGCAGAGAAGGGACCGGCCCCAGGCTGGTGCTTTGGTGCTACTCTGGTGCACAAGAGGGATGCGGTGCGGGGGGAAGGTGGAGCGGCGCAGCAGGTGCGGGGAAGCGGTAGGGGCCCAGGTGTCCGCCGCAGGCGGCCTAGATGGAGTTGGCCCCAGGACGGAGGCCGGAAGGGACCAAAGAACAACAGGAGGGTCCGCGTGCTGGGAGCCAACAAAGAGCCAAGGTGGGCGACCGAGAGACAGGAGAGGGTCGAGGAGAGCAAAGCACCTCGGGGCGCCCGCTCCGCCGTCGGTCTTGGCCCAGCTCTAGCCGCCCCTGGCCACCATCCAGGGGGCCCAGCCCGGCGGTCGGTCTAGGGCCGGGTCCCATGACAGGGCGCGGTACAGGTTCTGGCGGCGGCCCCAGGAGGAGCCGTGGGGGACGCTTCCCGGGGAAAGCGGCGGCCGGGGCGGGAGGGCGAGGGCCGAGGGCGGGGCGGGGCGGGACGGCCTCGCGCCCCCAGGACCCCAGCCTCCCCGCGCCGTGTAGCCGCTCTCCTACCTGCCCGCCCGCCCGTTGCCGGGCTCTGAGCCCGCGCCGCCGCCGCCAGGAAGGAGGGGTCCGCGTCTGCTCCACGCCGGGGGCCAAGCCTAGCTGCTACCGCCGTCGCGCTTCTAGCCCTTGATGGCCGCCGGCGCGCCGGAGTTTCAAACGCCGACGGTTGCCTTCGCGCGGCCAATCAGCGCGCGGCCGGGGGCAGGACCGCAGGAGGGCGGGCGTCCAATGGGAAGCTGTGCCTCGCCGGCTCCGCCCTCCCTCCCCCCCCACCCCCCGCTCGGGCGCCGACGGTTCCGTTTCCGGAGTGGAGGGCACGCCAGGGTGTCTGAAGCTGAGACCCCGGGCTCGCAGTCGCCCCATGAATTTCGAGTTCCGCAACTGACGCTACTGGGCGGGGCTTCATGGCCAGGGCCTCGCTCAGGCCTAAGTTTCCCCACCTGTGCTCAATGCACAGGTGCGGTGCCGCCTCCAGGGCCGGCCGAGAAGAGAGGCCGCACCCGCACGGGGACTGCATCTCCCAGAGCGCCCCGCGAGCGGCCGAGCGGCGGGACTCCATGCCCTAGAGTGCCCCGCGGGCGGCCGGGCGGCGGGACTCCATGTCCTAGAGTGCCCCGCGGGCGGCCGGGCGGCGGGACTCCATGTCCTAGAGTGCCCCGCGGGCGGCCGGGCGGCGGGACTCCATGTCCTAGAGTGCCCCGCGGGCGGCCGGGCGGCGGCCGCCGCAACCGACAGGTCCGGGACTGGGCGCTGCGGCCTCGTCCGCGCGCCGGGGCGGGGGCCTAGCTCGACAGCTTCCCGGCGGCTGCGCGATGGACAGCCCCGAGGTGACCTTCACTCTCGCCTATCTGGTGTTCGCCGTGTGCTTCGTGTTCACGCCCAACGAGTTCCACGCGGCGGGGCTCACGGTGCAGAACCTGCTGTCGGGCTGGCTGGGCAGCGAGGACGCCGCCTTCGTGCCCTTCCACTTGCGCCGCACGGCCGCCACGCTGTTGTGCCACTCGCTGCTGCCGCTCGGTGAGGCTGCTCGGGCCGGCCGGCCGCATCCTCTCCTGCGCAGGGCTTGCTGGGAGGTCAGGAGGAGGCCTCCGCCAGCTCCCCGAGGCCCCGAAAGCGCCTGGGCGCAGCTGGGGAGAGGCGCCGGTCCTCATCCAGAGGGACCGCGGCGTGGGCTGAGCGCGCTTAGGGGCGCCGCCGGCACTGACTTGCAGGTGACGGGAACCCAAGTTCAGAACCTTGGGCAAGGGATGCTCCGGCCCACCAAGTCCTGAACCGTCACGTGCCTGGGGGTTGCAAGGCCAAGCAGCCCTTGCTTGTCGTGGTTGGGGGCAGTGGCCAGGAGAAGGCAACTGTTGATTGAGTCCAACGGAAGGGGTCGGAGGGGCTGTGTGGAGGGTGGCACTGCACTAGGCCTTGGAAGGTGGGTGTGGAGAGAACAGGCGGATTTGGAGGCAGTTCCAGTTTGGGGGCGCCACAGGGGCAGAGGCTGGGGAGGGCCTCTGTGCAGTGCAGGTGGGACGCTCAGAGTTGTCCAGGGGGGTGCTGGGCTGGGCCCCAGGTGCTAGCTGGGGCTCTGGAAGGTCCCTCTCTCAGCTGATTGGATGACGGACAGGTGGGAGGTGGGGTGTGCAGTGGCTGGAGGGGGATTTCAAGGGGGTACCTCTGGAGGACACGGGGGCAGACGCAGCCCTGGGAGGACAGATGGCCAGTGGCTGGCCAGGTTTGCCACTCTGGGGATACAAGAGGGGTGACCCTCCACATCCTGGTTTGAGGATGCAGCTGCCTGGGCCCAGAAGAACTGGAGGCAGGTGTCGGGTGGAGGCGCCCAGGCCTGCCTCATGGAGAGGGTGGGCTGGGGGCCCACTTGAGAGATGGATGGGGCTGAGTGGGGCTGGGGCCCTGACCAGGCCACTTTCTAGGGCTACTGGGTGGGTTTCTGTAGCCCTTCCAGCTGCACCCTCCCCAGAGGCCTATGAGGGACCACAAGTGAATTGTGGCAGCCACACCTGGAGCAGACAGCACAGCTGGCCTCACAGTCGGATGTCAAGCTCTTTTTATTTTTAACTTAGTTTGAAAGTTTTCAAGCTTTATTAGGTATTAGTTACCTGTTTTATTTTTATTTTTACTTTTTGAGACGGAGCCTCGCTCTGTCACCCAGGCTGGAGTGCAGTGGCATGATCTCGGCTCACTGCAACTTCGGCCTCCTGAGTAGCTGGGACTACAGGCGCCCGCCACCACGCCCGGCTAATTTTTTGTATTTTTTAGTGGAGATGGGGTTTCACCGTGTTAGCCAGGATGGTCTCGATCTGACCTCGTGATCCGTCCGCCTCGGCTTCCCAAAGTGCTGGGATTACAGGTGTGAGCCACTGCACCCGGCCCCTAGTTACCTATTGTTATATGTCATGTTACCTTGAAATGCAGTGACTGGGCCAACTCCAAATGTGGACTATTACTTTTTGCCAACTGGAACCTGCTGGTGCAACTCCTCACCATCTCCATGGCTTATTTGGACCTTCAAATTGTCCTCGATCTGGCCAGCAGGGCCCTGAAGCTGGCTCCGTGTCCTCTGGACATGTCCCATCATTCTTTGAGACTTGCTTCCTTTCTCGCACATAACTTTTCAGCTCTGGGATGCACCACATTTGATCAGCCTCCTCAGAGCGGGTGAGATTGAGAGACTGAGATCCTGTCCAGGCAGCTGCCCTGGCAGGCCAGGGGTCAGCTCTGCCTGAGGTGACACCTGATTGTGTTTATTTTTCCCTTTCTAGGCTTTTGTAGTTTTTTCAACACTTACGTATTGTGTGAAACTAAAGCAGCAAATTAAAAACCTTTTCCGCTAATATATCCTGCCTTTGCCACAGGCAGGGAGAGAGTGGCCGGCTGGGGAAGTGCAGAGTGGGTAAAGCCCAATTACCCTGGGAGCTGACCCTGGAACCCGGGCAGAGGGCCAGGTCCAGGGCTGTCGGGGGGTGGACAGCGGCCTGCCACTCACTTTCCCCTGAGGCTCACCCTGTCCTTTGCAGGCTACTATGTGGGCATGTGCCTTGCGGCTTCAGAAAAGCGGCTCCACGCCCTCAGCCAGGCCCCTGAGGCCTGGCGGCTCTTCCTGCTGCTGGCCGTGACCCTCCCCTCCATCGCCTGCATCCTGATCTACTACTGGTCCCGTGACCGGTGGGCCTGCCACCCACTGGCGCGCACCCTGGCCCTCTACGCCCTCCCACAGTCTGGCTGGCAGGCTGTTGCCTCCTCTGTCAACACTGAGTTCCGGCGGATTGACAAGTTTGCCACCGGTGCACCAGGTGCCCGTGTGATTGTGACAGACACGTGGGTGATGAAGGTAACCACCTACCGAGTGCACGTGGCCCAGCAGCAGGACGTGCACCTGACTGTGACGGAGTCTCGGCAGCATGAGCTCTCGCCAGACTCGAACTTGCCCGTGCAGCTCCTCACCATCCGTGTGGCCAGCACCAACCCTGCTGTGCAGGCCTTTGACATCTGGTAAGAGTGTGGTGCCTGTGGGGCTGCGGAGGGCACATGGCAGGCCAGAGCCAGGCTCTGGTGCCACGACCCCTGGGAGGTGCTGGGTGTAGCTGGTGTGGACTCCAACACTCCTGGGCTTGTGTGACACCAGGCAAGGTGTCCACAAGACACCAGTCACTGAGCCCTCCCGCATAGCCCTCCCTCGGGTCCCCCTGCACTCTTGGCCTCCCCTTCCACTCCCTGGAGCCACCTCCCCCAGATTCTTGGGGAGCACTCAGGACAGTGCAGCCCTCAGGCTGGACAGCTGCCTTGCTCCTAGGTCCGTCCCGTGCCCAGGCTGGGCTGTCTGGCACTGGGTCCGTGGGCTCTGGCCTTAGGGCCATCTCTCCTGGTTGGTCCTGGTGCGACAGCTGCCCTGTCACTCCTTGGGGTGTAGCCTCCATCTTCCGCTCCCTTTGCCCTGCAGAGGGGCCCAGCAGCTCTCCTCCCTGCAGGCTGAACTCCACTGAGTACGGGGAGCTCTGCGAGAAGCTCCGGGCACCCATCCGCAGGGCAGCCCATGTGGTCATCCACCAGAGCCTGGGCGACCTGTTCCTGGAGACATTTGCCTCCCTGGTAGAGGTCAACCCGGCCTACTCAGTGCCCAGCAGCCAGGTGGGGGGCCTGGGCCAGGGCCGGGTGGATGGGTGGGTGCCCACGGGTGTCTGCCTGGGCTCCTGGTGACGCTCCACCTGCCCGCAGGAGCTGGAGGCCTGCATAGGCTGCATGCAGACACGTGCCAGCGTGAAGCTGGTGAAGACCTGCCAGGAGGCAGCCACAGGCGAGTGCCAGCAGTGTTACTGCCGCCCCATGTGGTGCCTCACCTGCATGGGCAAGTGGTTCGCCAGCCGCCAGGACCCCCTGCGCCCTGACACCTGGCTGGCCAGCCGCGTGCCCTGCCCCACCTGCCGCGCACGCTTCTGCATCCTGGATGTGTGCACCGTGCGCTGAGTGGGCTGGGGCCTTGAGGTGACTCTGTGTCTCCCCCCAAAGCCACAGGGCAGGGAAGGGGGTGGCTGGGCCTCCTGGCTGGCAAAGGGCTCTACTTAAAGCACATGATGTAGAGCAACTCGCCTCTGCCCTGGGTCTGCAGAAGGCTGAGGACTTTTGGTTAAAAGCAATCCTCATGAAAACACCCCACCCTGCTTGGCAGCCAGGGTACAAGTCCTGGGCACCTCCTCTTTGCCTCCCTCCTGCCCCTTTCCTGCTGGTGGGGGCAGATCCTGCACACACAGACACAGCGTCTGCCCCCGAGCCATTCCCTGGAGACCCTGGGTCTACCCCAGGTGGTCGTCATCTGGGCCATTTGCCTTACTTCTCTGGAGCATACCCACCCTCAGTTACGTGCCAGACCTGGACCGCATTCTCCTGCCCTGTCCTGGAGCTGGCCCCTGGCTGCCTGGAGGACCCTGGGTAGGTCCTGAGGGTGGGATGGAGAAGAGGGCACTGCTGTGGTGTGGGAGCAGTCCTGGGGCTTCCTGGTGGCTGTGACCAGTTGAGGGGCTGTTCCTGGGTGGGGTGGCAATGGGAGGACAGGTCAGAGCGCCCTCATTTGTGGGGCTGCCCCTCCGGGTTTCTCATCCTGTCCTTGGTGCCTTTTTCTGCCCAACAAGTCCAGGGAAGGCCGAGGTCTCAGACTCCTGGGTAGGGGTGGGGGTTTGAGTTGAGGACCAAAGTGCCATAGCGACATCCAGAACACAAGCCCACCAGGGGTCCAGCCCAGGCTACCCACTCCCCTAGGGTCTCCCAGGCTCAGAAGGGGATGCACGCCCCCTGTGGTCAAGCCTCTGGTGGGCGTCTTGCCCAGTTCCTGATGGTTCAAGGGGAGGGGGGATGTTGGCCAGGCCCCAGGGCACAGCCCTGACACAGGTGTGGCTACTGGAGGGGCCTTCATACCTGCGGCCCCAAAGCCCCTGGGCTTGGCTGTTTGAGGCAGAGGTGATGGACTCCGGGGGCCTGACACTTGGGATTTGGGAGGCTTCCTAGAGCGCTCAGCAGGTGAAGGCAGCAGGGGCCATGGCCGGGAGCCAGGCCTAGCTTTGAACTGAGTTTCAAGGGCTGCCAAAGAGGGGCAGTGGGTTGGGGTTGTTTTTACTACAAAATAAGTTACTTAGTTTTATAAAGACAAACCGATTGTAGCCAAATGACACCATATTTAATAAAATTTAGTCTGAAGTGATGTACTGTGTTTTGTGTTGCCCGATATTAAAACCAAACTTTTGTCATAGTTGGAGAATGGCCTGTGGGTATTGGAGAAGCCACCTTAGAGGTGGAATTGCGTGCGTGGCGTGCTTTGTTCAGAATAAGGAGGAAAAACCCATTGGTTGGGAGGCGGGTACAGTAGGAACCTTCCCCTCTGATTTCTGGTTAGGGACTCTGGGGTCTTGAGAACCCCTGACCCAGGGCCCTCTGCAGGAGCAGGGTGGGAGGGGCAGAGACACGTCCTGGGGGAAGTCACTGTGTGGTCGCCACTGCGGCTGCTTCCAGATGCAGGAACTGATGTGGGGACACATGGGTAGCCAAGGAGTGAGCAGCCTTTCCGGTTCACTTATGTTTGCAGCTGCGTCCTGTGAGGACACCAGGCTGTCTCTACTGACCTCACTGTGGGTCAGGGTGGCCCAGGAATTGCCAGCCGAGCACCTAGGGCAGCCAAGACAGCAGCCTGGGGTTCCCCACAGCACTGGGCCCTCAGGTGAGCACCCCAGCAACCGGACAGTGAGTGCTTGCTGCCTTTTCCCCATTCTGCTTCTTGACCCACAGGATGGTTCTTGGGGAAACAGTACACGTAATCCTATTGAAAGATATGACAGTGGGCTCTAGTTTCCTGCGCTACGAGTGTCTTCAGATTCTTTCCAGCCTGGTACTTTCACTGGCATTCTTTTGCATACACAGCCAGGCGCTGCTTTAACCAACAACAGAGATCCAGTGAGCATCTACTGAGGGGCTGTTATGGGCCCTGACTGTGCCAGGCCCTGTGACTCACAGGTACTTGGGACTCTTTGGCTCTGTACTGTTAACTTAGAGAAGAGTTTATTTCTTCTAAAAAGTTACAGCCTGACGAGAATCGCTTGAACCTGGATAGCAGAGATTGCAGTGAGCCGAGATCGCGTCACTACACTCCAGCCTGGGCGACAGAGTGAGACTGTCTCAAAATAAAAATAGTTAACAGCCTGCAAGATGGCCATCCCTCAGACTGGAAAGCACAGCCTCTGGCCAAGACCAGAGATGGGCACTTCAGAGGAGGAGGAGGAGGGGTTGGGGCAGGAGGTTTATGCTGAATGGGTTGGCTAAACATGCATATTCAGCAGGTGACAGGAGGAGCTATGAATATTCATGAAGGCAGTCCTGACGCATGCATCCTGAACAAACATACAATCCACATTCACTTTGGGGTGGAGACTTAACATTTAAAATGTATTATAATGAGGTTCTACACAGGCCAGAAGTGGTCCATCACTGTGGTCTCTTATCTGGACCAAGTTACTGAAATCAGTCTCTTGTCCAATGAAACTGTAGTTATGGCTGGTGGAATAGGGGCTGGGGGATCAGTCAGCATCCGGTGGAACTGCAAATTGGTTTTTATTGTTTTGAGACAGGGTCTTACTCTGTCGCCCAGGCTGGAGTGCAGTGGCGCCATCTGGGCTCACTGTAGCCTTGACCTCCCAGGTTCAAGGAATCCTCCCACTTCAGCTTCCGAGTAGCTGGGATCACAGGCACACACCACCATGGCCGGCTAATTTTTTTGATTTTTAGTAAAGATGAAGTCTTGCTATGTTGCCCAGGCTGGTCTCGAATTCCTGAGCTCAAGCGATCCTCCCACCTCAGCCTCCCAAAATGCTGGGATTACAGGTGTGAGCCACAGTGCCTAGCCTTTTTGTTTAAGTTTTTTGTAAAGATAGGGTCTCGCTGTTACCCAGGCTGGTCTTAAACTCTGGACCTGAAGCAATCCTTTTGGAGGCTTCAGCCTCCCAAAGTGTTGGGATCACAGGCATGAGCCATCATCTCGGCCACTGCACTGTTCCAATATTGCTTAGCTCAAGGCCAGTGCTTATTGAGCTACTAAGAGGAAAAGAAAAGCAGTGTGGCAGTAGGAATATAGTTTAAATGTAGGGTGTGTGACTTAACCCTTGCCTGGCATGACCTTAGGTCCTATTCATAATTTGGTATCTTATTGCCACTGGTGTCCCCTTGACCGCAAGGGGGTCCATTCAGTTGTTGGGGGCTTAGGATTTTAATTTTTTTTGAGACAGAGTTCTGCTCTTGTTGCCCAGGTTGGAGTACAGTGGTGCAATCTTAGCCCACTGCCTCCCGGGTTCAAACAATTCTCCTGCCTCAGCCACCCGAGTAGCTGGGATTACAAGCATGCGTCACCATGCCAGGCTAATTTTGTATTTTTAGTAGAGACAGGGTTTCTCCATGTTGGTCAGGCTAGTCTCGAACTCCCAACCTCAGATGATCCTCCCGCCTCGGCCTCCCAAAGTGTTGGAATTACAGGCATGAGCCACCGCGCCCTGCCAGGATTTTATTTTTAGTTTACAGTGTTGAGGGTTATGGGATGCCCAGGGCCTGGGGAGGAAGGGGACAGGATGTGTCCGTCCTAGTCTGAGGATGACTTTTTTGAGTTCAAAAGGGGGCGGTGGACGCACCAAGGCACAGTCCTGAGGGCAGCAGGTGCAAAAGTCCGGCCCTCCCAGAGGTGTAAGGCCTTAGAGGGATCCCAAGCATCCCTGGGGCTCAGCCTCCTGGACCTGACCCCACTGCCCACTCTTTTGGCTGGTTCCACTCTCCCCTGCATCCCTCACGTTGTCCCCAACAGGAAGCTGTGGGAACCTGTTCTCAGGTGTAGTGCACCCGTTGGGGTTCTAGTTGGCTGGATCCGCGGGGCCGTCAGCTGCAACTGTGACGGCGGGGAAGCGGGACGGGATGGTGCGGATCTACAGGACCTCGCCTCCAGGTGGAACCTACCTGCTGAGCCAGGGATTCTTCAGGATACAAACCCAGTCAACTCCAGGCAGAGGGTGGGAGCGTCATGCACCGGCGACACAGTGGAGGACGTCATGGACGGGCAGGGAGGCAGCGGCAACCGAAACTAGCGGCTCAGTCGGTGGCCGGTGTGCGGTCAACGGCCAGGGCAGTGGGACCGGAAAGACTCAGTGTAGTTGTCAACTGTTGCGACCTAAAAGGTTACTCCAAAACTTTAAGCGGCTCAAAACAATAGACGGCGCGTACGGGGCCTGCAGCGGCCACGGGACCGTGGGAAGCAGTCAGTACCCGCCACAGGCCGCGCCTTCCGGGTTCCGGGTTCCGGGTTCCCGCCAGGGAGGAGACACGCCCCCACCTGGGCAGGAACCAAGCAGAGCCGCGCTCCACCCAGGCCGGAACCAATGGGAGATGCGCCACGACCCAGGCCGAGAAACGTGCCGCTTACCCTTCCCCCACGACCTGCGCCGCGTCGCGCGCGGCCGAATCTCCCGCCAAAGCTGCCCCCGCCCGCCAAGGCGCGACCTATCAGCGTCGCAGAGGCCCGCGGCGGCCCGGCCGCCTCAATCCCGCGGGTGGGGGCAACCTTTTCCTCAGGCCTCTCCTCAGCCCACGGCGTCCATCTGGCTCCCGAGCCGAGGGCCGGGCAGTCGGGCTTCGCGGCTGCCCGCGGTCCCGAGGCCTCGCCCTAGCCCCAGTCGGCTCGCGAGGCGCGCACAGCTGAGTGGACCCCTGCGGCGTGGCCCGATGGTCTCGCCCGACCCGGCGCGCGCGGGAGGCCGAGGGGCGGGGCCCGGCGCCCACATAAAGGCGGTTGGGGGCGGGGCGCGCAGAGCTCGTGAGCGCCGGCGCGGGGACGCGGGTTTCTGCCTCAGGCCCTGCCCTGCTCTACTCTGCGCTCTCTGCCCGCGCCGCCGCCGCCTCAGCCTCGGCCCTGCGCTGCGCGCCCGGCCCGTGCTGCCATGGCCTGCCGCCCGCGAAGCCCGCCGAGGCATCAGAGCCGCTGCGACGGTGACGCCAGGTGAGGCCGGGCTGCGCGGCGGGCGAGGGAGCGCGTGCCCCGTGGGGCGGGGGTTGTGCGGGGCCGGGGTGTGGGAGGGCGGAGGTTGTAAGGCGGTCCCGAACCTCCCGTGCCCAGCCGACCGCGTCCCTCCCCGCAGCCCGCCGTCCCCCGCGCGATGGAGCCTGGGACGGAAGCGCAGAGCCGACGGCAGGCGCTGGAGGCCCGAAGACGCCGAGGAGGCAGAGCACCGCGGCGCCGAGCGCAGACCCGAGAGGTGGGCGCGGGACCCGGGGGTCGGGGCGCGGTGGGGCCCTTGACGAGGCCGCGGGCTCCAGGGACCTCGTCGCGCTCTCGCGGTGCCGGGATCGGTCAGGTCGGCACCCTGCGTCCTTTTATCTTGGTCTCCGCGCGGCCCGTGGACTGGGGCGGCCGCAGCAGGCCTGGGAGGCGCTGGAACACTCCGGAAGCCTCTTGCCAGGATGGGAGTCAGCTGAACCGGCGTCAGCCCGAGTTAGCCAGTTCGAGTCTGTGTTGTGCTCCCGGGAGAGGTCAGGGTCTCTGACGAGCTTCTCGTGAACACGTGGAAGTCAGGGACACCCGAGTCCCGAGGAGAAGTGAGTTGACAGGGCTTACCTGCTTGGCCATTTTCTGGGTTAGGCAGTGTGCAGGGAGGGTGGAGATGCGAGCGAAAGGAGGGCTTGATGGGGTGGGACGGCCGAGGAGGGTCTGGAGGAAATAAGCAGGGGTGCCAGTGGTCGTAGTGGCGGGGCTTTTCGGGGCTGTGGTTAGAGAAAACTTCTCGAGGGGCTTTGGGGTGGCTCGTCCCGCACTGGGGGCTTGTTGCTCCTGAGTTCCCTGAAAGGCGTGGTGACTTGGCCGAGATGGAGCAGTGAAGGTGGAGGGAAATGCGTGGTTCGGGATAGGCTTCTGAAGGCAGGACCTGTGAGACTTGCTGATGGGTTGGGGATGGGAGGCGTGAAAGGAAAAAAAAAAATCGGACCCAACTTCACTGTGCCAAAAGGAAAAAATTATGCTGAGCGCGGAATCATGCAAGAAACTACCTTTGCGTTACTTTTTTTTTTTTTTTTTTTTTTTTAAAGACAGGGTCTCACTCTGTCTCACAGGCTGGAGTGCGGTGACGCGATCTTGGCTCACTGCAGCCTCCCCCTCCCGGGTTCAAGTGATTCTCCTGCCTCAGCCTCCCCAGCAGCTAGGATTACAGGCGCATGCCACCGCGCCCGGCTAACTTTTTGTATTTGTAGTAGAGACAGGGTTTCACCATGTTGACCAGACTGGTGTCGAACTCCTGACCTCAAGTGATCCACCCACCTTGGCCACCCAAAGTGCTGGGATTACAGGTGTGAGCCACCGCGCCCGGCCACCTTTGTGTTTCTTTTTTTTTTTCTAAGCAGATACCTACAGATACAAGATTAAATATCTCCACGGGTGAACTCTGTTCACTTTAAGTGGCGACTTACTGAGCACACTAGGAATACATAATTGACTATTCCCCTACCTGCTCCTTTTCTCTTGGAACATGTAGATCTTTCTCCTTCAACCTACTTTTCTCTTTTAAATATTGAAGCCCTGACAGTCATCTCTGGAGAAAGGCACAGACCACAGACTCTTTCTGTAATTTCGTGTTCTTCTAGGTATGTCCTTAACATTAGCTAAATTCCTAAAGCAATTGAGACCTGTCTCAGACACTTTTTGGTTTACACAGGAAAGAGGCATCAAGAATGACTCAAGCCTTTAGGTCTGAACGCTGTTGATTGGGGCCATTTGCTAAGATAGAGAAGATGGGCTGGAGCAGCTAGGCATGGGAAGTTGTGAGGCTTGAGAAGCTGCTTAGAGAAGCAAAGGAGATGTCAAGAAAGGTAACGGAGTGTAGGAGTCTACATGGGAGGCATCTTCAGGCACAGTGAGTTACCAGGACATAGAGATGATATTTAGAGACTTGGGTCTAGGGGGCTGGGCGCAGTGGCTCCTGCCTGTAATCCCAGCACTTTGGGAGGCCAAGGCGGGCCCATCACCTGAGGTCAGGAGTTCGACACCAGCCTGACTAACATGGAGAAACCCCATTGTTGGGGACCAGCCTCGACACTTACCCGGAATGAGAAGAGACAGGTTAAGAGCTCATAAAGGTGGGAGCCAGGGGACCAGTTGGAAAATGGAGGCTGCAAAAGGCCCGGAGTTGCGGTCTCCACACTATTTATTGAGTACAATCACTTTAAGAAGTAGGCCGGGCGCGGTGGCTCATGCCTGTAATCCCAGCGCCTTGGCAAAAGGCGGGTGGATCACGAGGTCAGGAGATGGAGACCATCCTGGCTAACACGGTGAAAACCCGTCTCTACTAAAAATACAAAAAATTAGCCGGGCGTGGTAGCGGGCGCCTGTAGTCCCAGCTACTCAGGAGGCTGAGGCAGGAGAATGGTGTGAACCCGGGAGGCGGAGCTTGCGATGAGCCGAGATCGCCCCACTACACTCCAGCTGGGGCAATAGAGCGAGACTCCGTCTCAAAAAAAAAAAAAAAAGAAGTAGATGTTCAGGGTGAAACAGTGAAAGGGAGGCAGGCGTCATAGGCGTAATTATAGCGGTTTCAATGAATCTCCTTTGTGCTCAAACAGCATATCTAACTTATTGGAGAGTAGCTAGTGGGAGCGGGCTTAACTAGGAGCCTGCAAATCTGTCCACATTCCAGTGCTTTAAAGGAATGTCTTTCTTCTTGAACACTGTTTACAGATAAGAGAGCAGGTCTCGCTCTGAGCATGGGAACATGATGGCAATTAGGAGGCTTTCCTCCTCAGAGGCCTCTTGTGGCTTTTCACAACTTACTGTGCCATATTTTTATGGCCAGCTTATACAGGCACTCGATAAGCCTTTTTCCCAACACCCCATCTCTACTAAAAATACAAAATTAGTCGGGCATGGTGGCGCATGCCTGTAATCCCAGCTACTCGGGAGGTTGAGGCAGGAGAATCCCTTGAACCCAGGAGGTGGAGGTTGCGGTGAGCCGAGATCACGCCATTGCCTTCCAGCCTGGGCAATAAGAGTGAAACTGTCTCAAAAAAAAAAAAAAGACAAAAGACTTGGGTCTACGGGTGGGTACAGAAGAGGCCCTAGGTCCAGATATGAAGGGAAGGTAAACAAACCTTATTGAGATCAAGCTCTGAACTCTCCAGTGGTCTCATTTAGCTGAAGATAAAAATATTAAATCCTTACAGTGCTTTAGAAGTTATGGAAGTTTTTGGTGTCCTCATTCCTCAAACTATAGGAATGCTTCTGTCCTAGGGCCTTTGCACTTGGTATTTGCACATTGTGGATAATGCCTGGAGGCACCTGACAAATAGAGCCAGCTCGTTGATGGATAAGATCTAGAAGTACTCTTTGGAAGGTTGTTAGCTTAGTGTGTAAAATTAGGCTTTGTTGTCCCAAGATAGGGTAGATTATGAATATAACCTACTTAATCTAAGAAATGGACTTAAAGATACCAAAATATGGCATGTAGTATATGGTCATTCACATACACAGGCTTTAAATTATTCTTGTAGTTCAGGAATTTGTTATGTTGGCAGACCCAGACTTGAACCTCTTGATACACTAGTGAGGATGCTTGTATCCAATCCTGGACAAACCTCTATTGAGTCAATTTAATTTTCAGTTAATTACCTAATTTGATTTCATAACTTTCTACCATTTTTAGAATCTGGAAATTTACTTTTAGAAATCCAATTTAAGTTTATCTGAGTTGTGTGACTGTAAGGGAAGAAATGATAATTACATAAGAGGATTATTCATTTGTTACTGCAATTGCATTTTCAAAGCACAGCATTTGGTTTACAGCTAAAATAGGTTGCTTATTTGTTGTAATTAAAGTTAGTATCTAGTGTATTTTTTTGTGACGGGGCATAACTGTCAACCAGGCTGGAGTTCAGTGGTGTGATCTCACCTCACTGTAACCTCTGCCTTCCAAGTTCAAGCAGTTCTCCTGCTTCAGCCTCCAAGTAGCTGGGACTACAGGCATGCGCCACCACGCCCGCCTGATTTTTTTTTTTTTTTTTTCGTTTTTGAGATAGAGTCTTGCTCTGTCGCCCAGGCTGGAGTGCAGTGGCGCGATCTCAGCTCACTGCAACCTCTGCCTCCCGGGTTCAAGCAATTCTCCTGCCTCAGCCTCCTGAGTAGCTGAGATTACAGGTGCGCACCACCACGCCTGGCTAATTTTTGTATTTTTAGTAGAGACTAGATTTCACCATGTTTGTCAGGCTAGTCTCGAACTCCTGACTTAGTGATCAGCCTGCTTTAGCCTCCCAAAGTGCTGGGATTACAGGTGTGAGCCACTATGCCTATCCTAATTTTTGTATTTTTAGTAGAGGCAGGGTTTCATCATGTTGGCCAGGCTGGTCTCAAACTCCCGATCTTGTGATCCGCCCGCCTCAGCCTTCTAAAGTGCTGGGGTCACAGGCATGAGCCTGTGCACCCGGCCCAGTATCTAGTTTTAATGTCAGTAGTGATCAACAGAAAAATGGGGTAGAAAAATAAAAATGTGAGTTTATGTCTGATGTATAAATAAGATACATCAATTTGAACTGCCAGAATTTGGGGCTCGAAGCCTTAAGCTTTTGGATTTCCTGATTATTATTTTTTAAATTTTAATTATTATTTTTTTTAGATGGAATCTCGTTCTGTTGCCCAGGCTGGAGTGCAACCTCCACCTCCCAGGTTCAAGTGATTCTCCTGCCTTAGCCTCCCGAGTAGCTGGGATTATAGGCACCCACCACCACACCCAGCTGATTTTTGTATTTTTAGTAGAGACAGCGTTTCACCATGTTAGCCAGGCTGGTCTTGAACTCTTTTTTTTTTTTTTTTTTTTTTTTTTTTTTTTTTTTTTTTTTTTTTTTTTTTTTTTTTTTTTTTTTTTTTTTGAGACGGAGTCTCGCTCTGTCGCCCAGGCCGGACTGCGGACTGCAGTGGCGCAATCTCGGCTCACTGCAAGCTCCGCTTCCCGGGTTCACGCCATTCTCCTGCCTCAGCCTCCCCAGTAGCTGGGACTACAGGCGCCCGCCACCGCGCCCGGCTAATTTTTTGTATTTTTAGTAGAGACGGGGTTTCACCTTGTTAGCCAGGATGGTCTCGATCTCCTGACCTCATGATCCACCCGCCTCGGCCTCCCAAAGTGCTGGGATTACAGGCGTGAGCCACTGCGCCCGGCCTGGTCTTGAACTCTTGACCTCAGGTGATCTACCTACCTCGGCCTCCCAAAGTGCTGGGATTACAGGTGTGAGCCACCACGCCCGGACTATTATTTATTTATTCATTTATTTTTTGAGACGGGGTCTCTCTCCCCCAGGCTGGAGTGCAGTGCACGATCTCGGCTCACTGCAACTCCGCCTGGTGGATCACTGCAACTTCCACCTCCTGGGTCCAAGGGATTCTCCTGCCTCAGCCTCCCTAGTAGCTGGGATTACAGACACGCGCTGCCACGCCTAGCCAAGTTTTTGTATTTTGGTAGACGCTGGGTTTCACCATGTTGCCCTGGCTGGTCTGGAACTCCTGAGCCCAGGCAGTCTGCCAGCCTCAGCCTCCCGAGGTGCTAGGATTACAGGAGTGAGCCACTGCCTGGCCATAAATTTCCCAATATTGACTGAAGACTATCTTGAACTTGAGATGGAACTGAGCTCCTGGATGTGGTTTAACTCAAGCACAGGGGGTACTTTGCCAGTAGACGGAGTCCTGACACAGCAAGGACTCTGACATATACTCCTCCATACACATTGTAATCATAGTGTACATAACATTCTGAATTATTAATTACATGCGCCCGAAAGGTAAATGGATATGCTAGCTATTCTGTATTTTATTTATTTTCTGAGACGGAGTCTCTTGCTGAGGCTGGAGGAGCAGTGGTGCAATTTCGGCTCACTGCAACCTCCGTCTCTGGGGTTCAAGCAGTTCTCCTGCCTCAGCCTCCCTAGTAGCTGGGGCCTACTGGTGCGCACCACTGCACCTGGCTAATTTTTGTATTTTTATTAGAGATGGGGTTTCGCCATGTTAGCCAGGCTGGTCTCAAACTCCTTACCTTGGGTCATCCACCCGCCTCGGCGTCCCCAAAGTGCTGGGATTACAAGTATGAGCCACTGTCCTCTGCCACCATATATATTTTTTTGAGATATGGTCTTGCCCTGTTGCCCAGACTGGAGTGCAGTGCCAGGATCATGGCTCACACAGCCTTGACCTCCTGGGCTAGAGTGATCCTCCTGCCTGGGCCTCCTGTGTAGCTGGGACTACAGGCACGCCCCACCATGCTTGGGTATTTATTTATTTTGGAGATGACGTTCCAACCTTTTTATTAAAATCAACTTCTCACAATGTATAAATACTGCATATTAGCACACATGAAAAAGACAACTTCTAAGGCACCCAGAAATACATTCATACACGTTACAGGACCATTTGCAGAGTGGACAATTTGCTGTAGACAGTCAGCATTGGATAAATCAGAAGATTATCATCCCTCAGTACTGTACCCAGTCTCAGTAAATATTTACAACATGGTGAGAAGGTGTCAGCTGTACCTGCTTTATAATTCTATGAAGTACTCAGACTTACAGATAATTCAGAACTAAAGACAGTCCCATGATAATCTGACAAAATAAAACAAGTAGTCTAAAGTCTTAGTGATTTTGGTGTGTGCTACATCCATGATCAAATCCAAACACTCCTGGGGTGGGCTGGATAAGTTTTTGGTAGCCTGCTTCATTATCAGAAGTTTGTTAATAAGCCTTGCCAATAGAATACCATTTCTTCAGCATCAGTCATTTCTCAACTGGTTAATGGATCAGTAATCTCATCATGAATGAGAATGGAGAGAGAACAGAAGACAATTCTTCTCACACTTAACAGGAATTAGGATGGGTCAGTGCAGTCTGGGTACGGTGGCTCACAGCTATAATCCCAGTACTTTGGGAGGCCGAGGCAGGTGGATCACCTGAGGTCAGGAGTTCGAGACCAGCCTGGCCAACATGGAGAAACTCAGCCTGTATTAAAAATACAAAATTAGCTGGACGTGGTGGCTCATGCCTGTAATTTCAGCTACTCGGGAGGCTGAGGCAGGAGAATCGCTTGAACCTGGGAGGCAGAGGTTGCAGTGAGCTGAGATCATGCCATTGCACTGCAGTCTTGGCAACAAGAGTGAGACTCCGTCTCAAAAAGAAAAAAAAAAAAGAATGGGTCAGTGCAGAACAGGAGGAGGCAGACATTTGGCAAGTACAGGATCATACTGTTTAGTATAGACATGTCTGGAAAATTCTTACCCTGGAGGTTCATATTCAGATGGAGGAGTCTACACTGGCCAGATAACCTGGAGGAATGCCAGACCTGCACTTTTATTATATGGATACAGGCTTGGGACTACACAGCGGAAACACCCACCTGAGATAGCCTCAATTAGAGACTTACCTTGCAGAGCCTTCTCAGTATGACAGCGAATCCCTCTGTATGGCCAGCCAGGGGAAGCACGAGGTTGCTGGAAGTGAGTAGTTGCTCTGCACCGTCAAGCATGCACACATCTGTCTAGATGTGCCCGCGATCTGTGAAACTCGGGCTTTGTTAGAATAATGGAATTCTTTGGTGGTCGGTTTTATGAAAGGCAATATTGTCACAATCCTGTCAACATTGACATTGGTAATGACTTCAAGCTGGGACTAATGGCATAGAGACAAATTAAATACAAGATGGGAAACTCTACACTCTCTGAACTTCTTAGAGTCAACTTCATAAGCTCCAGCATCAGGCCGGATGTTGGATCAATGAGATAAGGTTAACCCATAGAAATGCCAGAACTGAAGCTGAAAACTAGATATGGGTTTTTCTGACTGCCACACACACTGCAAAAATTTGAAGCAAATCTCCCATCTTAATGACTTTATAAACACATACCAGAGATGAACGAAATAAGTTGATTTCAGCCATATGATAGCCCTGGACTACTGAAGTGTGGACACCCAAAAGGAATCATAATTTAGTTTGAAGTCTAAAATCTAGTTGGTTTTATTAGACCCCCAAACACAGTGGGCACACTGCCAAGGAGCTCCATGACTTCTGCTCTAGTAAGACAGCCCTGGATAGACAGATGCAGCTGATAGGTTATGTTCTACATCTAGTTTGCTTTTGTCCTGCTAAACTCCAGTTTAGTATGGTTTGATACACATAGTTCACTGATATAATGCTTTTATTTTTTTGGGTGGGGGACAGAGATGAGGTCTCACTATCTTGCCCATGCTGGTCTTGAACTCCTGGGTTCAAGTGATCCTCCTACCTCAGTTTCCAAAGTGCTGGTATTACAGGCACAAGCCACTGTGTCCCACCAGCCTTTGAATATTTCTTGACATACAGTTTGAAAGAAAACAAAGTATGTGTCATGGTTCAGTAGCATTTTCCTTTTATTGCAGCTTTACCACTCCTGAAGGCCCTAAACCCCGTTCCAGATGCTCTGACTGGGCAAGTGCAGTTGAAGAAGATGAAATGAGGACCAGAGTTAACAAAGAAATGGCAAGGTACACATTTTGGACCACCT
The DNA here is from genome assembly GCF_000001405.40 of Homo sapiens. Taxonomy (NCBI): domain Eukaryota; kingdom Metazoa; phylum Chordata; class Mammalia; order Primates; family Hominidae; genus Homo; species Homo sapiens. The sequence continues at coordinate 1,703,575 of NC_000004.12, read as the reverse complement.
TGAAGTGTTAATCTGTGGCGTTTTCAGTAACACATTAAATTTGATATTTGTCTTAGAACAGTGGTTTTCAAAGGTCTGGGCTCCAGACCAAAGGCATCAACATTTCCTGGGAACTTGTTAGAAATACAGATTCTCAGACCCTTCCCTGGGCCTGCGAATGGGGTGGGGCCTGGCCATCCTGTGAAAAGCCCTCCAGGCGGGTCCACTCTTTCAAGCTTGAAGACCACTGTCCTCTTGGTGGTAATCCTTCCAAGAGTGGAAGTAGGTGCACAATGGTGTTACTGCTGGATTGCAGGCTGGAGGACTATCAGAACTAACTTTCTTTTTTTTTTTTTTTTTTTGAGACAGTCTCGCTCTGTTGCCCGGGCTGGAGTACAGTGACAAGATCTCGGCTCACTGCAACCTCTGCCTCCCGGGTTCAAGCGATTCTCTTGCCTCAGCCTCCTGAGTAGCTGAGATTACAGGCACAGGCCACCACGCCTGGCTAATTTTTGTATTTTTTGTAGAGATGGGGTTTCACTATGTTTGTCAGGCTGGTCTTGAACTCCTGATCCGCCCACCTCGGCCTCCCAAAGTGCTGGGATTACAGGCATGAGTCACTGTGCCCGGCCTAACTATCAGGAACTTACTATAGTCATTTGTTACCACCGACCTTCTGTGTGCGGTGCTCACACAACCCAGCACAGTAGATGGAGTGCTCTCTCCAGATGAAGGAATACATTGACACTTGGCTTAGGCAACAAACAGCTCAGAAATGCCAACATACAAGGAAAGGTCTCAAACTTGGATTCTGTGAACCTCTTGCAGTTGCACACAAGATTGTTGTGTGTATCCAAGTTCTTGCAAACTAAGCTACTTCGTCTTCGTTGACTCATTACCTAATGCATCCTTAACCATGTTTAATCTCCCTTGATTATCAGTGTGTTGATCCTTTCTCTTTTGATGAGTTGTCTAACTCAAACCCAGTTGCAAGGACTGGGTTTATTCAAACCCAGTTAAAATGTGGCTCATAATTGGTTGAAGTATTTTACAAGATAATTTTAGCCAACAAGTGGCTGATAAACAGGGTCTCAAGAAAAATGTGTCTTGCGTGTCAGCCGCGGAACGATACCTAGACTACCTGTTTTCATTTTGGCAGCCAGTGATGGTATTTATATCAGCCTCCTTTGAAAAGGGACGGGAATATGTGGGAATTGGTTATTGAACATTTGGGGGAGTTATTTGTCATTTCTTCTGGTATCAAAATGTGTGGGTGGATGTATGCCTTGGTAGAAGAAATGAACTAGGAGTTCACAGATGAGAGTACCAGTGTTTTTAGTGAATTATTGCATTTATATAGGTCTTGACTTCCTCAATTATAAAATTAGAATGTTTGACTTGACTTGTATAGTTTGTGTTGCATGCACAAGTCTTAGAACAGTTCTTGCATACCGATAGCCTAGTTGCTCCCTCAAGTCACCCCTTGCCAGGGGTTATCTGCAGCTCTTATTCATGCGTATTCCACCTGTCCAGATTGTCCTGTGAGTGGACCCTATTTGTTCTTCAGATATCTCATGGGTCTGTGCCTGAAAATTGTCCTGTTTTGGAAAACAGCACTGTTTGGGCTGCTCTGTTGATTATACCCTTTGTGATGGAAAGCTACGGCTTTTATTTACTTACTTATTTTTTTGAGATGGAGTCTTGCTCTGTTTCCCAGGCTGGAGTGTAATGATGCAATCTCAGCTCACTGCAACTTCCGCTTCCTAGGTTCAAGCGATTCTCCTGCCTCAGCCTCTCGAGTAGCTGGGATTATAGCTGTGTGCCACCACGTCCGGCTAATTTTTGTATTTTTAGTAGAGGCTAGGTTTCACCATATTGGCCAGGCTGGTCTTGAACTCCTGACCTCAGGTGATTTGCCCGCCTCGGCCTCCCAAAGTGTTGGGATTATAGGCGTGATCCACCTTGCCTGGCCAAAGCTGCAGCTTTTAGTGCAACCTGTGTAATTTAAACTGCTGGCCCTTTAGTGAGCCATTACTGACAGGCCGGCTTACTTCCTGACAGTAAGAGCGGTATGAAATGTCAGCTTACTATGCTTTAAGGAGACTAACAGACTACAAACTAGCAATATAAGAGTATGAAAATGGATTTTCTGCATGGCATGGTGGCTCACACCTGTAATCGCAGTACTTTGGGAGGCCAAGGCGGGCGGATCACCTGAGATCAGGAGTTCGAGACCAGCCTGACGAACATGGAGAAACCCCGTCTCTACTAAAAATACTAAAAATTAGCCAGGCGTGGTGGCAGCAACCTGTAATCTCAGCTACTCAGGAGGCTGAGGCAGGAGAATCGCTTGGACCCGGGAGGCGGAGGTTGCACTGAGCCGAGATCTCGCCATTGCACTCCAGTCTGGGCAACAAGAGGGAACTCCGTCTCAAAAAAAAAAAAAAAAAGAAAAAAAAGAAAATGGATTTTCATCATACCTGAAAACCAGTCTTTCTCATCTGTGGTACTGGAGAGAATGAGGCCCTGCAGCAAATGATTTGCAGGACTAATCTCTGAATCGTACAAAGATGGTGTTATATAGCCAGTGCTACTCTAGATGCACGGGAGATAAATTACTTCATTACCTTCTGGCGTCCAAACTGCACTGAACACCTCAGCAAACTTGGGTGGATTTTAGATTTTGAGAGGAGGCACAGTAATACATGACATAATTTAGATACCTGCATGACAGGCCAGGGGTGGTGGCTCACTCCTGATCTCAGTACTTTTGAGAGGCTGAGGCGGGAGGATTGCTTGAGCTCAGGAGTTCAAGAGCAGCCTGGGCAACACAGACCTCCATGTCTCCAAAAAAAGAAAAAAATTTTTTTGGAGATGGTTGTGGCGGCACTTGCCTGGAGTCCTAGCTGCTTGGGAGGCTGAGGTGAGATGATTGCTTCAGCCCAGGAATATGAGGCTGTGGTAAGCCATGATCGTGCTACTGTACTCTAGCCTGGGTGACAGAGTGAGACCCCATCTCAAAAAAAAAAAGATACTCACATGAACTTGGAGCTCAAGGTAGCTCGTGGTTTCAACGTCAGATTGCGCTAGACTCCTTTTGGAGATGTCATACTTTTTTTTTTGCAAAACTGCGTTCTGGTAATGACTGCAATAGAAAGCAGATGCCTCAGGAAGTTCATGAGGAACAAGAGAAAAGGGGGCACGTTTGGTCTCCAGGATTGGAGAAGGTATGCAGTGCCCAGTAGGCATATGAGTCCCATTAGTAAGTTTGGTGTTTTTAAAATAATTTATTTCAATTTATGTTTTGTTTTTCTTTTTTTAAGGCTGCCAAGTTTTAGGGAATGTAAATTTTTGTTGTGTGGATCTCACTACTTAAACTGAACCTGACAAAGATTTCTTTTGGCCCACGGAGCTTCTGGATTGCATAGGATGGTGTGCCTGCGGGCATCAGGGTGGAGCTTCCTCAGACCTGGCTGCTTTATTTTTATATCTTTTTTAAAAACAGCAATATTTATTTTGCCCTCAGATATAAAAGGAAACTCCTCATCAATGACTTTGGAAGAGAGAGAAAATCATCATCAGGAAGGTAAAGGCTGTGTAAATGTTTCTTTTCTAATTTGATAGACCTGTAATTTGTTAAAAAAAAAAAATTGTGACTGTCAGAAATGCTGACTGTCGCAGTAGCATTTATTAATACCTTTTTCACTAATTTGAAATACTGTATCTGTTGTGTACTAAATTCCCATACATGCAGTCTCCGGACTATTTAGGATTCATATGGTTGGGAATCTGGAGTGAATCTTCCATTATTGTGTTTTGACATTTTCTTGGCTTACCTTACATACATGGTGATCTTAATTGCAGGGCTTATTCTGTTAATCTGTTGTTTTTTCAGTTCTGATTCAAAGGAGTCTATGTCTACTGTGCCGGCTGACTTTGAGACAGATGAAAGTGTCCTAATGAGGAGACAGAAGCAGATCAACTATGGGAAGAACACAATTGCCTACGATCGTTATATTAAAGAAGTCCCAAGGTAGTCTTGTTTCAGTGGCATGTCTTGAACAAGCTGTGTGGCATTGCGTTTCTAAAGAGTTGCTTAGATTGGGTAGTACAAATGATGCTGGGGATAGTTCACACCTGCTAAGAGCTATTTAATAGGGACTTACTGGGGCTTATGACGTAAATAAAGAATGGATTGGCAACTGGAAAACTAAAGACATGAAGATTTTAAAAATCATTTTCATATAATTTTGAATGTTAGATAACATTTTATTTCTTAGGAGTCAGCAATCATAGATGTAAGCTTATTAAAATACATGATGGGGAAAAATGAAGTTCAAGTTAAATATTGTAAAATTCTAATTGGAGAAAAAAAAATTGGCATTGCCCTATTGTCTTTAAGCAGCATGTTCTTGCCTATCCTGGTCCCTCAAACACACAGACACAGAAGGATATAAAGAAAGCTTTAGTGTTTTCCTGAACTTTTTGGCAGGATTGGGGTTGAAATTTACATTTCTGGGCCAGGTGCAATGGCTCATGCTTGTAATTCCAGCACTTTGGGAGGCCGAGAGGACTGCTTGAGGCCAGGAGACTAGCCTGGGCAATATAAGGAGACCTCATCTCTACAAAAAATTTAAAAATTAGCCAGGTGTGGTGGTTTGCACCTGTAGTCCCAGCTACTTGGGAGACAGGTGGGAGAACTGCTTCAGCCCAGGAATTCAACGTTACAGTGAACCATTAATCACACCACTGCACTCCAGCCTGGGCTGCAGAGTATGAGACTTTGTCTCTTAAAAAAAAAAATTTTACTTTTGGCTGAGTGCAGTGGCTCATGCCTGTAATCCCAGCACTTTGGGAGGCCGAGGAGTGCGGATCATGAGGTCAGGAGATCGAGACCACCCTGGCTAACACGGTGGAACCCCGTCTCTACTAAAAATACAAGAAATTTGCTGGGCGTGGTGGCACACATTTGTAGTCCCAGCTACTCGGGAGGCTGAGGCAGGAGAATCACTTGAACCTGGGAGGAGGAGGTTGCAGTGAGCCGAGATTGCACCACTGCACTCCAGCCTGGGTCACAGAGCAAGACTCCATCTCAAAAAAAACAATTTTTTTTTTTTTTTTTTACTTTTTTGGAACATAGCTGGCAAAGGAATAGTAAGATTCAATGTGATGGTGCTTTTTTTTTTCCCTCCTGACCGAGTCTTGCTGTTACCTAGGCTGAAGTGCAGTGTTATATCATGTCTCACTGTGTATTCATTTTTTTGAGACGGAATCTTGCTCTGTTGCCCAGGCTGGAGTGCAGTGGCGCAATTTCAACTCCACCTCTCGGGTTCAAGCGATTCTCCTGCCTCAGCCTCCACAGGCGCCTGCCACCACACTTGGTTAATTTTCGTATTTTCAGTAGAGATGGGGTTTTACCATATTGGCCAGGCTGGTCTCGCACTGCTGATCTCGTGATCCGTCTGTCTCTGCCTCCCACAGTGCTGGGATTACAGGGGTGAGCCACCACGCCCAACCATCATGGCTCACTGTAGTCTTAACTCCTGGCCTCAAGCAATCCTCCTACCTCAACCTCCTGAGTAGCTGGGACCAGCGGTGCATGCCGCCACACCTGGCTAAACTTTTAAATTTTTATAGAGATGGGAGTCTCCCTATGTCGCCCAGGCTGGTCTTGAACTCCTGGCCTCAAGTAGTCCTCCCAAAGTACTGTGATTACAAGCGTGAGCCACTGTGCCCAGCGGATAGTGATTTTTTTGAGACCGAGTTTCACTCTAGTCCAGGCTGGAGTACAATGGTGCAATCTTGGCTCACCGCAACCTCCGCCTCCCAGGTTCAAGCGATTCTCCTGCCTCAGCCTCCCAAGTAGCTGGAATTACAGGCATGCGCCACCATGCCTGGGCTAATTTTTTTGTATTTTTAGTACAGATGGTGTTTCTCCATGTTGGTCAGGCTGGTCTCGAACTCCTGACTTTGGGTGATCTGCCTGCCTCGGCCTCCCAAAGTGCTGGGATTACAGGTGTGAGCCACCGCACCCGGCCCGGATAGTGCTTTTTAATTTTTTAATTTTTTTAAACATATTTGTTCATTTTGTAGGATCTCAGTTGATTTTTTATTTATTTATTTATTTTTGAGACGGAGTCTCCCTCTGTCACCAGGCTGGAGTGCAGTGGCACGATTTTGGCTCACTGCAACCTCCGCCTCATGGGTTCAAGTGATTCTCCTGCCTCAGCCTCCCGAGTAGCTGGGATTACAGGTGTCTACCACCACGCCTGGCTAGTTTTTTGTATTTTTAGTGGAGACAGGGTTTCACCCTGTTGGCCAGGCTGGTCTTGAACTTCTGATCTCAGGTGATCTGCCTGCCTCAGCCTCCCAAAGTGCTGGGATTACAGCGTGAACCACTGTGCCCGGCTTTTTTTTTTTTTTTTTTTTTTTTTTTTTAAGGTGGAGTCTTGCTCTGTTGACCAGACTGGAGTTGCAGTGGCATGATCTAGGCTCATTGCAACCATCGCCTCCCAGGTTCAAGCAATTCTTCTGCCTCAGCCGCTGGAGTAGCTGGGACTCAAGGCATAAGCCACCATGACTGGCTAATTTTTGGTATTTTTAGTAGAGATGAGGTTTCATCATGTTGGCCAGCCTGATCTCAGGCTCTTGAGTTCAAGTGATTTGCCACACCCAGCAGCGTTTGTTTTTTTTTTTTTTGGAGGTGAAGTCTCGCTGTGTTGCCCATGCTGGAGTGCAGTGGCACGATCTCGGCTCACTGCAAGCTCTGCCTCCCGGGTTCAGGCGATCCTCCTCCCTCAGCCCCCTAATAGCTAGGATTACAGGCACAGGCCACCACGCCCGGCTAATTTTTGCATTTTTAGTAGAGACGGGGTTTCACCATGTTGGCCAAGCTGGTCTCGAACTGCTGACCTCAGGTGATCCACCCACCTTGGCCTCCCAAAATGCTAGGATTATAGGTGTGAGCCACCGCTCCCAGCCCCTAGCTGTTTTTTTGTTCTGTTTTGTTGTTTTTTTTAAATAGAGACGAGGTCTCACTGTGTTGCCCAGGCCATTTTTAAATTCCTGAGCTTAAGTGATCTTGGCATGACCTCCCAAAATGCTAGGATTACAGGCATGAGCCACCATGCCTGGTGATCTGTAATATTTAAAATAATACTAATCTCATAGTTTGGTTAATCTTCAGGCTAATGTGGAAATGTGAGTGGCATGTGGGCATGTGCTAGAATAATCTTTCTCCTGTAGACACCTTCGACAACCTGGCATTCATCCCAAGACCCCTAATAAATTTAAGAAGTATAGTCGACGTTCATGGGACCAGCAAATCAAACTCTGGAAGGTGGCTCTGCATTTTTGGGATCCTCCAGCGGAAGAAGGATGTGATTTGCAAGAAATGTATGTCTTTATTGCATTCTTGTCCTGTGATTCTCTGATTGGTCCAGTGACTGGAGCAGCTGCGCACCACTGGGACAGGAGGTCTGGTGCCAAGTCCCCCAGCAGCTGTTGGGGAGCAGAGCAGCTGCTGCAGCTCGGTGCTGAGTTCTTCTGTACTGGGAGGGAGGCAGCTGGAAGGAAGAGTTTGCTTCCTGGATTGAATTTATTTTTTCAAGCAAAGTCAATCTGGGAATACAGTTTTTGTTTGTTGTTTTGCTGTTTTTGTTGTTGTAGTTGTTTTTCCCCTAAAAATTACAATAATCTCTGGAATTTGTTTTTTAAATATAAATATCCTAAAAAGTATTTGAGTCATTTCGGCTCAACCATGAAAATAAAAGTTCTTAATTAAGGAAGGAAGGCTTTCTTTCTCTGTTGGCTTTTTTTTTTTGGGAGATGCTCTGTCACCGAGGCTGGAGTGCAGTGGCGTGATCCCGGCTCACTGCAACCTTCACCTTCTGGGTTCAGGTGGTTCTCCTGCCTCAGCCTCCTGAGTAGCTGGGATTACAGGCACGCGCCACCACGCCCAGCTATTTTTTGTATTTTTAGTGGAGACGGGGTTTCACCATGTAATTCCTGACCTTGTGATCTACCCGCCTCAGCCTCCCAAAGTGCTGGGATTACAGGGGTGAGCCACTGCTCCCAGCCCCGTTGGCCTTTAAACTTGTGCCTAGTTGAAATGTCTCAGGCCTGAACTTTTGCTGCATCATGGCAATACCTGCTGACCAGGAAGGTAGAGAGAATGATCGTGTACCTCCCTCCCTCTATGTGGGGTTTCTTCTCAGCTCCCCTCTGGTCCTGAGCCTCTCGCTTCCTCAGACACATTCTTTAAACAAACAATTAGAGTTTCTCCTCTGTGCTGGGAAATTTTTTAGAGACTGGCATGTTTGAAACGATTGTAAGTGGCTTTACCAGTTTGTCCTGACAGATGTCATTTGGGTTTTTTCCCCCAGTGTGACACCATTGTCCCATTCTCTGAGTAGAAACTTGGAAAAATTAGTGATAATGCATAGTATGTTCATCACAGTGCTCATTTCTCCCCCTCAAAAATTGGGCTTATGAGTGTTTCTGTTTCCAAGGATGCTTGTGTGGTGAGCCCAGCAGATCTTTTTGTTGCTTCTCATTGCCATCCGCTTTCTCTTTGCTGGATTGATTGGGCTGGGATTAAGTCTGTCAAATAGTCACTGAAAGCTGACCCCTCAGGGAGCCTCGGGCACACTGTCAGTGTTGTGGCTGTACCATATGGATGGGGTTTGTCTGTAGCGCCCCGTCTCCTGGCTTTGTTAAGTTAGTGCCTGACGCACATGTTGGATCTTGTTTAACAGACACCCTGTAGACCTTGAATCTGCAGAAAGCAGCTCCGAGCCCCAGACCAGCTCTCAGGATGACTTTGTAAGTACTTTGGATAAGTCTTTCAGCTTGGGGGTTGCAGGTGAATTGTTAATAACACATGCTGCCTTATAAACTGAAGTTTGGACTGGGCACGGTGGCTCACGCCTGTAATCCCAGCACCTTGGGAGGCCAAGGCAGGCGGATCACCTGAAGTCAGGAATTCAAGACTAGCCTGGCCAACATGGTGAAACCCTGTTTCTACAAAAATACAAATAATAGCCAGGTATGATGGTGGGTGCCTGTAGTCCGTGCTACTCAGGAGGCTGAGGTGGGAGAATAGCTTGAACCCAGGAGGTGGAGGTTGCAGTGAGCTGAGATGGCGCCATTGCACTCCAGCCTGGGCAACAGAGCAAGACTCTGTCTCAAAAAAAAAAAAAGAAAGAAAACCATGTGCTGCGCGTGGTGGCTCACGCCTGTGATCCCAGCACTTTGGGAGGCTGAGGCAGGCAGATCACCTGAAGTCAGGAGTTCAAGACCAGCCTGCCCAACATAGTGAAACCCAGTCTCTACTAAAAATACAAAAACTAGCTGGGTGTGGTCATGCAGGCATGTAATCCCAGCTACTCAGGAGGCTGAGGCAGGAGAATCACTTGAACCCGGGAGGCAGAGGTGGCAATGAGCCGAAATTGTACCACTGCCCTCCACCCTGTGTGACAGAGTGAGACTCTGTCTCAAGAGAAAAGAAAACCGTTTTTAAATGTATCAGTTTAAATACTGTCTCCTGTCCTGAGACAGCCACTATTTGTGGTTTTGTCTAGGCTTTTACAATTCTTTCTGTGCTTATAAACTATGTACATGGCCAGGCACAGTGACTAGTGACTCCTTCCTGTAATCCCAGCACAATGGGATGTGTGCACATCTAAACGTCAGTGTCTTGTAAATGGTACATGTGGTTTCTCTTTGCAGTGTTATTATTAAAATCTGTCTCAGTTGCACGTGAAGTGTACACCTTGCTGTGCATTACATCACATGATTTACCACATAAGGAGTGGGGTGTAGGAAGGGGCCCCTGTTTTCAGGGTGAGATGAATGTCAACCGAGCCATGCTTCTGTTTTCCAGGATGTGTACTCTGGCACACCCACCAAGGTGAGACACATGGACAGTCAAGTGGAGGATGAGTTTGATTTGGAAGCTTGTTTAACTGAACCCTTGAGAGACTTCTCAGCCATGAGCTAACTGCCCCCTGGCGGCCAGGAAGAGAAACAGCTCCTCCCCGACTAGGTGGAAGGCTGGCCAGGCACCAAGCATGTGTGTGCACTTGTACCTGGTGGTTTCTCTGTTAGCAGTCCATTAGCTCATGCTGAATTATTTTTGCCTTACTTTCTTAAGAAACATTAATTTTATGTATAGTGAGTATATTTTGCATGTTTTAAATTGTAAATGGAGCTAAGTCCAAGAAAGTACTTGAAGCTCTCTTCCAGCGAGCTTAATTGCGTAATCCCTGTTGTCCTCCAGGGTAAGCTGACACGTCTACATAACTGGTTTTCCACAGGCATCTTCAGTTATTGCTTGTCAGGTGGACTGTTTTGGATTTAACCATGTAATCCATGGGACCAATTGAGAGTCAGCTACTTTTATAGGCATCAAAGTATTCTCAGACACCTTTAATATCTTTATGGAAACTTAATTTTTGGCCTTTTATCAATATGTCATAACAGCATTCTGAAGTCAGACATTGTTAAATTGAGCTATTAAACTAATGAGTTTTATGTAAGTTATATGGTCTTAATTTGGTACTTGTAAATAGCACTAGTTAGACTCTTTAGAATACTCCAAGAGTTAGGGCAGCAGAGTGGAGCGATTTAGAAAGAACATTTTAAAACAATCAGTTAATTTACCATGTAAAATTGCTGTAAATGATAATGTGTACAGATTTTCTGTTCAAATATTCAATTGTAAACTTCTTGTTAAGACTGTTACGTTTCTATTGCTTTTGTATGGGATATTGCAAAAATAAAAAGGAAAGAACCCTCTTTCACTGACTGGGGCTGTTGCCAGGTGGGCCAGCTGCCGTGAGAGCTGACATGTTTGGAGGGTCAGAATTGTGTCTGCCTTTCTTGTGTCTGAAGCAAGTGGCACTCAGTGAGTGGCGCTGGGTAAAGGGCCTTCTTTATTTTTTTAATTTTATTTTTTGAGAGTTTCGCTCTTGTTGCCCAGGCTGGAGTGCAATGGTGCAATCATGGCCCACTACAACCTCTGTCTCCCGGGTTCAAGCGATTCTTCTGCCTCAGCCTCCCAAGTAGCTGAAATTACAGGTATGTGCCACCACACGCAGCTAATTTTGTATTTTTAGTAGAGACAGGATTTCTCCATGCTGGTCAGGCTGGTCTCGATCTCCCGACCTCAAGTGATCTGCCTGCCTCGGCCTCCCAACGTGCTGGGATTACAGGTTTGAGCCACTGCGTGTGGCCGGGGGCCTTCTTTAATAGGTGTCACATGTCACATTTGGTCTGATGCTTATTCATCAGCACTGGCATGACAGCCTTCCCTGTCTCTTGGGAGAGACCCTGCAGCAGGATAATCATCAGTCTGAGGGTGCCCTGCTCCCACTGCCTTCACCCTTGGACCGTGGTTGCTGCCTGCAGACGTGACCACTAGTCCACGCCACAGCGACCTGTCCCGGAGATCCCTCCAAGTGATGCTGGGCTGGTCTTAAGCCAGGGATGGGCTCAGGTAACTTTGTTCTAGGAGCTTGAAGAGGGCAGAAGCTCTTGTTTACTTAGCTTGTTTATGGAGACCTCAAGCAGTGTCAGGTGGAGGGTGGTAGACACTGGGGTTGTAGCACATGCCCTGGTGAGGAGACCCAGCTCTTTCAGGGTGGTAGGAGGTGCCTGATAAAAGGTGACATCTGGGGAGGGCAGCAAGCAGAGGCCACGAAGTGGGAGCACTCAGCATTGACTTCAAGAGTCCTAAAATGTGGGAGGAGTTCTGGGGGCCTGACTGCAAGCCTCAGTCTTGAGAAGGCAGAGGTGAAGGTCCTTGTTAGATGGTGACAGTTCAGTGGTGCTGTGGCCTCCATCATGACTGACGGAGAGCAGCTCTCCTGGGTTTGTCACTAAGGAGCTACTTCCCCTAAACTGTGAGCAGGTCCTTAGCGATGAGCAGCACTCAGTGCTCTTAGGCTAAAATTCAGTGGCTTCCAAGCAAAAATGACATCCAGAAGACAGCTGGAAAGGTGATCTAAGCTAAAGCTGAGGGTGTGGCATGAAATCCTCTGTTAACCATAGAAAGTTGAACCTTTCTCTCTCTTTTCACTGGAGTGCAGTGGTGTGCCTTCAGCTCACTGCAACCTCCACCTCCTTTGGCTCAAGCAATTCTCCTGCCTGTCTCCTGAGTAGCTGGGATTACAGGCGTGAACCACCACACCTGGCCAATTGTTGTAGTTTTAGTAGAGTTGGGGTTTCGCCATGTTGGCCACGCTGGTCTTGACCTCAGGCGATCTGCCCTCCTCGGCCTCCCAAGGTGCTAGGATTACAGGTGTAAGCCACCGCGCCCAGCTGTTAGAACCTTTCTTTCCCTCAATAAGACTTCTTGCTCCTCTGCAGGAGCCCAAGATGGTGCTAGTCTGAAAAGCCCCACAGGTGTGGCTTCTAATGAACTGAACCCTATTAAGAGTCACAGAATTAACATGGGCGGAAGCTGCTGCCAGGCTGGACTGAAAGGGCCAGGCAATACAAGAGGCCTTGAACCCTCAGGTTCCTACCAGCGGGAAGTAGGAAGATAAAACTCTCCAGCTGCAAACACAGGCTGCCTTTTGTGAAAAAGAAGGATAATTCAGAGATGGAGCCAGGAGCCTGGAGGACTGAGGCTGGCTTAGGGGACTGCCAGGTGATGTGTGCCCAGCTGGATTTCAGACTTGCTGTGGGCCAGGGACTCCTGGGAGCATTTGCAGCAGGTGTCCTAGGTCTGTCCCCGCTGTTCATTGCGGTGGGGGTGTGTGTGTGTGTGTGTGTGCATGTGTGTGGTGGGGGCTGGGGACAGTCTTTACATGGAGAGAGGCTCAACACAGGAGCTGTCAGGAGCCTCCTCCACAAGGCAGTGGATTCAGGTGAGATTCTGGGCTTTTTAAACTAGAATGCTTAGTTTCAAATCTAACAACACATGTATGGGACCTGTATGCTGAAAACGGCACAACCCTGATGAAACAAAGATCTAGTAAGTGGAGAAATGTAACTTGTTCATGGATTGGAAGACTCAATATAGATGTCAATTCTTGGGCCGGGCGCAGTGGCTCATGCCTGTAATCCCAGCACTTTGGGAGGCTGAGGTGGGCGGATCACCTGAGGTGGGGAGTTTGAGACCACCCTGACCAACACGGAGAAACATCATCTCTACTAAAATACAAAACTAGCCAGGTGTGGTGGCGCGTGCCTGTAATCCCAGCTACTTGAGAGGCTGAGGCAGGAGAATCGCTTGAACCTGGGAGGCGGAGGTTGTGGTGAGCCTAGATTGTGCCATTGCACTCCAGCCTGAACAACAAGAGTAAAACTCCATCTCAAAAAAAAAAAAAAAAACAATTTTTGCCAGGTGCAGTGGCTTACATTGTAATCCCAGCACTTTGGGAGGCCAAGACAGGTGGATCACCTGAGGTCAGGAGTTCAAGACCAGCCTGGCCAAGATGATGAAACCCTGTCTCTACTAAAAATACAAAAAATTAGCTGAGCATGGTGGTGTGCGCCTGTAGTCCCAGCTACTCAGGAAGCGGAGGCAGGAGAATCGCTTGAACCTGGGAGGCGGAGGTTGCAGTGTGCCGAGATTGCACCAGTACACTCAAGTCTGCGTGACAAAGCGAGACTCCGTCTCAAAAAAAAAAAAAAAATTGTCAGTTCTTCTAAATGGATGTATGTAGTTACAATGGAATTCCTATCAAAATCTCAGCAATATTTTTTGTAGATGATGGTTCTAAAATTTATGCGAATGTAAAGGAACTAGAATAGTTGAAAGTTTTGAAAAAGAACAAGGTGAATAGAATGAGCTTATCTTTTTCAAGGGTTATATGACATCAGGACTGTGGTGTCGGTGGAGGGATAGACAGATCAGTGGAGCAGGACACAGAACCCAGAAATAGACCCACAAAAGTCTGGCAAACTGACTTTTGCAAAGGTGCAAAAGAAATTCAGTGGAGAGGCCGGGCGTGGTGGCTCACGCCTGTAATCCCAGCACTTTTGGAGGCCAACACAGGCAGATCACGGGGTCAGGAGATCGAGACCATCATGGCTAACACAGTGAAACCCCGTCTCTACTAAAAATACAACAAATTAGCTGGGCATGGTGGCGGGTGCCTGTAGTCCCAGCTACTCAGGAGGCTGAGGCAGGAGAATGGCGTGAACCCGGGAGGTGGAGCTTGCAGTGAGCTGAGATCGCGCCACCGCACTCCAGCCTGGGTGATGAGTGAGACTCTGTCTCAAAAAAAAAAAAAAAAAAAAAAAAAAATTCAGTGGAGAAGGATGGTATTTTCAACAAATGTGCTAGATTGGCTGGAGCAAAATCCAAGAGCAAAAATGCAAGCCTCAACCTAAGTCTCACATCTTATAGAAAAATTAACTCAAAATGGATCACAGGCTTAAATGTAAAGTGTAAAATATAAAACTTGCAGAAAATTGTTGGCATCTAGGGCTAGGCAGAGTTTATAGACTGGACAGCAGAATCACAATCCATAACAGGAAAAATGGACAAATTGGGCTTCATCAAAATTAAAAACTTGTGGCTAGGCATGGTGGCTCATGCCTGTAATCCCAGCACTTTGGGAGGCTGAGGTAGGAGGATGGCTTGAGGCCATGAGTTTGAGATCAGCCCTGGCAACATGGCAAGATCCCATCTCTACAAAAAAATTTTTAAAAATTAGCTGGACCAGGTGCGGTGGCTCACGCCTGTAATCCCAGCACTTTGGGAGGCCAAGGTGGGCAGATCACCTGAGGTTGGGAGTTTGAGACCAGTTTGACCAACATGAAGAAACCCCGTCTCTACTGAAAATACAAAATTAGCTAGGCATGGTGGCGCATGCTTGTAATCCCAGCTACTGGGAAGGCTGAGGCAGGAGAATTGCTTGAACCCGGGAGTTGGAGGTTGCAGTGAGCCAAGATCGTGCCATTGCACTCCAGCCGGGACAAGAAGACCGAAACTCCGTCTAAAAAAATAAAAATAAAATTAGCCTGGTTGGGCACAGTGGCTCATGCCTGTAATCCTAGGACTTTGGGAGGCTGAGGCGGGCGGATCACCTGAGGTCAGGAGTTTGAGACCAGCCTGACCAACATGGAGAAACCCCGTCTGTATGCAAAATTAGCCGGGTGTGGTGGTGCATGCCTGTAATCCTAGCTACTCAAGAGGATGAGGCAGGAGAATCGCTTGAACCTGGGAGGTGGAGGTTGTGGTGAGCCGAGATCGCGCCATTCTACTCCAGCCTGGGCAACAAGAGTGAAAGTCCGTCTCAAAAATAAATAAATAAATAAATAAAAATTAGCTGGGCATGGTGGCACAGACCTGTAGTCCCAGCTACTCCGGAGGCTGAGGTGGGAGGATCCCTTAAGCTCAGGAGTTTGAGGCTGCAGTGAACTACGATCACACCAGTGCATCCCATCCTGGGTGACAGAGTGAGACCCTGTCTCAAAAAATAAATAAATAAAAACTTTGGTTCTGCCAAATACCGTTAAAAGAATGAAAAGGTCCGGACGCGGTGGCTCACACCTGTAATCCCAGCACTTTGGGAGGCCAAGGCGGGCGGATCACGAGGTCAGGAGATCGAGACCATCCTGGCTAACACGGTGAAACCCCGTCTCTACTAAAAAAATACAAAAATTAGCCAGGTGTGGTGGCGAGCGCCTGTCGTCCCAGCTACTCCAGAGGCTGAGGCAGGAGAATGGCGTGAACCCGGGAGGCGGAGCTTGCAGTGAGCTGAGATCGCACCACTGTACTCCAGCCTGGGCGACAGAGCGAGACTCTGTATCAAAAAAAAAAAAAAAAAAAAAAAGACAAATCCACAATTACATTCGGAGATTTCAACACTGCTCCCTCAGTAATTGATAGAACAAGTAGATTAAAAAAACTATAAGGAAATAGGTGTGAGCCACCTTGCCTTTAATTTTTTTAAATTGTGAAAGATACATGAGGTATACAGAAGAGTATAGAAAATAACATAAAGCCTCTGCACACATAACCACTTTTGTGAAATCTTTGCCAAGATGGCTTCCAGATCCTTTTTGTTAATTCCTGATCCTTTTGTTAGTTTTTTTTTTTTTTTTTTGAGATGGAATCTTGCTCTGTCACCCAGGCTAGAGTGCAGTGACACCATCTCGGCTCACTGCAACCTCTGCCTCCTGGGTTCAAGCGATTCTCTTGCCTCAGCCTCTGGAGTAGCTGGGATTACAGGCGCCCGCCACTGCGTCCGGCTAATTATTCTATTTTTAGTAGAGATGGGGTTTCACCATCTTGGCCAGGCTGATCTCGAACTCCTGACCTCATGATCCACCCGCCTCGGTCTCCCAAAGTGCTGGGATTACAGGTGTGAGCCACCGCGCCTGGTCTTGTTAGTTTTTATGGAGGTGAAATTAATATACAATAAACCACTTAAAGCATACAACGTAGTGGCATTGATACATTCATAATGTTGTGTGGCCACTCCCTCTATCTAGTTTCAAAACATTTTCATCACCTCAAAAGGAGACCCTGTACCCAGTAGGCAGTTGCTCCCCATTCCCCCCAGACTCGCGCATCCACTTGTTATTTGCCTATTCCGGACATTGCATGTAAACGGAATCATCCAGCATGTGACCTTTTGTGATAGTGTTTCTTCAGTCCCAGAGTCAGGCAAGGGAGACTTGGTCAGCCCTATCCTAGGGTCCCTGCTACCCAAGCCAGCCCCATCCCAGTGGCTTTGGGGAACCTGCCCAGAACAGCCCTGCAGCACCAGAAAGGCATGGGCACCAGGCCAGCCCCGCCCTTCCCTTCAGGGCTTCATCAACGCCAGACCACCATGGACCTGACACAAGGCGGCTTCTCCTGTATGGGAGCAGGTAGCATTCTCAGAGGGCCATCAGGAGAGCAGGTGGTGGCAAAGCCACAGACTGTCACTATGGTGGGACAAACCCCTTTGCTCTGAGGCTCAGCTTCCTTATCTGTAAAATGGGGAGGATTCCAACACCTTCCCGTGGGCTAGTCCACAGCAAGGGCTAGCTACACAGCACTGTGATGACTGACCCTCAGCCACGGCAGGCCAACTGCCCCACAGCAGCCTGAAACACGGCCCTGATCTGACTCCTCTCACATAAGGGAGAGGTCTAAGCCCTGAGACCCAGCAACCATCTCTGGCCAGCAAGTGTGTCCCTGTAATCTGCCCTGTAGGAGGGCTTTGAAATGCTTTTCGGTTTTATGGAGATCATCAAGGCAAATGGGACATTACTTTAAAGGGGCACAGACTCGTATTTCTGTCTTTTTTTTTTTTTTTTTTTTTTTTTGAGACGGAGTTTCGCTCTTTCCCCCAGGCTGGAGTGATGTGATTTCGGCTCACTGCAACCTCCGCGCTCCCCAGGTTCAAGCGATTCTCCTGTCTCAGCCTCCCAAGTGGCTGGGATTATAGGCGCCCGCCAGCACGCCCGGCTAATTTTTGTATTTTTAGTAGAGACCGGGTTTCACCATGTTGGCCAGGCTGATCTTGAACTCCTGACCTCAGGTGATCCACCCGCCTCGGCCTCCCAAAGTGCTAGGATTACAGGCATGAGCCACCGCATCCGGCTGACTCTATTTCTTAATCCACTAAAAGCCCTTAATAATTATCCAAGTAATGGCTGAGAGGGGTGGGTAGATATAAGTTAATCAGTCACACAGCTCTGACGTTTGTGATTTGAAGTGGTTGTCTCCAGTCCACAGGGGCCAGGATGGAAACCCAGCTCAGGAGGGGCTGCCATGGGCAGAGCCTCGCCCCGGGCACAGGTGCCCTCATCCTCTTCTGGCCACTTTCTGCTCTGGTCCATGTCACAAAGACACTTGTCTTTGGGTAACCTGGCCAGCACAGCCTGACTGTTGCAGGTGGGGGATTACCGGACCCCAGCGAAGAGAATGGCCTGGACGCCTGCTCCAGCCCTTCTCCCCTCCCCAGCCCCGCTGGGACTCCCACTCTTCCAGACAGGTGAGGCTGACTCCAGCCAGTCCTGGTGTCAGCTGGCCTGGCTTCGCAGCCTGCACCGGACTAGCCTTACCAGGCCCAGAACCTGTTGGGAGGCCCCAGCCTGACCCCTGGGAGCCCCGATGCCTCCCCCAGCATCCAGCCCCAGGGGTGCTGCATGGCCTCACCCATAGCCTATTCCCGGAACCAGCCGGCCTCCATGCATCTGTCTGCCCACAGTGTCCACTGTGGGACGTGGCCACCGAGCCCCACGGTGGCCAGGGGACACAGGTAGCTCTTTCTCCCGTCAGACCACCCCTTCTCCCCACCCCCACCAAACCCTCAGGGGACGCACATGGGGAGGCACTGGACCGCAGGGTCCCTCAGGCCCCTCCCACCCCAGGGGCCCCTCGCCAGGGGTGGGGAGCATTGTTCTCCTGCACCTTTGAGAAATCATCTGGTCTGAAATAAATCCCGCCCTACCTCAGTGGAATCTCCAGAGTCGGCGGATATCCACACAGCCCAGGGCCAGCACACCTGGCCGTCAGAGGCCCGCCCTGGGTCAGGCGGCTCATCTCAGCCAGGACACACCCGAGCCCCAGCACGGGAGGCTGGAGAGGGAGGCAGGGACCCCCTTCCTGGGAATTTGCTGGAGACCCCGAGAGCGGGGCACGGCCTCCTTCCGCTGCCCGCCACCCTCTCCTCTGCAGGGTGCTCATCCCTAGGGACCCCCCAAGAGTCCGGTCTCCCTGGGCCTGCTGTGCTCGGACGGAACCAGGCCCCAACCCCGCCTATCGCCAGAAGGAGCCCTGCAGCACGGTCCGCCCTCGGCGACCATGAGCGAGGGCCTAATTCACACTGTGCAGGTGCAGAAGTGCGACCCGAGAGGGCGAGCGACCTGCCAACGGCTACACAGCGGGCAGACGGCAGGCGGGAAGGCGGCGGCGGCGAGCCTCGGGCCCCGAGACCGCGCGCCCCGGGCTGGGTCACCGCCTGAGCCACGGCTAGTGCCGACCGGGCCCTCCTCGCTGCGCGTCCTGCCCCGCCGCCTCAGGTCGCCGCCGCCACAGGTCTTGCCTTCTAGGCCTGGAGGACGCCGCCGAGTGCCAGGCACGCACGCGCGCAGGGGGCGGGGCGTCGATCCGGGGGCGGGGCCAGACCCTCGCACAGGGCGCGCTGCGGACTCGGTGGGCGGTGCGAGCCTGGGCGCCTGGAGGCCCCGCCCCCTCCGTCGGCGCGGCGCGGCTGAGGGCCGGCGTGGAGAAGGCGGCGGCTGACGGGCTCGCGGCGGCGGCGGGGCGCGGGCGGCCAATGAGGGCGGCCGGAGGGGGCGGGGCGGCGGCCGCGGTTTTGTTCCGCCGCGGCTGAGGCGCGTCGCCCTGAGCGAGCGGGGCCTGGGCGGCCGGCAGTCTTCTCGCTCCGCACCCCCGCGGCCGCGCTCAGGTACCGAGCCCGGGCGGAGCGCGCCGCCGCCCCCTCCTCTCTTGTCCACGCTGCCCATTCCTCGGCGCACCGGCTCCGAGCTTTGCCCGCGGCACGTGGAGGGCGCGGGCGGTCGTGGGCGCGGGGCCCTGCGCTCCGAGCTGGGCGCGTGGACTACGTCCCCCTGCCTCCGCCGTCTGCGCCGCCCGTCGAGGCGACTTTTCCGCACGAGGCGAGGCCCGCCCTGGTGGCCCCGCGCCGTGGTTCGGTGGCGCGAGAGGCGGGGAGTCGCCGTGGTAAACGGGGCCTTGGGGCGTCCCGAAGGGGACCCAGACGCGGGAGGCCAGACTTCCCCGGCGACCCGAGGAGGGGACTTGCGGCGGATTCCGAAGCCGCTTTTTCTGCGTAGCCTGGGGGTGTAAATCGCCGAGATTCTCCTGTGTGGAGAAGGCGCCGGTGCCCGCCCGCTGCTGCCGGACTCTAGAGGGGTGTCTTTTTCCGTTAATCTGAGCGCAGTCGCGGAGCCCCTGTTTCCCACGCAGCCTGTGTTAAGTGGCCTCGTGAGTTTTCGCGCGGCATCCTTGGTGCCTCTTCTTTGAAGCTAAGTTTCCATAACTCTAAAGCACTTTTCGTTTTAAACTCAAACCAGACTCACACTTGATGTTTCTATGATCATCTATCTCCCAGTACGGATGGATGAGTTTGGCTTCAAGAATGTGCT
This sequence comes from Homo sapiens, assembly GCF_000001405.40. Lineage (NCBI taxonomy): Eukaryota > Metazoa > Chordata > Mammalia > Primates > Hominidae > Homo > Homo sapiens. The sequence goes on along the minus strand of NC_000004.12, from coordinate 1,683,532 downwards.
CGTGGCTGGTGCCAAGGGAGTGAGTTTTCTCTGTTGCTTGTTCAGTCCATTACAGATCGAACTCCTTGTTCCACTCTTTCCCCTTTCTCACTACTGCACTTGACTAGTCTTAAAACGAAACAGAAAAGGAAAAGAATGTGCTTCCGTTTCACAATATTTAAGAAATTTAACCTGAACATATTGATGCTGCTTTAAACACCCTCCTGTCGCCTGACCTTCTCCCTCATCAGAGTGGGTGCTAGAAGGGAAGTGCACCCTTGCACCCTGAAGGTAGGCTGGGAAACGGTTTTGATTTATTTGAAGCTCTTCAATATTACCCCAAAATGGAAACTGACATTGTTTAGAAACAGTGACTTTTCTTTAAATTGGGTTAGTTAGCGCAGGAAAACTAGGTGGTAGTTCTTTCAGACAATTGTAGTTTTCCCTCGTCCGGCGCCATTGTCCCGCCTCCTTGAGTCCTCCTTGTGCGCTGGGTACTGGCAGTCCTGATCCCCTTCTGTGGCTTGATAGTTGATTCCCCGTGCTGTCCCGTGAACTTAGAGCTTTTGATTCTGCAGCTTTGTCCCTCTGTTGTGTTCTGTGTTGCGACTTTGAGGGTCACACTCACTGAGGCCTTGGTAATTGTCCCGCCCCTTTGGATGCGTCCTTATGTTTCTTAGATTGCACGTGGGGACCACAGAACGTTTTTGTTACCACTTGAAGTATATAAGAGAAAATGCCAAAGTAATTTTTTCTTTTTTTTTTTAGTGCATGCATTTCTAGTTATAGAGGTAGTTGCTCTATAGTGAGGCCTTTCTAGTTATAGAGGTAGTTGCTCACATGCAATGATGTGCACAGGAAACAGAAATAGGAAGAGGCTCTAATCCGAGAGAGTACACATTTTTAGCTGGTAGATAAAAGAACTAAGAAAACAGGTATTTTTCACCGGTGCATTGGGAACAGGGAAAATGTTTTTCTAAAAAAGGAAATTAAGGCTAGGCGCGGTGGCTCACACCTGTAATCCCAGCACTTTGAGAGGCCGAGGCGGGCAGATCACGAGGTCAGGAGATCGAGACCATCCTGGCCAACATGGTGAAACCCCGTCTCTACTAAAAATAGAAAAATTAACTGGGTGTGGTGGTGCGTGCCTGTAATCCCAGCTACTCGGGAGGCTGAGGCAGGAGAATCATTTGAACCCAGGAGGCGGAGGTTGCAGTGAGCCAAGATGGCGCCACTGCACGCCACCGTGATGACAGAGCCAGACTCTGTCTCAAAAAAAAAAAAAAAAAGGAAATTAAAAATTTTTATATAAACTCTTTTGGCATTTTCTGCAATGATATTAAAGAAAAATTGAATTTCACAATCTGTTAAGCATTTGTTATTAAGTGGTTATAATTTGAAAATGTGTGTCAGGGACTCAGGAACTCTCACATGTGTTATGTAGTTTAATCTGATTCCTTGGAGCCTCATGAAGTGGGTGGTTTCTTCTCATTTTCAGTTTCCAAGGAACCCAGGCCTGGAGAGGCGGTTACTTGTCCAGGTGAAGTTCCTTGGCCTGGCTAGTGAGTGGGCCCAACTGGTGTCTGAACCCGGGGCTTTGTGCAGCTGTCCAGAGCTCACCTTGTGTTCTTTACCTCACAATGAAATTACTTGGTGCAGTTTATCTTTTTCCATGTGGTGATATGGTGCAGCCTGTTCTCACCAGTGGAGTGGTTACAATGATAATCTTCATTTTACGATTTGAATTTCTTGGCCAGGCTTGGTGGCTCACACCTGTAACCCCAGCATTTTGGAAGGCTGAGGCAGGAGGATCACTTGAGCCCAGGAGTTGGAGACCAGCCTGGGCAACATAGTGAGACCCCCATTTCTACAAAAAATAAAAATAAAAAATGAGCTGGGTATGGTGGTGTGCACCTGTAGTCCTGGCTACTTGGGAGGCTGAGGTGGGAGGATTGCTTCAGCCAGGGAGGTGGAGGCTGCAGTGAGCCTAGGCAACAGAGAGAGGCTTCATGTCAAAAAAAAAAAAAAAAGATTTGAGTTTCTTCTCCTTTGTTGGGTTGCAAAAGGAACACTTCGAATGTGGTTTCAGTGCACTTAAAAATAGCGAGTTCAGCCGGGCGTGGTGGCTCACACCTGTAATCCCAGCACTTTGGGAGGCTGAGACACGGGGAGAAACCCATCGACCTTGTGGGGCTGGACCCTACAAGGTGGGTAGGTCACCTGAGGTCAAGAGTTGAAGAGCAGCTTGGCCAACATGGCGAAACCCCGTCTCTACTAAAAAATACAAAAAATAGCTGGATGTGGTGGCGGGTGCCTGCAATCCCCGCTACTTGGGAGGCTGACGTGGGAGAATCACTTGAACTCGGGAGGCTGAGGTTGCAGTGAGCTGAGATCGCGCCGTTGCACTTCAGCCTGGGCAGCAACAGCGAAACTTCATCTCAAAAAAAAAATCGAGTTGCTAGACACTATACCTTCTGCCCTCACACATGCAGGACCTCCTGTATGACTAGCATCCCCCACCGGAGTAGTACGTTTGCTACAGTTGATGAACCTACATGGACACATGCTTATTATCCAAAGTCCATAGTTGACATCAGGTTTCACTCTTGGTGTTGTAGTCTATGGATTTAGACAAATGTGTAATGACCTTTGTCAACCATTATAGTATCATGCAGAATAATTTCACTGCCTTAAAAATCTGTGCCCTGCCTCACCTCTCTCTACCCCTGGCCCCTGGCAGCCACGGTTTTTTTTTTGTTTGTTTTTTTAAATAGTCTCCACAGTTAACCTTTTCCAGAATGCCATATGGTAGGAATTATACAATACGTAGCCGTTTCAGACCCGTTTCTTTCACTTAGTGACATGCATTTAAATATCTTCTGTATTTTTTGGTGGTTTCATAGCTCATTTCTTTTTAGTGCTAAATAATATTACACTGTCTGGATGTACCACACTTTATCTGCTCACCTACAGGAAATCTTGGTTGTTTCCAAGTTTTGGCACTTATGGATACAGCTGCTATGGGCATCTGTGTGCAGGTTTTGTGTGGACATAAGTTTTTAGTTCCTTTGGGTGAATACCAAGGAGCAGGATTGCTGGATCATGTACACAGTTGCTCCATATCCTCCTCAGCACTTGGGTGTTGTCAGTGTTCTGGATTTTGGACATTCTAATTGGTGTGTAGTGGTACCTTGTGTGTAGTGGTGTGTTTTTTTTTTTTTTTTTTTTTTTTTTGAGACGGAGTTTCACTCTCGTTGCCCAGGCTGGAGTGCAATGGTGCGATCTCGGCTCACCGAAACCTCCGCCTCCTGGTTTCAAATGATTCTCCTGCCTCAGCCTCCCGAGTAGCTGGGATTACAGGCATGTGCCACCATGCCCGGCTAATTTTGTATTTTTAGTAGAGACGGGGTTTCTCCACGTTGGCCAGGCTGGTCTTGAACCCTGACCTCAGGTGATCCACCTGCCTCGGCCTCCCAAAATGCTGGGATTACAGGTGTGAGCCACCGTGCCCGGACTTTTTTTTTTTTTTCTGAGACGGAGTCTTGCCCTGTCGCTCAGGCTGGAGCGCAATGGTGCGATCTTGGCTCACTGCAACTGCCGCCTCATCCTCCCGAGTAGCTGCGCTTACAGGCGCCTGCCATCATGCCCAGCTAAATTTTGTATTTTTAGTAGAGATGGGGTTTCGATGTGTGGGCCAGGCTGGTCTCGAACTCCTGATCTCAGGTGATCCACCCGCCTCGGTCTCCCAAAGTGCTGGGATTATAGGCGTGAGCCACCACACCCGGCCCCAGTTGGTGAGGGGTCTGTGAAAGTCTTTGCCCCAATTTTTTCTTTAGTTGGGTTGGGTTCTTTTTTTTTTTTTTTTTTTTAATGGAGTTTCCCTCTTGTTGCCTAGCCTGGAGTGCAGTGGTGCTATCTTGGCTCACTGCAACCTCCGCCTCCTGGGTTCAAGGGATTCTCCTGCCTCAGCCTCCCGAGTAGCTGGGATTACAGGTGCGTGCCACCACGCCAGGCTAATTTTTGTAGTTTTAGTAGAGATGGGGTTTCACCACATTGGCCAGGCTGGTCTCGAACTCCTGACCTCAGTTGATCCACCCGCCTTGGCCTCCCAAAGTGGGATTACAGGCATGAACCACTGCACCTGGCCTTTTTTTTTTTTTTTTTTTTGGAGACATGGTCTCACCCTGTCACCTAGGCTGGAGTGCAGTGGCATGATCTTGGCTCACTGCAACCTCAGCTCCTGGGTTCAAGTGATTCTTCTACTTCGACCTCCTGAGTAGCTGGGATTACAGGTGTGTGCCCACACGCCCGGCTAATTTTTGTAGTTTTTTGGTAGAGATGGGGTTTCACCATGTTGGCCAGGCTGGGGTTGTTTTCTTATTGTTGAATTTTAAAATATCTTTTTATATTTTGGATAATGGTTCTTTGTCAAATAAGTCTTTTGCAAATATTTTCTTTCAGTCTGGAACTGTTTTTTATTCTCTTGACAGTGTCTTTTGCAGAGCAGATATTTTTAATTTTAATGAAGTTCAACATAACAATTCTTTCTTTTATGGATCGTGCCTTCAGTGTTGTATCTCAGAAGTCATCGCCAAACCCAAAGTCATCTATATTTTTCTCTTGTGTTATCTATCTAGTAGGATTTTTATAGTTTTGCCTTTTACTTTAGGTCTGTGATCCATTTTGAGTTAGTTTTCATGAAGGGGGTCCATACACTCCATGTCTTTTTTTTGAGATGGAGTCTTGCTTTGTTGCCCAGGCTGTAGTGCAGTGGTGTGATCTCAGCTCATTGCAACCTTTGCCTCCCGGGTTCAAGTGATTCTCCTGCCTCAGCCTCCCGAGTAGCTGGGATTACAGATGTACGCCACCACGCCTGGCTAATTTTTATAGTTTTAGTAGAGGTGGGGTTTAACTATGTTGGCCAGACTGCTCTTGAACTCTTGACCTCAAATGATCCACCCACCTCGGGCTCCCAAAGTGCTAGGATTACAGGCGTGGGCCACCGCACCCGGCCTCATGTCTTTTTTTCTTGTGGATGTCTAGTTTTTCAGCAGCACTTGTTGAAAAGACTCTCTGTTCTCTATTGTATTACCATTGCTCCTTGGTCAAAGATCAGTGACTGTGTGGTTCTATATCTGGGCTCTCTGTTCTGCCTGTTCCATTGATACAATTGTCTGTTCTTTTGCCCATCCCACACTGTCTTTTTATTTTGAGACAGGGTCTTGCTCTGTCACCCAGGTTGGAGTGCAGCAGTGCAATCATGGATCATTGCATCCTCCACCTCTCGGGCTGAAGCAGTGCTCCCACCTCTGCCTTCTAAGTAGCTAGGATTGTAGTCACGCAGGTAATTTTAAAATTTTATGTAGAGATGGAGTCTTGCTATGTTGCCCAGGCTGGTCTTGAACTCCTGGGCCCAAGCCTTCCACAGTACAGGGATTACAGTTGTGAGCCGCTGTGCCTGGGCACACACGGTCTTGATGACAGCAATTTTATAATAAGTCTTAGAGTTGAATAGTGTCAGTCCTCCAACTTTGTTCTTCTCCTGTAATATCATGTGGGCTATTCTGGGTTGTTTGCCTCTCTGTATAAACTTTATTTATTTATTTTTTGAGATGGAGTCTCACTCTGTCACCCAGGCTGGGGCGCAGTGGTGCAATCTCAGCTCATTGCGACCTCTGCCTCCCGGATTCAAGCAAACCTCCTGCTTCGGCCTCCTGAGTAGCTGGGATTATAGGCGCCTGCTACCACGCTCGGCTAATTTTTGTATTTTTAGTAGAGATGGGGTTTCACCATGTTGGCCAGGCTGGTCTCAGGGTGAGTTCTCTTGCCATCTGAAGGGAGGACACGGCCACTGTATCCCTCTGCAGTGAGACAGCGTGTTGACAGCTCTTCCCTCTCTGTGTGAATGGAGAGCCAGAGTGAGCAACATCAGAGGAAACCTCCAGTGTGAAAGCAGAAGCCAGGAAAAGCAGAGAAGACTAAGGGAGCTGAGATACAGAGTGCAGGGACCAGAAAAAGTAATTTAAAACCCCCCATGAAAAGCAGCCCTGTATATGTAGGCTTAGAGATAAGCGTGAAGACAGGTCCCGACATGGGCATTTGGAGAAGAGGAGGGAGCCCTTGGGGGTGAAGCATACACACGTCATTGGAAGGGTTGGAGGAGCGGAGGATAGATCCTAGAACAGCGGCAACAGCAGCAAGCGTGGGACACGGAGTCCAGGAACAGACGGAGATGCAGACCAGGGTGGGGTGCAGAGTGCGCCATGAGCCAGGCTGGAAGGACGTGGTCTCTGGACCAAGGAAGACCTTGCTTGAGGCGCCTTGAGCATTTTCTAAAGTTGGGGCGAGAGAAGACCCTGAAAGCTGAGCAGGCATCCTGGGAGTGGGCTTCTTACAGAAGTGGAGGAGAGAAGAGGTGTGGTCTTCACGTGCCCCCCTTCTCAGGAAGCTGCAAGATGAGGGGGAGGGGTGCCCCGAGTGGGCTAGAGCACAGCCCCGCCAGTGCTGAGCACAAGGTGGGACTCCAGGAGCAAAAGGGCTGAAGGTGTCCTGATGTCTTTGACCAAAGGGCTTATTCCTAGGAGGTTTATAAATCTGCTGGGGAGATTGGGGCAAGAGTTTATACTAGGCAGAAACTTTGCACTTGTAAAAAGGAAGGAATTATGAACTTTGGAGAACAGACCCCACTGTGTGGCCTAACTGGAAACACTATAGTGACGTGATAATGTCAGCGATGACTTGACAAAATGTTCACACGGCCGTATTGGGAGGTGTGGGGTGGGGCTGTGTTGGCAAAGAGATACACCGTGACGTGCCTTCAAGCCAGCAGATGATGCTCAGAGGGGCGCGCTGCGGCACAGTCCAGGAGCAGCAGTGTCTGCGGGCTGTGTGCATGGGTGTAGTAAGTACCCAAGGACAGGGCTGAAGGGGTGGAAGTGGCCACTGTGGAGTGGCAGGGGTGAGGCCTCTGCACGTTTGGGAGTAGCTCAGTATTGGTTTGTAAGCCAGCACCCTGTGTGTGTCGCCGTGGTGAAATAAAATACAGCTTGTTTTAGGGGTTGAGTGAGGTCCGGCCCCAACAGTCACATGTTGAAGTCCTGACCCCCCCCAGTACTTCAGAATGTGCACTTACTTGGAAATAGGGTTGTTGCAGATGTAATGAGTTAAGATGGGGTCACACTGGAGCATGGTGGGTCCTGCCCCAAAATGACTGATATCCTTATAAAATGGGGAGACTTGCACACAGGCACACGCAGGGAGAATGCGGTGGGAAGACTGGAGTGATGCCAGAGCCGGGAGGGAGGCCTGATCAGTCCCTCCCCAGAGCCTTCAGAGGGGCATGGCCCTGCTGGCGTCTTGGTCCTGGACTCCCAGCCTCCAAGGACGGCTGGCCAGTGCGTTTCTGTCCTAAGCCACCACTTTGTGATTCTTGGTTATAGGAAGCTAATTCATGGCTCTACAAATGCTGTATCTGACTGCATGTGGATCGAATTAAATTAAAACACAGAAAAATCGAACCTGCTTTGGTGCCTTTTTGGAGGATGGAGTCCTGGAGAATGAGAGTGGCCAGAGCCGCCAGCCGAGGGCATTTTGCCGCTGTCCCGTGAGGCGGCCATCTGAGCTGAGGCACTGCCTGTGGTGGGGGCTCGTCCCTGCTGCCCCCGTGGAGCTCCAGCTCTGGGTTTGACCCTCCTAGGGGTCTGCAGGGCACTGGTGTGGCCAGATCCTGGGGAGCGAGGGGAGAAGATGGGGGAGTTGGAGGACCAGGGTGAGGATTTTGGCCTCTGTCCTAAGGGCTGAGGAGGCTGTTTCTGGGGGCCAGAGCATTGTGATCTGCTTTCCGCTGAGGTCGGGCCAAGGGTTGCCCAGTGTATGGGAATGAGTGTAGGCTGCTGCGGTCCTCCAGACCTTGAGGATCAGGCTTGAGCTGGGTGCAGAGGTGGAACGAGAGGCAGGGAAACCTCCTGGGGTTGTCGGCTAAGTCACCAGTGCAGTTACAAGGAAGGGATTTACGGTGCAGTTACAAGGAGCCTTTGGGAGCGAGGACGGCGACTTAATGCCAGAAAAGTGGAAGTGAGTTCGTTGTAGCCGTCCTCTGAAGTGAGCCCACTTAGTGTGGGGAGAAGGCATCACCTGGGCTCAGGGCAGTGCTCGTGGGCTTGGGAGGGACCACTTCCTGTTTGGAGGGGCCGGCGCCGAGAGGTCCTGGAGTAGGGGCAAGGGATGCCTGATGCCGGCTGTGCTTCCCGGAGCTCAGGTGGTATGTCCTCTTTGTTCTTGCTGGGTCCCACTCCTCACCTGTTGGTGGCAGGGACAGTGAGTTCTGGCAGCGGGAGCCAGGTTTCTCTCACTTCCCACGTCTCTTCTACATCTACCTGGAACCCAGAGGTCTCTTCCCACTTGTCCTGGCCTTTGTCTCCTTTTCCGGGACCCTCTTGTTTAGCTTTCAGTCCTGGCTTCAATGTCACTGCCTTAGAGGGGCCTCTCTGATCGCCCCTCGAAAAGGCTGTCCTGCCATGGTGGGGTCCTACGGCATCCTTCTCACTGCCACCATCCGTCACTGTTTCTGTATCTCTGGGCTTTCCCAGCTCCGGCAGGGGCTTCCTCTGGTCCTGAACTGCTCCTTCCCCAGACTTCCCTCACGCAGACTGGAGACTGGCCTCAGAACTGCCAAGGGGGAGGGACTTGCTGTCCATCATGCCTCGTGACTGGTGCTGCATCCTCATGGCTCAGTTTCTTGTAAGGGGAGACGGGCCTGACATTGTGTGTGTGGAATCGCATCCCCCAGGAGGTTATGTTCAAGTCTGCACCCCTAATACTTGCAAATGTGACTTTATTTAGAAATAGGGTCTTTGCAGATGCTATTGTAATTTTTTTTTTTTTTTGAGACAGAGTCTCACTCTGTTGCCCAAGCTGGAGTGCAGTGGCATGATCTCGGCTCACTGCAACCTCCGCCTCCTGGGTTCAAGCAATTCTCCTGCCTCAGCCTCCCAAGTAGCTGGGACCACAGGCACGTGCCACCACACCCAGCTAATTTTTTATATTTTTAGTAGAGACAGGATTTCACCGTGTTAGCCAGGATGGCCTCGATTTCCTGACCTTGTGATTTGCCTGCCTCGGCCTCCTAAAGTGCTGGGATTACAGGCGTGAGCCACCGCGCCCGGCCAGATGCTTTTGCAATTAATGTACATTAAGATGAAGTCATATGATTAGAGTCGGCTCTAACCCAATCATTGGTGTCCTTATAAGAAGAGATAGCGATACAGAGACTCTGTGGCGCTGGGGAGAAGGCCGCATGGTGACAGAGGCAGAGATTGCAGTGGTACAGCTATAAGCCAGGAACTGCCGAGGACTCCCAGAGCCCCTGGAAACTGGAGAGAGTCCTGGAACAGGTTCCCCCTCAGCCTCCAGAAGGAGGCACCTGTTGATACCTCAGTTTTGGACTTCCGGCCTCCAGAACTGTGAGAGTAAACTTTTGTTGTTTGAAGCCCACTCAGTTATGGGAGATTGTTATAACGGCCCTGCTGGCATCTTGGAAGCCAACACACGTGTCGGTGATGACCTGACTAACGCCTTCCTTCCTGCAGGAAATGCATGTTCCACACGAGGGTCTCTTCCCTGCCCAGCACTCACAATCCCCGTCGTCTCCTGGGCTCCCAGCAGGGAGCTGCTTTTGGCAGTAGGCGTGGTCCCTCCCGCGCTGCATGCGCCTCCCGCGTGCCAGAGCTGCTGCCTTGACACTGCTGGGTGCTCCGCATTGGCGCTGCTGGACACTTGCCCTGGCTGGTGCTTGGCGGGCACACTTTATCTGATTTTTTTTTGAAACGGAGTCTCGCTCGGTCACCACACTGGAGTGCAGTGGTGTGATTTCGGCTCACTGCAACCTCTGCCCCACCCGGTTCAAGTGATTCTCCTGCCTCAGCCTCCTGAGTAGCTGGGACTACAGGTGTGCGCCATCACACCCAGCTAATTTTTATATTTTTAATAGAGATGGGGTTTCACCATGTTGGCCCAGGTTGGTCTCGATCTCCTGACCTCCTGATCTACCCTCCTCGGCCTCCCAAGGTGCTGGGATTACAGGCATGAGCCACCGCGCCCAGCCTGTCTGATGTTTTAAAGTCTGTGAGTTATGAGCGTGTGACTCTTGCACACACGTCATCGTTTCTCTGTCGAGGGCGTGCAGACCCTCCAGGCGTTCACATCACACGTGACCACAGGCAGTAGTCACAGCCAGGAGTGTGGCATCAGTGTGGCATGGTGCTGGCATCTGACGGTGCTGAGGCAGATTTGGGACATGTCCTCCCTGCCGTTTTTCTGACCCAGGGTCACGTGCTGCATTGGGACCCCCTCCAGTCTGGGCAGGGCCTCGTCGAGCTCTTTCTTGACTCCATGCTTCTGAAGATCTCTGGCTGGTCATTTTGTAGAGTTGGCCTGTTTTGAGATTGTCTGACATTTCTTCAGAATTAAATAATCAGGTTCCAGGCCAGGCGTGGTGGTGATACATACCTGTAATCCCAGCACTGTGGGAGGCTGAGGTGGGTGGATCACCTGAGGTCAGGAGTTTGAGACCAGCCTGGCCAACATGGCGAAATGCTGTCTTTACTACAAATACAAAAATTAGCTGGGTGTGGTAGTGTGTGCCTGTAATCCCGGCTACTTGGCAGTCTGAGGCAGGAGAATCGCTTGAACCCGGGAGGCGGAGGTTGCAGTGAGCCGAGATCACACCACTGCACTCCAGCCTGGGCGATGGAGAAAGACTCTGCCTCAAAAAAAAAAAAAAAAAAAAAAAAAAAAGGAAATTCAGGTTCCTGTGTTTGTGTCCTGGGCACCTCACAGGAGGCTCTCGGGGTGTTCACATTGATCGCTGGGTTCAGGTGCCTTCCGGGCAAACCTGCTGTTACTGTTTTTCCTTGGTGGCTGCCGAGCATCTTTTGGGGATCACTCTGAGGCTGTGAGCTCTGTTTCTCGCCATACGTTCTCTGCGGGTCCAGCATCATGGATGCATCTTGCCTGAGACTGTTGTGTTGGGACATTGGTCAAGTGGTGATTTTAAAGCATTTCCCTCATTCTCTCTGCACTCACTAGTGGCTCCCCACCACCCCGTGAGGAGGCGCTTCCCGCCACCCCCACCTCACCTGGGTCCATGGGTTCCTGGGTTCCTGATTCCTGGGTTCGTGGGTTCGTGGGTTCCTGGGTTCCTGGGTCCATGGGTCTATGGGTTCCTGGGTTTGTGGGTCCATGGGTTCATGGGTTCCTGGGTCTGTGGGTGGCTGGTTCCTGGGTTTGTGGGTCTGTGGGTCCCTGGGTCCGTGCGTTCCTGGGTTCATGGGTTCCTGGATCTGTGGGTTCCTGGTTCCTGGGTCCGTGGGTCCGTGGGTTCTTGGGTTCCTGGGTCTGTGGGTACCTGGGTCTTTGGGTCCCTAGGTCCCTGGGTTCCTGGATCTGTGGGTTCCTGGGTTCGTGGGTTCGTGGGTTCTGGGTCTGTGGGTCCATGGGTTCCTGGGTTCTGAGGTTCATGGGTTCCTGGGTGCCTGTGTTCACTGCTGCTCGCTTTGCTCTGTGTCACAGGCAGGCTGCTGGGGAGCCATCCTCACTTCCTGTACCTCAACAGGCTCCAGCTCTTTTCCCTGCCCCAGCCCTGAAATCAGCCGTTTCTATACAGACTGTGAGGCCTGTTTTTAAAATAAAATCCTAGTTATTATTTTTTCAAGTTATAGTGTGGCTGCTGTTGCCTTTCTAGGGTTGTGTGTGTGCTTTGTGCAATCAGGAGGGTTTGGAAGGTGGGTGTGCAGCCCCTCGTGGTGCACGGTGTGAAGGGAGCTGGCCCCTCACCTTGCAGGAGTGGTTGGTGGGATTAGGGAGGGAGGCTGGCTTGTCAGCCATAGAGCCCCATCCTGTGAGGGCTCTGAGGCTGGGAGAGAGGTGAGTCCGGGCCGTGGCTGTGAGCTGGTGGCTCTGACGCTGGGACAGAGGTGAGTCCCGGCTGTGGCTGTGGCTGTGAGCTGGTGGCTCTGACGCTGGGACAGAGGTGAGTCCGGGCCGTGGCTGTGGCTGTGAGCTGGGGGCTCTGACGCTGGGACAGAGGTGAGTCCCGGCTGTGGCTGTGGCTGTGAGCTGGTGGCTCTGACGCTGGGACAGAGGTGAGTCCGGGCCGTGGCTGTGAGCTGGTGGCTCTGACGCTGGGACAGAGGTGAGTCCGGGCCGTGGCTGTGAGCTGGGGGCTCTGACGCTGGGACAGAGGTGAGTCCGGGCCGTGGCTGTGGCTGTGAGCTGGTGGCTCTGACGCTGGGACAGAGGTGAGTCCGGGCTGTGGCTGTGGCTGTGAGCTGGGGGCTCTGACGGTGGGACAGAGGTGAGTCCGGGCTGTGGCTGTGAGCTGGTGGCTCTGACGCTGGGACAGAGGTGAGTCCGGGCCATGGCTGTGGCTGTGAGCTGGTGGCTCTGACGCTGGGACAGAGGTGAGTCCGGGCCGTGGCTGTGGCTGTGAGCTGGTGGCTCTGACGCTGGGACAGAGGTGAGTCCGGGCCGTGGCTGTGAGCTGTTGGCTCTGACGCTGGGACAGAGGTGAGTCCGGGCCGTGGCTGTGGCTGTGAGCTGGGGGCTCTGACGCTGGGACAGAGGTGAGTCCCGGCTGTGGCTGTGAGCTGGGGGCTCTGACGCTGGGACAGAGGTGAGTCTGGGCTGTGGCTGTGAGCTGGCACCCCAGTTACTGGTGGTTTTTCCCCAGCTGACATCGACCAGCGTGGGGTGTGCAGTGTGGCTGGCTCTGATTTGTGCTCCTTAGTTTGAGACAATTTGAATGGAGCCACTGCTGTGGAGAGGCCTCCTTCTGAAGCATCACAAGTGGGCCCGGCTGACCCTAGCCCAGTGCACGACACCCCTCTTGGAGTCTGGGGTTCTTGGCTGTGGGCTGGAGATGACAGTGGTGGCTGCCGAGGGTGGTGGGAGTGGTCAGTGCTGAGCACGCGATTTCAGATCCAGTGAGCCAGGCGGGCACAGCCTTTAGCTGATGTGGTGTGTCCCCTGGCCTGGAACAGCCCCATGGGTGGGTGGCACCCGTCAGGACCTGTGCACAGACCCTGCCTGGGTTTGGTCTGCCCAGTCCCCTGGACCTGGCAGCAGCGGGGCTGTGCCTGGTGACGGGAAGGCTCTGAGCCAGGCTGGGTGGCCCACTGTGCGCGTCGCTGCTGTGTTGGTGGTGGCGCCTTTGCCCTGGCCCTCATTCAGGAAGATGCTGGCTTTTGGGCTCTAGGGAAGTGCATGTTGGTTTCTGTCGAGAGCGGTTGTGTGTGTACATTTTAAGCGTGGAACGCAGGTATCGAACCGTGTTGAAACCTTTCCAGCATTGGCAGAAGTGTGCGTGTGAGTCTCCTTTGCCCTTTTACTTTACTGGCAGGTGTAGTGAACTTGGATGCCGCCTGCCTTCCTAGCATGGCCCACGTGGCCGGGCGGTCCTTCTGATGGGGCGGCTCACGTGGCTCCCACGTGCCAGGCTTTTGGGGCAGATGCTCCTGAGCGGTGCTGCCTACGGGTTGCCTTCATTGGTGGTGGTGAGGCCTGGGCTTTGGCGTCCTGTCCGCCCTTAATCCTTGCCTAGGAGCAGTCTGTGGGCCCCAGAAGACTGGCCGGAAACTGAAGCCGGGCGGCAGCTGAGGACGCACACCCTGGAGGTTGTGTGGACGTTCCGTCACTGCTGTCTTAATTCCCAGGCACTCTTCTTTTTCTCTGGAAGTTCCTTTTTGAGGGTGTCCTGGTGTTCATGGAGGTGCCGTATCACTCCGAGGGCAGAGGGCTGCTGCTGAGGAAGGCCTTGCCCTCTCACCTAGCACTCTTCTCCAAGTTGCTGGTTTTGCTTGTTTGCACCTTGTCTGTTTTGGCCTCTGTTGGGTCTGAACTAGGTGTCCTTGGCAGCTGCTCACACCCAACAGTGGGACCCTGAGAAGGGTCAAAGCCGGGGCAGTTTGGGGACACGCTGGGTGCAGGGCCACCTTGCTGGGCACCTCGGCTGGTTGGTGTCTGTTGGGAGCAGCCCTGGGGCCGCCCCGCAGCCTCTGCCTGCAGTACAGACGGATCTGCCCACTCCTGAGGCTGGAGAGCTCAGAGCCTGAAAGACCCCCTGAGCCCTCGCCCTTCCTCCGCCGGCCCCTTGCTGTCAGCACGCCAGGTGCAGACCCTGGCAGGCTTCCTGTGCCCCAGCTTCAGTGTGGAGCGCTTGCCTAGCTGGCTGGCATGGGAGCGGGAGGGGTGTTTGGCCACTTGGAGCAGAAGGGGGTGGGTAGTCAGAGTTTCTGTGTTCCTGGCTTGATATTGGCTTTCCAGCAGCTTCCCAGCTTCCAGAATGTCCTTGCCATCATCTCCCATCCTGTTTCCTCTTTTTTGGAGCAGAGGCCTGGGGTGGCCTATCTTCTTCTTTCAGTTGAGGCTTCCGGGGCGGGTGGGTCTAATGTGTGTCTTTGCCTTTAGCCAGAAGACCACCGTGATTAGATTTTCCAGAAGAGAACTCGCGTGGTAGTTTTGAAAATGGGAGGGTGTTTGTGAGGTGGGATATCAGAAATACTTTATACAGAGGGGACCCAACATGTAGCAGAAACATCAACAAAATGGTTTTGCGTATAATCACATGATGATTTCTCTCTTCTGAGAAACAGGCACAAATCCTGAAGAGCCCGTGGGCGTGGACTGCTCATCTGTAAAGAAAGTGGAGACATGACCTTGAGATTTGGCTGACCCAGCAATGCTGGGGCCTTCGCAAGTCTGATGTTCCAGGACTCCAGTGCCTGTTGGTGTGGACGGAGGACACGGGGCCCCGACCATGGTCACACTCATCACTGAGAAGCTGCAGAGCCAGAGCCTGGACGACCTCACCTGCAAGGCGGAGGCTGGCCCGGTAAGCAGCTGCAGGTGGCACCAGGCTGGGTGCCCCTCCCCCGTGCTGTCACAGGGGAATGGCCACACTGGGAGGTGGAGGTGAGGGCTAAGTTCTCAGGGGCCTGGGGGGCCCTGCTGGGCCAGGGATGGGGGTGTCTGGTGCACATGTGGGCCCCAGAGCCCATCAGTGTAATCACAGCGGATTTTCACCATCATTGAAAAAAAAATAGACTTATTAAAAATGCCAGCTGGGCGTGGTGGCTCATGCCTGTAATCCCAGCACTTTGGGAGGCCAAGGCGGTCAGATCACTTGAGGTCAGGAGTTCGTAACCAGCCTGGCCAACATGTTGAAACCCCGTCTCTACTAAAAATACAAAAATTAGCCGGGCACGGTAGCAGGCGCCTGTAGTCCCAGCTGCTCGGGAGGCTGAGGCAGGAGAATGGCATGCACCCGGGAGGCGGAGCTTGCAGTGAGCCGAGATCGCTCCACTGCACTCCAGCCTGGGACAGAGCGAGACTCCGTCTCAAAAAAAAAAAGAGCCTTGACTTGCTATTTAAAAAAATAGAGTTTTACTGAAAGGCTGACTTACACACAGAAGCTGGAGCCCCAAGCGCAGGTGTGCCTGTTACCATCCAATCAAGCAGCAGACTGCACCCCGCCAGGCTCCCTGTCCCTCCCCTCCTAGCCGCGCCTCCCAAGGGAGCCTCTGTCTTGGATTTGATCACCACGTTAGCTTCCTGCGGGCAGCTTGATTTTCCTACAGTCATGGTGAAGTGAACTTTGGATGTGCCACCTTCAGGACCCCCCCGCCCTAGTTAGATGGCAGATCCAGAAGGAGGTGGCTGATGTCTAGCCTGGAGGGTCTTGCCAGGCCCTCAGAGCCAGCAGGGGTGCTTGGAGCGCCTGCCTATCCTGGGCCTGGCTTGGCTGTGGCTCTGGAGACGTGGGCACGTTGCATTTGTAGCCCCTTGCGTGTTACGGAAATGAGAGGGTGAAGGGAAAGCTGTGGGTCTCGGGCCTTTGGACTGGGCACGTGTGACCCATCTTCACCGCAGGGGGTTCCAGTGAGGGTCTGAGGGTCCAAGCTGAAGCCTCTCCTCCCGAGAGCTGGCGAGTGTGGGTGTTGGGCTGTGGGAGGTGGCATGTGGCCTGAACCTTCGCAAGCACTGCTTGTGGGGCCTGGCACTCAGGGCCGCTGTGACTGAGGTGACCGTGGCAGCGCTGGCTGTGTCCTGTAATTAGTACGTTTCCGGCTGTCAGTCCACGGGTGGAGGTGGCCGAGGCGGGGAAGGCAGTGCTTGCCTGATGTCTCAGTGCCTTGCTGGCTGCAGAGCCATGTTCTTTCCAGATGCTGTGGCCGGTTCTCATTTTTTCTTTTTTTTTCTGGAGACAGAGTCTTGCTTTGTCATCCATGCTGGAGTGTAGTGGCACCATCTCAGCTCACTGCAACCTCCGTCTCCCGGGTTCAAGTGATTCTCGTGCCTCAGCCTCCCGAGTAGCTAACGTTACAGGCACACGCCACCACACCCGGCTAAATTTTGTATTTTTTTTTTTTTTGAGATGGAGTCTTGCTCTGTCGCCCAGGCTGGAGTGCAATGGCACAATCTCGGCTCACTGCAACCTCCACCTCCCAGGTTCAAGCAATTCTCCCGCCTCAGCCTCCTGAGTAGCTAGGATTACAGGTGCACGCCACCAGGCCTGGCTAATTTTTGTATTTTTAGTAGAGACAGGGTTTCACCATGTTGGTCAGGCTGGTCTCAAGCTCCTGACCTCATGATCTGCCTGCCTCGGCCTCCCAAAGTCCTGGGATTACAGGCGTGAGCCACCACACCCAGCCTAAATTTTGTATTTTTAGTAGAGACGGGGTTTCACCATGTTGGCCATGTTGGCGAGGCTGGTCAGTGATCCGCCCACCTCAGCCTTGCAGAGTGTTGGGATTACAGGCGTGAGCCACTGCGCCTGGCCCCATTTTTCCTTTTGATTAAATGGAGAAAACATTTTTAAGGTGTCTCTAACCAAGACCAAAGGATACAGAGCGGCACATGCCTATCAGATGGCTGTGTGCCTCTGAGGACATTTTTGGCAAGTGGACGTCAGCCAGGGCGTGCGCAGCTTTCCAGGGAGGTGGCTACGCAGCATGCCTGCCGGGCCTGGGAGGTGTCTGGACGGATGTCCTGGTGTGGGGTGACCCACGGGCCCCCACGACCTCTGTGCTTTAGGTGGCCACTCTTCACCTCTTTTTTTTTCAGCTTTTATTTTAGATACAGGGGGGTACAGGTGCAGGTTTTATTTTAGATACAGGGGGTGCAGGTGCAGGTTTTATTTTAGATACAGGGGGTGCAGGTGCAGGTTTTATTTTAGATACAGGGGGTGCAGGTGCAGGTTTTATTTTAGATACAGGGGGTGCAGGTTTTATTTTAGATACAGGGTGTGCAGGTGCAGGCTTTATTTTAGATACAGGGGGTGCAGGTGCAGGTTTTATTTTAGATACAGGGTGTGCAGGTGCAGGTTTTATTTTAGATACAGGGGGTGCAGGTGCAGGTTTTATTTTAGATACAGGGGTGCAGGTGCAGGTTTTATTTTAGATACAGGGGGTGCAGGTGCAGGTTTTATTTTAGATACAGGGGGTGCAGGTGCAGATTTTATTTTAGATACAGGGGGTGCAGGTGCAGGTTTTATTTTAGATACAGGGGGTGCAGGTGCAGGTTTTATTTTAGATATGGGGGTGCAGGTGCAGGTTTTATTTTAGATACAGGGGGTGCAGGTGCAGGTTTGTCACTTGGCTATATTGCACTCGGGTTGTGAGCACAGTACCCAGTAGGTAGCTCTTCAGCCCCTGCCTCCTCCCTCCCTCCCATTCTTCATCTCTTTGTGGAGCACTTGTCCATTGACAGAGAAGGCAGCATAGGCAGTTCCTTGGTAGGCCTCGGCCTTGGGACAGGAGCCCTGGGAGCCCTACAGGGTGAGTGGTCACGGGGGTTCCATCACAGCCTGCTCCTGCTCCTGCTGACCCTGCCGGCTCTGTTAGTGGCCAGCCAGGGCCACTGTTGAGTCTGTTGCTGTCGAAGATGGTTTTTCCCAATGACTCCTGTTTTCTTAAAACACGGCCTGTGAATATGGCGGTGGTTTCTATCTGAAAAAGGAGGACAAACCTTTTTATCCCTAAATGTAAGTCTTTTTACTTTTTTTTTTTTTTTGAGATGGAGTCTTGCCCTGTTGCCGAGGCTGGAGTGCAGTGGAGTGATCGCACGTCATTGCAACTCCGCTTCCAGGGCTCAAGCGATTCTCTCGCCTCAGCCTCCCGAGTAGCTGGGACTACAGGGGTGTGCCACCATGCCCAACCTATTTTTTAATTTTTTTTTTTAAAGTGATGGAGTCTTGCTCTGTCACCCAGGCTGGAGTGCAGTGGTGCAGTCTCGGCTCACTGCAACCTCTGCCTCCCGCATTCAAGCAATTCTCTTGCCTCAGTCTCCTGAGTAGGTGGGACTACAGGCATGCGCCACCACGCCCGGCTAATTTTTTTTGTATTTTTAATAGAGATGGGGTTTCACCATGTTGGCCAGGCTGGTCTTGAACTCCTGACCTCAAGTGATCCACCCACCTCAGCCTCCCAAAGTGCTGGGATTACAGGCATGAGCCACCATGCCCAGCCTTTATCAGGATTTTTTAAAAAATTATTTTTCATTTATTTATTTATTTTATCTTTTAGACAAGAGTCTCACTCTGTTGCCCAGGCTGGAATGCAGTGGTGCGATCCTGGCTCACTGTAACCCCCGCCTCCTGGGTTCAAGCGATTCCCCTGCCTCAGCCTCCTCAGTAGTTGGGATTACAGGCACATGCCACCAAGCCCAGCTAATTTTTGTATTTTTAGTAGAGACAGGGTTTCACCATGTTGGTCAGGCTGGTCTTGAACTCCTAACCTCAGGTGATCCACCCGCTTCAGGCTCCCAAAGTGCTGGGATTACAGGCCTGAGCCACCGTGCCTGGCCAGGATTTTTAATCTGTGTAATTCGGACAGTGTGATTGCCTGTGTTGAGGAAACCCAGTTACTCAGTGATAGATTGTTTACACGTGAGACCAGCTCTCCCATGTCAACTGAATATCTAAACACAAGTTACTTCTAACATTCAAGGAAACAAGTCAGTATTTTAAATAGCCAATTCATTGTATAAAAATAGAAACTGATGTTTTCAAAGGTGACTTAAAATAGTATTTTTATGAAAAATAAGTGTAGACAGTTCTAGAGAGTAGCAACTCGTACATTCATGTATGAGGTTCTGTGTGGAAGTATGTCTTCATACATACCCATGGCCCGGCCTCAGTGAGCAAGCGAGGCGGGCGCTGTTAGCTCAGGGCTCCTTGTTTGATCTGCGCCTTTACCCAGTCCCTTCCTGCCATGATTTCATAGCGCATTCTAGACATACTTTCTCTGTAAATATCTCACTCTGTATCTCCAAAAGATAAAGACTTTAAGACACATGACCAGAATGTCATTTTCACACCTAAAACTCTCAGAGATTCCTTAATATCTCTATCCGGTCAGCATTCAAACTTCTCCAATTGTCTGAGTTTAAGAATTTGTTCAGGGAGTCCAGATTCAGGGTGTCTCATGTCCCTTTTCCCCATAGGGTGCTCCTTGGAGCTTGTGTGTTGAGGACCCAGCTGCTTGTCCCGGAGTGTCCAGGCTGCATGCCCCGGCTGCCGCCTCGTGCGCTCCCCTCCCATGTGTGTTCTGGGAGTTGCTGGTTGGAGTGAGCACTGCCCTGCCCCTTATGGTTTCCTCTAGTTGCACATAGATTTTTAAACTGAAATTAAAGTTGATTTAGCTTTTTTTTTTTTTTTTTAAAGACAGGGTCTCACTAATTTGTGAATGTTTTTGGTAGAGACGGGGTCTTGCTGTGTTGCCCAGGCTAGTCTCTAACTCCTGGCCTCAAGTGACCCTCCTTATGCGGCCTCCCAAAGTGCTGAGATTGCAGGTGTGAGCCACTGCGCCCAGCCTACAGTTAAAGTGGAACCCACATAATGCTGTTTCTCACTTGTACCAGAAACACTTCTAGTGCTCACTGTCTCTGGGTGGCTGGTGGCTGCCGTGGTGGACAGCCTGTTGGCTGTCCCTCACCACAGAATGTTCTCGCAGGCAGTGCTGTGAGGCTCGAAGCTCGATCAGGTTCGTGTTTGAGAGACCACCATTTGCTCATCCGTTCCTCTGTTTTTGGACCTTTGGGTGGTTGCCATATTTTAGCTATTAGGGATAATGCAGCTGTGAACATTCATGTGTGAGTTTCTGTGTGGAAGTTTCATGTATGAGTTTCTGTGTGGAAGTAGGTCTTCATTTCTTTTGGGTGCAAACCTAGTCGTGGGATTGCCAGGTCATATGGTGATTCTATGTTTAACATTTTGAGGAACTGCCAAACTGTTTTCCACAGTGTCTGTACCATGTTCCGTTCTGCAGCAATGTATGAGAGTTCTAATTTCTCCAACTCTTTTTTTCTTGAGGCAGAGTCTGGCTCTTTCGCCCAGGCTGGAGTGCAGTGGCGCGATCTCGGCTCACTCTGCCTCCCAGGTTCACGCCATTCTCACGCCTCAGCCTCCCAAGTAGCTGGGACTACAGGCGCATGCCACCACTCCCAGCTAATTTTTTGTATTTTTTTTTTAGTAGAGCCGGGGTTTCACCGTGTTGGCAAGGATGGTCTCAATCTCCTGACCTCGTGATCCGCCTGCCTCGGCCCCCCAGAGTGGTGGGATTACAGGCATGAGCCACTGTGCCTGGCCCTAATTTCTCCAACTCTCATCAACGCGTGTTATTGTCCATTTTTTTGATAAAAGCCACCTGCATGGGTGTGGAGTGGTATCTCATTGTGGTTCTGATTTTCATTTCCCTATGGTTAGCTATGTTGAGCATATTTTCATGTGCTCATTGGCCATTTGTATCTCTTCTTTTGAGAAATATCTAATGAAATCCCATTTTTACTTTAAAATTGGGTTATTTCTCTTTTTATTTTTGAGTTGTAAGAACCCTTTTTTTTTTTTTTTTTGAGACAGGGCCTTGCTTTGTTGCCCAGGCTGGAGTGCAGGGTCTCAATCACTGCTCACTGCAGCCTCGACCTCCTGGGCTCAAGTGATCCTCCTCCCTCAGCCTTCTGAGTAGCTAGGACTACAGACATGTGTGACCACACCCAGCTTTTTTTTTTTTTTTTTTTTTTTTGTGATGGAATCTTGCCCTTGTTGCTAAGGCTGGAGTGCAGTGGTGCGATCTTGGCTCACTGCAACCTCCACCTCCTGGGTTCGAGAGAGTCTTCTGCCTCAGCCTCCTGAGTAGCTGGGATTACAGGCATCCACCATCACGCCCGGCTAATTTTTATATTTTTAGTAGAGATGGAATTTCACCATGTTGGCCAGGCTGGTCTTGAACTCCTGACTTTGTGATCCGCCTGCCTTGGCCTCCCAAAATGCTGGGATTACAGGTTACAGCCACCACGCCCACCCCACACCCAGCTATTTTTTAAAAATTTATATCTTTTAGAAAGGGGGTCTCACTGTGTTTCCCAGGCTGGTTTCCACCTCTTGTGCTCAATGGGTCCTCCCGCCTCAGCCTCCCAAAATGCAGGGATTACAGGTGTGAGCCATGACACCTGGCCAGTAAGAGTTCTTTATGGTTTCTTCCCCCGTTCTGTCATTCTGTCATCTCGAGAGTGGTGTGTAAATGGAGTGACACAGTGCACAAGCATTTGGGTTCTGCCTTTCCATCAGCATGCTTCCCTGGAGATCCGTCCGGCGGTTCCTCTGCGCCACCAAGAGGTGCTCCGTGGCATGGAGGTGCACTCTGTGTAACCATGTGGAGGAATGCTGCGTCCTAATGCAAATCATGACGTGATTTTTAGGGTTGTGTCCTCATGGGGGACCTACACAGACGACCAGTAACCACAGGCATGAGGCGGTGGGAGGGGAGTGGGCACGGGTGCCTCGCTGAGCTGCCGGAGCAGCAAAGAGGGTTGGAGGTGTAATGGTGGCTGAGTGCTGGAAGATGGGCGGGGTCTTAATGTTGGGGTGGGCAAAGGCCATTGGGGCCACAGGGAGGGGGACGTGGATGGGTGGGTGGGGCCAGCATCTCACTGTGCTCTGGCTGGGGCTTCCCCAGAGAGCCCGGGACAGCAGCCAGGAGGCGGTAGGGCCTGAAGGTCACGTGTGAAGGTCATTCAGCGCGTTGGGGCGTCTGTGCTGCACTGGCTGTGCTGGGTTAGCAATATGGTGCTCACTTCCTGCAGGGAGGCGGGTGGGAAGCAGGTGACTGAGGAGTCGCGATAGTGCATCAGGAAAAAAGTAGAGCCCAAGGGGTGCTGGGAGTTTACATAGGGCGCCGGGCTGTGACCTCCGGGTGGAGCTGGAAGGTGGGTGATGAGCCATATGGACATCTGGGGAGTCAGCCAGGTGGAGGTTCCCATGGCCGTGGGAGCCTGTGAGGGTGGGAGCCTGGGGGCACAGGCATCTGGGATCTGACTCTCAGGAGTCCAGAGGGCAGAGTAGAGGGCCGCGGCAGCCAGGACCAGAGCAGCAGTTCCCGGGCTGAGGGGCGGAGAGCAGGGAGAGCTGAGAATGTCAGGGTAGGGGAGAGAGGAGGCGGTGTGATGGGGCTGTGCTGGGGGCTGTAGGCGCAGGGAAGCTCACTGTGCCGCTGGCCTGGCGGGCACGGTATGGGTGGGTGGCGGGCTGTGGTGTCCTCCAGCCCTGTGCAGCTGTGCAGATACAGGCTGGGATTGATTGGTAGAGAGCTGGTTTTTAAAAAACTTTTAGTTTTTTTTTTTTTGAGATGGAGTCTGGCTCTGTCACCCAGGCTGGAGTGCAGAGGCGTGATCTCCGCTCACTGCAAGCTCTGCCTCACGCCATTCTCCTGCCTCGGCCTCCTGAGTAGCTGGGACTACAGGCACTCGCCACCACGCCTGGCTAATTTTTTTGTATTTTTAGTAGAGATGGGGTTTCACCGTGTTAGCCAGGATGGTCTCGATCTCCTGATCTTGTCACCTGCCTGTGTCGGCCTCCCAAAGAGCTGGGATTACAGGCGTGAGCCACCGTGCCCAGCCTAAAAACTTTTAGGTTTTTAAAGACAGGGTCTTGCTGTGTTGCCCAGGCTGGAGCGCAGTGCACTCAGTCGTTCGCTGCAGCCTTGGCCTCCCTAGCCCAAGCAATCCTCCCACCTCAGCCTCTTGAGTAGCTGGAATGACAGGCTCATGCCATCATATCTGCTTTTTTTTTTGTAGAGACCAGGTTTCCCTGTGTTGCCCAGGCTGTTCTCAAACTCCTGGGCTCAAGTGATCTTCCCACCTCAGCCCCCACAGTGCTGGGATTTCCCGGATTTCCCTGTGTCCGGCCCTGAAGTACAGATTTCGTTTTTTTCTTCTTTTTCTGCACGGAGTCTTGCTCTTGTTGCCCAGGCTGGAGTGCAGTGGTGTGATCTCGGCTCACTGCAGCCTCTGCCTCCCGGGTTCACGCGATTCCCCTGCCTCAGCCTCCCAAGTAGCTGGGATTACAGGCACCCACCACCACACCCAGCTAATTTTTGTATTTTTAGTAAAGACAGGGTTTCACCATGTTGGCCACGCTGGTCTCAAACTCCTGAGCTCAAGCGATCCTCCCGCCGTGCTGGGATTCAGGTGTGTGCCCCCGTGCCCAGCCCTGAAGTCCAGATTTCCTTAGGCTTAAGGGTTGCATGTTCACATTCCCCGAAACCCATATGTTGAAGTCCTCACCCTCAAGGTGACGGGATGAATATTTGGAGGTGGGGCCTCTGGGAGGTGCTTAGGTCATGGCGGCAGTGCCCTCATGAATGGAATTAAGTGCGCATATGTGAGAGGCATCAGAGAGGAAGCCAGCCCCTTCGACCATGCATAGATACAACCGGAAGAGCCGTCTGTGAACCAGGAGGTGGCCTTACCAGACACTGAATCTGCCTGTCCCTTGATCTTGGACTTCTGCCTCCAGGACTGTGAGGAATAAGTGTTTTTGACAAGCCCCCTGCCTGAGCCTGTGGGACCTGGCTGCCCAGCCTTTCCTGTCTCCCGGGGACCCTGGCTCTGTTTGTCTGCTGCACCCACATCCCACACGGCCAGTGCCACTGGGAGTAGCTGCTGCCCCCGGCGTGTCTTTGCATAGAGGTGGTCACATTTGGGACCGTGCGGGCCTGTGGCTCCTTCAAGCTGCCCGTGAGAGCCATCTGTGCCGGCTGGGAAAGTCCTTTCCTTGCTAGACGTTTTTCCGTGGCAGCGTCGAGCTGGGTGCTGTTCATGTGGCCCCGGGGAACGGGTGCTGTGCGGAACAGGAGGAGAGCGAGGTCCTGGTGCTTGCTGCGGGGAGGCCCGGGGCTGGGAGGATCGACAGCAACAAGGGTCCCTGTGGCGTGAAAGCCTTCAAGTCCTTTAGCAGAGCTGCCTCTCCTCTCTTCCATCGGACCCGGGTCCCGGGGTGGGAGAACCTGGAGGTCGTGTGGTTCCCGGGCCCGCACCAGGCCCTGTCCTCATGGTGTGGCCGGGTGCTCACAGCTCCACACCGCCGTGCTGGCTGAGGTGGGACCCCGTGTGTAGGCGGCCTGTCTTTTTTCGGGGTCACAAACCCAACTTTTAACTTATTCCCTTTACAGGAAGCAGTGAAGGATTTCCTTTTAATTTTATCGTGTTTGGAAATGTTATCATAGGACGTGATGCCATGGGCTTAGGCGTTAACTGAGAGGTTCTGAGGTGTGGCAGAGGAGCCCCACAACTCTAAGGCAAAAAAGCAGAGGGGCTGCTGTGCCCGGACCCTGCGGGACAGCCGTGTCCTTGTCACAGGGTGGCCTTCTGTGTTCTCACAGACGAGGAAGCTCTGGGAGGTTAGGGAGCTTGCCGGGCACCCGGCAGGACCCCCCTCCTGTGCCCCATCCTCTGCAGGGCCCTGTGTCCCGCCTGCACGGGCCAGTGCGTGGAAGCAGACACATTAATGGCCTCCAAGCCGTGACCTGCCAAGCAGCTCCCTGACACTTCATGGGGTAGGGAAGAGAGCCCTGTGGCATTTCCCTTAGTGCCCTCCCTATAGACCCTCCAGCTGCCACCACGCCCTGTGGCTTTCCTGCTTCCAGGGAGGGAGACCCTGCCCTCTGGACGTCTCCCTGGACCAGCACCACACTCCAGAGCCTGGCTTAGGCGCTCAGGTCCCGTGTCTGAGCTGTTGCAGGTGGGAAAGGGCCCCTTGGGTCTTGGCTGAAGTTCTTGCTGAAAAGTAAGTAAGTGGTGAGGTTTGCAAAGACGGCTGCAGCTGAGGCTGCCGAAAGGCAGGAGGGCCTGAGCTTCAGGAGCAGGGACAGGATGCATGCCTGTGGCTTGGAATAAAAATGTCTGAGGCCGGGCGTGGTGGCTCACACCTGTAATTCCAGCACTTTGTGAGGCTGAGGCGGGAAGATCACGAGGTGAAGAGATCGAGACCATCCTGGCTGACACGGTGAAACCCTGTCTCTACGAAAAATATATTTAAAAAAACAAAATTAGCTGGGCGTGGTGGCAGCTTTCTGTAGTCCCAGCTACTCGGGAGGCTGAGACAGGAGAATGGCGTGAACCCGGGAGGCAGAGCTTGTAGTAAGCAGAGATAGCACCACTGCACTCCAGTCTGAGCAACAGAGCGAGACTCTGTCTCAAAAACAGACAAAAAAAAAGTCTGCTTAGTGTTAACAGCTCTTTTAAAAACAGAAAAAATTTTTTAAAAAATTTAAAAATGTCCGTTTACAGCCGGGCGTGGTGGCTCATGCCTGTAATTCCAGCACTTTAGGAGGCTGAGGCGGGCGGATCACGAGGTCAGGAGATGGAGACCGTCCTGGCTAACACGGTGAAACCCTGTCTCTACTAAAAATACAAAAAAAATTAACCGGGCGTGGTGGTGGGCGCCTGTAGTCCCAGCTACTTGGGAGGCTGAGGCAGGAGAATGGCGTGAACCCGAGAGGCGGAGCTTGCAGTGAGCCGAGATCGCGCCACTGCACTCCAGCCTGGGTGACTGTGCGAGACTCCATCTAAAAAAATAAAAAATTGTCCATTTACTCAGTTGAATTTTGTTAGGTTTTAATAAAACTGTGCTTATTTTAATCACTAGAAAGAAAACACTGGGGAAAGGTAGAACGTGCTGCAGTGATGAAAATGGGGGATATTATTGCCGAATTCTCACGTGTCAGTCACAGTATTGAAACTTCTCTTTCCTGTCAGTTGCAGTATTCTGCGGAAACCCTGAACAAGAGCGGTCGTCTGTTCCCTTTGGAGCTCAACGGTGAGCACTTTAGGAGCTGTGGCCGGAGGCCTGAGCAGGGCTGGGACTGGGCTCCTGGGCTGGGAGGGTCCTGGACGCAGAACATGAGCCGGATCTGCAGAAGCCCAGGAAGGTGTTCGTGTGCCCTGCACTGGGGCGTGGGGTGGTCCCTGCTGCCGTCCTCCAACGGCTGGGCCCGTGGTCAAGAGTGGTCTGTGAGCAGGACGGCTCGTGTAGGGTGCGGGCCCAGCCAGGTCTCTCCCTCCTCAGCTGGTGGGGCCCAGGGGTCTGCTGCGCCCTTTCTGGAAGGTGCAAGGCCCACCCTGTGGCCACGAAAAGAAGAGGACGGCGTGGCTGGCAGGGCTTGTAGCGTCAGCTGGAGCGTGCCATGGCATACTGGGCGGCCCACCCACTGTCCGTGCAGTGGAGGGTGTGGCTGTGCCTGGTTCACCCGCAGGTGGGCCCTTCATTGATGGAGAGCAGGTGCCCCGAGTATGGAGGCTGGCTGGTGTTCACGGGCCAGGTAACCCTGGGGTCCCAGGTCCTCCCCCAGCGAAGGTCCCAGGGGCATCTCCCTCTGTTGGCCCTGCTTACCTGACTGTGACACGCCCAGCGCCCTGTGTCACGCAGAGTGGGCCCGTTAGGAGGCTCACCTTGCTGAGCGCCAGATGACCAAAGTGAAGGTGTTTTACCAGATTCTTTCATGAGTAGATGGAAGTAGCATGTGTGAGGCCCCAGCTGGCCAGAGCCCCACCCCCTGCCGGGCCTGTGGTGCGATGTCCTCACCTCAGCCTCCTGGGGTTCATCCTGCACACGGGGTCAGACCAGCCACCTCCATCCTGGCTCAGAGCCCCGCAGCGCTTCCTACACTCCTCACCCAGCCGGCCGCTCTCCCTGCCTACACCTCCACGTCTCCTCCCCACAGCCCCCATCTCTCTCCCAGTCACCCCAAGGTCATCCCAGGGCCTTTCCCCAGAGGCAGGTCTCACAGCCTCCACTCCAAGTTCCTCAGCTGGACAGTGACTGCACAAGCCACTGGGCAGACTCCATGCCAGGCCCATGCACCTGGCCTTGCTCTCCAGGCTTCTCCGAACCAGCAGGCAGTGGGCTGGGGAGCGCGTTAGACAGGCAACCCCAGGACAGTTGTGCAGGAAGTGAGACTTGGGAAGGGGCTCCAGGCCTGGACCTGGTGGCTCTGAGGTTTGTGAGGAGTTTCTGGGGCTCAGACTCTCCCTGAAGACCGTGGCAGCAGGTGTGACCCTGTGTTGCCCATGTTACTAAGGGACCTGAGCTGCTTTAAGAAGGGGCCCTGGAGAGTCCTGGCCGGGGTAGCCGCACATCCTTGAGATGCCTGGTCACAGAGGGAGAGGGGCATTTTGAGGATGCGGGAAGAATGTTTTAGCAAAGCTGTCGGGAGAGCAGAGCCGTGCGGTTGTTCTCAGGGAGGCACCGGTGGGGAGGCTGACACCTCCTTCAGACACGGTGTCCCCTTTAAGAAGTGAGCCGAGCCCCGCAGCTAACCCAGCAAGGGCAGGCGGGGCTGGTGTCCACTGTGCGCCACGGACATCTTGGAGAAGCACGCCCAGGGGTGGCGGCGATGGGGTTGTGCCCTTGACAGCTCTGCCAGGCTGTTTGCCGGGATGGATGTCGCCTGCCCTGTGGCTCACCTGTCTCTTCCCCTGCCTCTTTGTGTCTTTTTTTGTAGACCAGAGTCCCTGGAAGGTCTTCAGTGGAGGACCGCCCGTCAGAAGCCAGGCAGCCACGGGCCCTGATTTCTCCTTCCTGCCGGGCCTGTCTGCTGCCGCTCACACCATGGGTCTTCAGTGGCAGCCACAGTCCCCGCGCCCAGGCGCAGGCCTGGGTGCAGCCAGCACCGTGGACCCCAGTGAAAGCACAGGCTCGTCCACGGCCCCACCGACCAAGCGGCATTGCCGGTCCTTGTCAGAACCCGAGGAGCTTGTGCGCTGCCGGTCCCCCTGGCGCCCCGGCAGCTCCAAGGTCTGGACTCCAGTCTCCAAGAGGCGGTGCGACAGCGGCGGGAGTGCCACGCGGCAGGGAAGCCCCGGCGCCGTCCTGCCGAGGAGTGCTGTGTGGTCGACCGGTCCCACCTCGCCCGCCACGCCCCGGCCGTCCTCCGCCAGCGGCGGCTTCGTGGACAGCAGCGAGGGCAGTGCGGGCTCAGGCCCGCTCTGGTGTTCCGCGGAGTCCTGCTTGCCCTCCACGAGGCGCCGCCCGTCCCTCTCACAGGAGCGACTCGCGGGTGCGGGCACTCCCCTGCCCTGGGCCAGCAGCAGCCCCACGTCCACGCCTGCGCTGGGCGGGCGCCGTGGGCTGCTCCGGTGCCGCTCACAGCCTTGCGTGCTCAGTGGGAAGAGGAGCCGGCGCAAACGGAGGCGTGAGGAGGACGCCAGGTGGACACGCCCATCCTTGGACTTCCTGAAAATGACCCAGGTGAGGCTTTCTTATTTCCAGGGGCTCAGAGGGGCGTAGATCTGGACAGGGCGGTGCTGGGGTGAGGCTGGCTGATTCTCTGGATGTGGCTGTTAGCATCCGGCTGGTCTTCTCTGGGCTGGGAGGAAAGGAGTGAGGAGAGCCATCTGGAGTGCGTGGGAGCGATCGGGGGCCTGTCCTGGTGTCAGAGCACCCAGCTCACCCCGCCTGCTCCCGCAGAGGCAGAGCCCCACACACGGCCCAGGGTGGCCGGCCAGGCTTGCAGTGAGGCCTGGGGGAGGCAGCAGAACGGAGCTGTGGGTTTCTGGCCTGGCTGAGCCGCCCCCCGCCTCAGCTGCTGGGGAGTCCCCTGACTTTTTCTGGTGATGGCTCAGGAAGTAACAAGCTGTCCTGGGAGCCCCATTCGAGGCAGAGCCCGGGGTCCTCTCTTGTGGGAGCTGGTGGGTGTGCATGTTGCAGCTCAGAGCCCAGCAGCGCCTGTGCGCTTTGGGACTGTACAGGCACCTCCTGCAGAAACTGTCTGGATGTAGGAGAGAGCCTTCACCCACTTGAAGATTCTCAGTGCCACCCACCTCTCCACACCCCCGTCACAGGCCGTGGTTGGCACAGAGTTAAGGAAGGAAACAGGACTGAGGAGGCTTTCCCAGGTCTTGCTCTGTGTTACTAAGGGAGTGCATTCACCAGAGACCTCTGGGGGCCCGGCAGCGCTCGGGGAGGGAGATGGCAGAGCCGTGACAGAGTAGGGTGGGCTGTGTGCACACTCACTGGGTCATCTGTGTCGGGGAAGCTTTGGGCAGTGGCAGAAATTAACAGGACTTCCCGATGCCAACTGAGTACCAGCCAGGGCCGAGTGGGGCTGTGGCTAGGGTGGGGCGGGATCAGTGTCAGCCTGTCTCCTCAATGACCTGTGGCCTTGGCAGCCCCCTGAACTCTCATCCCCAGCCCCATCCTCCGGGCCACAGGCTTGCCCATGCCCTGCCTCTGGGGGCTGTAGATGTGGGTGGAGCTGTCCATAGTGTGGCTGCACTGTCTTGCTCGGGTGGGCTGGGCCTGGGCATCCTGTGGGGACAGTGACTGGAGAAGGGGCACAGATGGCCCAGGTCCTCCTCGACCTGGCCACAGCCCAGAGCTGGAGAGCAGTGTGGCCGGCGTGCCAGGTGGGATCCCCCAGGGTCCTCCAGGACGCTAGTCCTAGGCCACGCTGAGGGCACCGTGAGCTTTGCCTCTTCTGATCAGTGGGCTCTCCAGTTGATTCTTCCGGGGGGCTTGAGGTGAGTTGAAAACCCAGACTTCCCTGCTATGAAACTTTTCTGCAGAGAGCAGGGTTTAGAGAAGGCTCTGATCTTTTGCTATGAGATGGGCTGACCTGGGGAAGCCAGTAAATGCTGGAAAGCTGGTGGCAAGCTTTGGACATAGCACAAGCAGGCTGTCCCTGCTTGCCAGGGCTTGGGGTGTGCATGGCGTGGGTGTCAGGCCCCACGGGGACCAGGAGGGATGGGAGCAGAGGAGGGAGCTGCCGGCTCAGCACGTTGTGGGGCGGGGAATGATGGTGCCAGCGACGTATTGATGACCAGACAACAGTCCTAATGTAGAGCGGCCCTGGGTTTCTCAGATGCCTTGGGAGACAGACCAGGTGGTTGGGTGAGTTGGTGATCGAGGCTGCATGGGGCTCAGTGTGGACATGGGGTACCCCCGGTAGAGTGTGAGGTGTGGGTAGAGGCAAGGACTCGCCAGACCCAGGACCAGGGCTCATGGACACCCGGGTGTGTGGTGTGTTGGGGAGATGGGTGGGAGAAGGGCAGGGCTGCCGTCAAATGCTGTGTGGTGTGTGTGTGGCACACGTGCTATGTGCTGTGTGGTGTGTGTAGTGTGTGCTCTGTGTGGTGTATGTGGTGTGTGATGTGTATGTGACGTCTATGGGTGGTGTGTGGTCTATGTGTTGTGTGTGTGTAGTGTGTGTGGTGTGTGATGTGTGTGTGGGATGTGTGTTGTGTGTATGTGGTGTAGTGTATGCGTGGTCTGTGTGGTATGTGTGTGGTGGGGGTGTGTGTGGTGAGTGCTGTCTGGTGTGTAGTGTGTGGTGTCTGTGGTATGTGTGGTGTTTGGTGTGTGGTGTGTGTGCTGTGTGGTGTGTAGCGTGTGGTGTGTGGTGGGTAGTATGTGGTGTGTGTGTGACGTGTGTGGTGTGTTTGGTGTGTGCTGTGTGGTGTGTAGTCTGTGTGTGGTGTGTGTGTGCAGTGTGTGGTCTCTGGTAGTGTGTGTGGTGTGTGTTCTGTGTGTGGTGTGTGGTCTGTGGTATGTGTGGTGTGGTGTATATGTGGTGTATTGGATATGTCTGGTGGGTGTGTCTGGTGTGTGTGTGTGTGGTGAGTGATGTGTGGTGTGTGTGATGTGTGGCCTGTGTGTGGTGTGTGTGTGGTAATGTGTGGTGTGGCCTGTGTGTATGGTAGAGTATATGGTGTGTGGAATGTGTGGTGTGTTTGTGACGTGTGTGGTATGTGTGATGTGTGTCGTGTGTGTGGGGTGGGTGGTGTGTGTGTGATGTGTGGTGTGTATGTGGCGTGTGTGTGTCTGGTGTGTGTGGTGTGCATGTGATGTGTGTTGTGTGTGTTGTGCGTGTGACGTGTGGTGTGTGTATAGCGTGTGTGTATGGTGTGTGTGACGTGTGTGGTGTTTGTGTGTGTGTGGCATGTGTGTGTCTGGTGTATGCGGTGTCTGGCGTGTGGTGTGTGTGGTGTGTGTGCGACTAGTGTGTGTGGTGTGTGTGGCATGTGTGGTGTGTGTGGCGTGTATGGTGTGTGTGGCGTGTGGGGTGTGTGTGTGACGTGTGGTGTGTGTGGTGTATGAGGTGTGTGTGGCGTGTGTGTGTCTGGTGTGTATGGTATGTGTGATGTGTGTGTGACTGGTGTATGTGGTGTGTGTGTGGCGTGTGTGGTGTGTGTGTGGCGTGTGTGGTGTGTGTGTGACGTGTGTGGTGTGTGTGTGAGGTGTGCGTGTGGTGTGTGCGTGCATGGTGTGTGTGTGTGTCTGATGCATAGGTGGGTGCCTGGTTTCTCTCTGGGAGGAGAAACCCCCGCTGTGTGGGAACTGGAGCCGTGACCCCTAGGACTGGGGCTGCGCGGGGCATCCATCCCTCAGATCCATGCAGCCCCGGCTTTGGGTCCCTTGCTGAGCCTGCGTGTCCCTGTCCCCGGCTTTGGGTCCCTTGCTGAGCCTGTGTGTCCCTGTCCCCAGCTTTGGGTCCCTTGCTGAGCCTGCGTGTCCCTGTCCATGCAAGCGCTGGTCACCCAGGCTGGTGTCCCGTCCTCTGGATGTTTCTGTGATTCAGTCCTCCTTCCTCTTGACCCCGGTTATTCTGCCTCAGGCCTTGATACCCTCTTCGGCTACTGAGACATCATCCTAGTTGGCTTTGTTGCCTCTAATCTCCATCTTTTTTTTTTTTTTTAAGACAGAATTTCGCTCTTTTTGCCCAGGCTGGAATGCAGTGGCACGATCTCCGGTCACTGCAACCTCCACTTCCCGGACTCAAGCAATTCTCCTGCCTCAGCCTCCCGAGTAGCTGGGGTTGCAGGCATGCACCACCACGCTTGGCTAATATTTGTATTTTTAATAGAGATAGGATTTTACCATGTTGTCCAGGCTGGTCTTGAACTTCTGACCTCAGGTGATCCGCCTGCCTCGGCCTCCCAAATTGCTGGGATTACAGATGTGAGCCACCGTGCCCGGCCCTCTCTTAATTTTTTTTTTTTTTTTTCGAGATGGAGTCTCGCTCTGTCCCAGGCTGGTGAGCAATGGAACAATGGTGTGATCTTGGCTCACTGCAACCTCTGCCTCCTGGGTCCAAGGGATTCTCCTGCCTCAGCTTCCCGAGTAGCTGGGATTATAGGTGCCCACCATCACGCCCAGCTAATTTTTGTATTTTTAGTACAGACGGGGTTTCACCACGTTGGCCAGGCTGGTCTCGAACTCCTCACCTCGTGATCCACCCGCCTCGGCCTCCCAAAGTGCTGGGATTACAGGCGTGAGCCACTGCATCTAGCCAGCTCAATCTTGATATCAATGCCCGAGTGAATTCTCTGCAATGAAGATGCGTGAGCACTGTCCTAGTCCTCTTCTTGGGACAAGCAAGCCTGAATCCAGCAGCTTCAAACTTCACACCTGTGTTAAAAAAAAAACAAAACCCGCCGGGTGTACTGGCTCACGCCTGTAATCCCAGCACCTTGGGAGGCTGAGGCGGGTGGATCATTTGAGGTCAGGAGTTCGAGACCAGCCTGGCCAACATGGTGAAACCCCGCCTCTACTAAAAATACAAAAATTTGCTGGGCATGATGGTGGGCGCCTGTAGTCCTAGCTACTTGGGAGGCTGAGTCAGGAGAATCGCTTGAACCTGGAGGCGGAGGTTGCGGTGAACTGAGATCACGCCACTGCACTCCAGCCTGGGCGACAGAGTGAGACTCTGTCTCAAAACAAAAACAAAAACAACAGAAAAAACCAAAATCAAAACCAAAAACCACCACGCCTGTGCCACCTCACAGTCAAACACCACACCTGTGCCACCTCACAGTCAAACACCACGCCTATGCCACCTCACAAACACCACACCTGTGCCACCTCACAGTCAAACACCACGCCTGTGCCACCTCACAGTCAAACACTATGCCTGTGCCACCTCACAAACACCACGCCTGTGCCACCTCACAGTCAAACGCCACGCCTTTGCCACCTCACAGTCAAACGCCACGCCTGTGCCACCTCACAGTCAAATGTCACGCCTGTGCCACCTCACAGTCAAACGCCACGCCTGTGCCACCTCACAAACACCACGCCTGTGCCACCTCACAGTCAAACACCATGACTGTGCCACCTCACAGTCAAACGCCACGCCTGTGCCACCTCACAAACACCACGCCTGTGCCACCTCACAGTCAAACGCCACGCCTGTGCCACCTCA
This sequence comes from Homo sapiens, assembly GCF_000001405.40. NCBI lineage: Eukaryota > Metazoa > Chordata > Mammalia > Primates > Hominidae > Homo > Homo sapiens. Next base: position 1,650,026 of record NC_000004.12, on the reverse strand, counting down.
CAGTCAAACGCCACGCCTGTGCCACCTCACAGTCAAACGCCACGCCTGTGCCACCTCACAGTCAAACGCCACGCCTGTGCCACCTCACAGTCAAACGCCACGCCTGTGCCACCTCACAGTCAAACGCCACGCCTGTGCCACCTCACAAACACCACGCCTGTGCCACCTCACTGTCAAACACCACACCTGAGCCACCTCACAAACACCATGCCTGAGCCACCTCAGGGGTCCCGGAGGCCGATGGGGAGGCTCTGCTCAGGCCTCCTTGGAGCTCAGTCAGCCAGGTTGTGGTTACCTGGAGGCTTGACTGGGGCTGCAGGACCTGCTTCTAAGTTCACCCATGTGGCTTTTGGCAGGAGGCCTCATTTCTTTGCCACATGGGCCTCCCTGAGGGGCAGCCTGAGTGTGTTCACGATGTGGCAGCTTGATTTCCCATAATGAGTGACCCCAGTGGGCATGAGCGGGCCCCACAGAGCCCTGTGTGACCTGGTCCTCACCAGCTGAGATTTCGTCTGCTCCTTAACTCTGTCTAGCCCTTACTCAGTGGGAGGAGGATCGGGCTCCACTTTTTGAAGGGAGTGATTTCAAAACCGCTCTTCTCCGTAAGGAGTGTCGGTCAGAAACGGTGCTTGTGGAATGGTGTTAGCATTGATGCTGGCTCTGGTGCCTCCCACCCCTTGTGCTGGACTTTGGTTGGCCACAGACAGGTAGGGGGCTTACAGAGAGGATAGGCAGGTGCAGAGCTTTCTTTGTTCCCTTGTTTCCTTCTTTCTTTCTCTTTCCTTTTCTTTCCTCCCCTCCTCTTCCCCTTCCCCTTCCCTTTCCCTTTCCCCTTCCCCTTCCCCTTCCCTTTCCCTTTCCCCTTCCCTTTCCCCTTCCCTTTCCCCTTCCCCTTCCCCTTCCTCTTCCCTTTCCCTTTCTGTTTTGCTCTTGTTGCCCACGCTGGACTGCAGTGGCATGATCTCAGCTCAGTGCAACCTCTGCCTCCCAGATTCCAGAGATTCTCCTGCGTCAGCTTCCCAAGTGTCTGGGATTGTAGGCGCCCACCACCACACCTGGCTAATTTTTGTATTTTTAGTAGAGATGGGGTTTCACCATATTGGCCAGGCTGGTCTTGAACTCTTGGCCTCAGGTAATCCGCCTGCCTTGGCCTCACAAAGTGCTGGGATTACAGGCGTGAGCCACCACTCCCGGCTTGCCCCGTTTTCTTCAGTGACTTTGTTAATGAGCCAGAACAGTGATGTGGGTGCTGCACACCCCATTCTGCTCCTGGGACTCAACCTCACCTGAAATAAAAGCTTTTCGTTTATTTGCTTCATGTGGGGGCCAGGTAATACCTGCCCGCCCTGAAGTGTGCATTGCCTTAAATTCAGCCGCTTTGGTCTGCTTGCTCACGAGTGTCTTCAGTGTGACCGTAGTCATCGCTTTCTGGTAAAAAGGTTTGTGGGGAGAGGGCCTCATCAAATGTCAGGAAAGCCCCTGAGGAGACAGGCAGTGTCTTCAGGGGCCACGTCTGCAAACCCAGAGCCCTCCTGACCGCGGCTGCAGAGGACAGTGCCAAGACTCCTGAGGGGCCAGGGCTGCCTGCTCTCCCTCTTTCCAGCTCTTTGCTCATCCCACCCAAAAACTGGCTCCCACCTTTCTCTGTGTCCCTCATCTGCCGTCTGTGTGCCCCTCTCCCTGTCAGCCAACCAGTCTTCACCCACACCCACCTACCCCTGCCTGCACCGCATCACCTGAATATGTGGCACCTTTGGTGAACACTTGGCCCCCAGCCTGGGTTACCTGTCAGTTCCTGGTTTTGTTTTGTTTTTTGGAGACAGGGTCTCTCTCTCTGTTGCCCTGGCTGGAGTGTAGTGGTATAATCACAGCTCACTGCAGTCTCCATCTCCTGGACCCAGGTGATCCTCCCACCTCAGCCTCCTAAGTAGCTGGGACCACAGGTGCACACTCCTGTGCCCAGCTAATATTCTCAATTTTTTAAGAGACAGAGCCTTACTATGTTGTCCAAGTTGGTCTCAAATTCCTGGGCTCAAGCCATCTTCCTGCCTCACCTCCCAAAGTGCTGGGATTGCAGGCGTGCGCCACCAGGCCCAGGCTTTGCCACTTCCTGTTTGTGTCAAGCTCCTCTCCACCTCAGGGCCAAAAAGAAATGCTCTGATTTTCCTCTACAACTTTTATAATTGTGTGTTACCGGACAATTAGTCCTGACTCTGGGTGGGCACACACACATACCCACCATGCACACTCACCCCCACGCTTATGTGCACACTCAGGTGCACACTCCCACTCATGTGCACACTCCCACTCATGTGCACCGCTGCATGCTCACGCTCGCTCACATCCGCACCCCGGCTGTGCTGTGCTTGCACCTGGCGGACTCGGTATGCGCAGCCCAGCTCTAGTCCGGCGTCCCTGGCGTGTGTTGTGCAGTCTGCGTGCGCAACTGTGTTCACCCTGCAGGGCTCCTATGTCGGGGCTTATCAGTGGGACCGTTCGGCGATCATCCTCAACCCCCCGCCACCCCCTGCTGTCTGCTCTGAGTCTAGGCTCACACCAGCTTCCCCAGGTGTCAGAGGGCTGCTCTCTGAGCAGGGTGCAGGGGCACTGCCTTCCCTGCCTTTCCCTTGGAAACAGTGCATGTTTTCCTAGGAAAACATTTAGGATTTTCTGCTTTTTTTTTTTTTTTCCCGAGATGGAGTCTCGCTCTGTCACCCGGGCTGGAGTGCAATGGTGCCATCTCGGCTAACTGCAACCTCTGCCTCCCAGGTTCAAGCGATTCTCTGCCTCAGTCTCCTGAGTAGCTGGGATTACAGGTGCCTGCCACCATGCCTGGCTAATTTTTTGTATTTTTAGTAGAGAGGGGGTTTCACTATGTTGGCCATGCTGGTCTCGAACTCTAGACCTCAGGAAATCCACCCACCTCAGCCTCCCAAAGTGCTGGGATTACAGGCATAAGCCACCATGCCCGGCTTTTACTGGCGAAGCTACTTTTTCTGTTTTTATTGGCAAAGCTATGTTTCAAAGTTGAAATTAAAATATGACCATTGAAAATATGCACATCAGTTATGGTTCCAGCAGAGTGTGGAAGCAGCTGCTGGTTTCTATAAAAGCGTGTGCTTTTAGGGCTTTGAAAAGCTTTTGCCACGTAGAGAAGGCGCTCAGCTGCCTCTGGAGAGACCGAGGCTGCTGCAGAGAAAGAAACAGCTTCCTATGTGGCCCTGCAGCTGGGTCACCCAGAGCCTGAGGAGTTCTTCAGACAGGCAGGCAGCTTTGGGGCCAGCAGTTACATCATGGGCTAGAACCTAAGGACAAGCTAGAGGTGCATGTGGCCGTGTTCACACCTTCAGGCCCGCTGCGTTTTTGGAGGTCTTGGGTTTAGTGAGCAGATGGTGCCTTCCGCGGCCTCAGTCACGAGAGCGCAAGGCTTGTCCTCCATGGGGGGGCCTCTGCTGCACCTGCTGAGCTGTTTTCTCTGTGCCTCCTGGGTGAAAATTGAAAAACCAAAAGCTTTGAGCAGCTCCTGGTACCAAGAAAAGGACTGACTTAGTTTGTTTTTGCTGCTGTAACAAAATACCCCCGACGACGTCACTTATAAATAAGAGAAATGTATTTCTCAAGAGTTCTGGGCTGGGCACAGTGGCTCACGCCTGTAATCCCAGCACTTTGGGAGGCCGAGGTGGGCAGATCATGAGGTCAGGAGATCGAGACCATCCTGGCTAACACAGTGAAACCCTGTCTCTACTAAAAATACAAAAAATTAGCCGGCATGGTGGCGGACGCCTGTATTCCCAGCTACTTGGGAGGCTGAGGCAGGAGAATGGCCTGAACCCGGGAGGCGGAGGTTGCAGTGAGCCGAGACCGCGCCACTGCACTCCAACCTGGGCGACAGAGCAAGACTCCGTCTCAAAAAAAAAAAAAGAGTTCTGGAGGCTGGGAGCCCAAGACCCAGGCCCCAGCAAGTCTGGTGTATGGTGAGAGCCTGCCCTCTGCTTCCAAGATGGCCTCTTGTGGCTGTGTCCTCACCTGGCGGAGGAGATAGAGGACGCGGAGGACTGAGGCTGGTTCCCTCCAGCCCTTTATGAGGCTCTCGTGTCTTGTGCAGGCCCGCAGGACCTGATCAACTCCCAACACCATGGTAGAGATTTGGAGGTATACGTTCAAACTGTAGCAGGGACCATCAAGAACATGGAATGTTTGAGACGGCGCAGACCGAAAATCTGGAATTTGTAGCTGCTGATTTTTCTTGCTTGTTTTCTCAGACCTTCTCTCCAGGAGCCATGCCCAGGGTGGTCAGAGGTGGTGAGTGAGGTGGCAGAAGCGAGTGCTGGGCAGGGGGCGCACTGCTGGGCACTCACTCCATACCTCCTGATGGGCACTGGCTGTCCCATCCCCCTTGGGATGAGGAGCCGGTGCCATCAGTGGCTGCACGGTCAGGGCGGAGAGTCCCCTCCTTCTGCCTCTGTGTGGAGGGCTGGGGAGACAGGGAGGATCTTTGTTCTCCAGCTTCCTGGCTTTGTAAGGCTGTGTGCCCCTCACAGCCCGAGCAGGTTGTCTGAGCAGGGCTCACTCAGCCAGTTTTTTCATGTGCCGTCGGCCAGCTCCCCTGTCTAGAATGCTCCAGTCCGTACTTTCCTAATAACCCTCTCTTCTGCAGGGTTGGGAGGGCGCTCACCAGAGGCAACAAGGGGTCTAGGGTCCCGGTGCTTCTCACACTGGCCTCCTCGCCTGACACACGCACGGAGCTTGCTCTGGCCATCTCTGTCCCTGCCTGTGCCATGGACATCCCTGCGCCCTGTGGGCCTCTGTGGCTTGGCCGGCCTGTGCCTCCCTGTGGCAGGAGGGAGGTGCTTGGCTCTGCTTGGCTGCCTGTTTCAACATGCACTGTGCTGCGCTCCAGGCACTGCCAGGCCCTTGGGGAGCACCCCCCACCCTTGACTGCTGCCTGGCCCTGCTGCAGAGCGGCCCACGGCCAGGGCCGCCTTGGCTGTGAGGGGACCCTGTGAGCCCCTCCCACATGGTGGATGGAGCTTGCGCTTTCTCAAGAGAGTAAACCCGTGTTTTAGTTTGACAAAAGCCAGAGGCTTTGGCAAGGGGCAGGTACAGATGTGGCTGAGACAGGGCCCTGGACGTTTGCTGAGTGACGTCAGGTCAGCTCGTAGGAGGCTTCCCTGACCTTCCAGGGTCTCACCGGCTTCCGGTAGCTGAGTTAACCCACCTCAGGTGCTGGAGGCCCTCCAGCTGTCAGCTGGGGTCCGTGCACCCCCCAGACTGCCTGGAGGGCTTCGCACACAGTTTGAAAGGCCTCTGCGCTTTGGAGCCCAATTTGGAACTTGAAGGCTTGACCTTTGTGTTTTGGACAACTGTTTTGTGTTTAACCTCAGATGGAAGTGACCATCCAACCAGAGTGATGGTAGCAGGAGCTGGGACGGAGCCCCGGGGCTGGCGCCCAGGGACAGGGGGCGCGAGGCGGATGGGTGGCGCAGTCCAGGCCAGCATCGGCCCCGTGGGCCTCGGTTTCCACCGTCTCTACAGCGTGGGTGGCCCCTTCAGTTCCGTGTGGCCTTCGCTAGCGCTGTTGGGCGCTGAGCTGTACAGCTGCCGTGTCTGTGGGCAGAAGTTTTTTCTCCTGCACCGACTGTGTCGTCCAGAGGCGTTCAGAGCCTGCTGTTTTCACGCTCTAGCCGCACAGCTGTGCCCGCGAGTGCGAGTCCCGCGTCCGAGGCCTCGGCGTGAGCTTACAGCATCTGTCGGGTCCGAGCAGTCAGTCCAGAGGGTCGACTCTGAATGAAAACAAAACGCCGTGGTTTGAAATGGAAGGAAACCTGGCCCCTGAAGGTGCGTAGCGTCCCCGCCACCCCGGTGCGTGTGTAGTGCAGCCTGGTGGTGCTGTGGATTGGAGGCCATCCTGTGTGGGCAGCACGGCAGCCAGAGTCTGCAAGGTCACGGGTGACACCAGACCGAGCTGGTGAGACCCGGACCTCCACGCCATCCAGCAGGGGCCCAGCAGACCAGCCACATCCTCATGCCGGGCCTGGGGCTTGTACGGACAAGTGATGTCCATGGGCAAATTCACTTTGATTTGAATGAAAAATAAGTTATGCATCCCTATTTTGTGACCAAAACATGTGGCCAGTTGTATCTTTAAAGATTTGAGTGGGGCTGGGCGTGGTGGCTCATGCTTGTAATCCCAGCACTTTGGGAGGCTGAGGCGGGAGGATTGTTTGAGCCCAGGAGTTTGAGACCAGCCTGGTCAACAAAGCGAGACCCCATCGCTACAGAAAATACAAAAATTAGACCGGCATGATGGTATGTACCTGTTGTCTCAGCCACTTGAGAGGCTGAGGTGGGAGAATTGCTTGAGCCCGGGAGGTCGAGGCTGCAGTGAGCTATGATTGCACCTCTGCACTCCAGCCTGGGAAACAGAGCAAGACCCTGTCTCAAAAAAAAAAAAAAAAATTATTCTTTAGAATTTTACTTCTCAGTGATTCACTTTTTATAGTAGAACCACAAAGACAGAAAATATGTCAATTCGTCTTTTGTCTATTTATTTATTTTTTTGAGACAGAGTCTCACTCTGTCTCCCAGGCTGGAGTGCAGTGGCCCAATCTCGGCTCACTGCAAGCTCCGCCTCCCGGGTTCACGCCATTCTCCTGCCTCAGCCTCCCGAGTAGCTGGGACTACAGGCGCCCGCCACCACGCCTGGTTAATTTTTTGTATTTTTAGTAGAGACGGGGCTTCACCGTGTTAGCCAGGATGGTCTTGATCTCCTGACCTCGTGATCCGCCCGCCCCGGCCTCCCAAAGTGCTGGGATTACAGGTGTGAGCCACCATGCCTGGCGTCAATTTGTCTTTTAGAGCCCAATAATATCCTTAGAAAAAAGGAGCTCTGTCCCCGAGGGCCATGTGCTTTTATAAAAATCAGTCGCTGGAAGTGTTTCCAGGAAGTGTTTGAGGTTCCCGTCTGTGGGGTGTTTCCTTGCTCTGGACGAAGGTGATTTGGGGAGTTTCTTGGGTCCTGTGGAATTGGTGAGCTTGTGCTCTAGGTCATAACTTTAGGTGGCCGAGGGTGCTGTGTCAGTGTGGCCTTGTCATCGGCATCATGGCGCCCCTGTGCCCTGCAGGCGTGGCCAGTGGCACCCACGTGCCCTCACAAGCCTGAGCCACGAGGTGAGGCGTCTGAAGCCAGCGTGGTGTGGTCGAGGAGGGGAGCCTTGACCCTGAGGAGGCCTGGAGGTGACCCGGCAGGTGGGGCTGGGTAGGAAGGCTGCTCCCAGTGGCAGTGGACGAGTGGCATGGACGGCGCTGGGCACCACAGACGGGGGACTTGAGGCAAGGACTGGGAGGTGGCGGGGGGTGGGGGCCCGGGAGTGCTGAGGGGCTGGTGCCCTGGTCGTGGCCATGGACTCGTGCCCCAGCTGGACACACCTGCTGGGTCTCAGGGCCCTGGAGACGCCCAAGAGAGCACGCCTGGGTGGATGGAGACTGTTTGCAGCTCAGAGTGCTCTGGTTGGGGGGTGCAGCCTGGGGGGACCCCCTATTCCTAACAGGCCTTGGGAAGGGAGGCTACTGAGTGAGATATAGCCGGGGGGCAGAGTGAGAAGGGGGTGGTGGCGGCACCTCCGGAGGGCAGAGGGAGGGCCGGAGCCTGGCACTCAGGGACCTGCTGTGGACAGGCCTGGGCGTGGCATGGGGGTACTGGAAGCTACTCGCCTGGGATGAGGGCGGGCCTTGCCCAGGGGAGACCCCTGTGTGTGCACCTGTTTGTCGCACGTATTTTGAGATGAGAAGGATTTGCATGTGTTTCTATTAGAGTAACTATTAGGGGAGGAGGTGCAAGGACAGAGAAGGTGGGAGCTGCGTCTGGTGGGCCCCTGAGGACACCGACGAGGTGGGGTTCCAGGGGCCTTATGGGGGCAGGTGGAGGAGAGACAGAGCCACCACAGGGCCTCAGAGGTGGCTGTGAGGTGCTTGCTGAGAGCGGCCCTGGGTGGGGCTGTTGTCAGAAGTGGAGGCACAAGGCACCCTCTCTGGACAGGCCACCTGCCAAGGACAAGACTGGGATAAGGCTGTCACCTGTGAGCCCTGGGCATCTTGGGGCTTGCTTAGGTGTCAGGTGCCCACCAACCTGGTCCGTTGGGTCTGGGCAGGGCCAGGCTGTGCGTCTCTGCCCACACCAGCTGGGCGGGGGCTGAGGAGAGCTGAGGGGCCAGCTGGTTGGGCTGGGGCGGGCATGGGCAGGGTCTGAGAAAGGGGCTCTGAGAGCTGTGGCTGGTGTACAGGGGACCAAGGCCCCTGCTTTGTGTGGTCTTGGGGATGGCCAGAGCCCCAGCACACCGAGCCCTCGATGGGTTGGTGGGATGCTGCCTCCTGTGTGATCTGCTAGAAATGCTTTAAGCCCGTATCTTTTCTATTGCAGACTTTAAAAAATTCAAAAAGCCTTTGCTCCCTCAATTACGAAGATGACGATGAGGATGACACCCCAGTGAAGACGGTTCTGTCCTCCCCATGTGACTCCCGGGGCCTCCCTGGCATCACCATGCCTGGCTGCAGCCAGAGGGGCCTCAGGACCAGCCCTGTCCACCCCAACCTGTGGGCCTCTAGGGAGTCGGTGACCAGTGATGGCTCCCGCAGGAGCAGCGGGGACCCCCGTGATGGGGACAGTGTCGGGGAGGAGGGCGTCTTCCCCCGGGCCCGCTGGGAGCTGGACCTGGAGCAGATCGAGAACAACTGAGGCTGGTGGGGGCTGGTCGGGGCCATGGCTGCCGCCTGCACCTGCCCTGGGGCACAGAGTAGGTTTCCTGTGAGCTGGTCGGGGCCACGGCCCGGCACCTGCCCTGGGGCACAGAGTAGGTTTCCTGTGAGCTGGTCGGGGCCACGGCTGCCGCCGGCACCTGCCCTGGGGCACAGAGTAGGTTTCCTGTGAGCTGGTCGGGGCCACGGCTGCCGCCGGCACCTGCCCTGGGGCACAGAGTAGGTTTCCTGTGAGCTGGTCGGGGCCACGGCTGCCACCGGCACCTGCCCTGGGGCACAGAGTAGGTTTCCTGTGAGCTGGTCGGGGCCACGGCTGCCGCCTGCACTGCCCTGGGGCACAGACTAGGTTTCCTGTGAGCTGGTCGGGGCCATGGCTGCTGCCTGCACCTGCCCCAGGGCACAGAGTAGGTTTCCTGTGAGCTGGTCGGGGCCATGGCTGCCGCCTGCACCTGCCCCGGGGCACAGAGTAGGTTTCCTGTGAGCTGGTCGGGGCCATGGCTGCCACCGGCACCTGCCCTGGGGCACAGAGTAGGTTTCCTGTGAGTTGGTCGGGGCCACGGCTGCCGCCTGCACTGCCCTGGGGCACAGACTAGGTTTCATGTGAGCTGGTCGGGGCCATGGCTGCTGCCGGCACCTGCCCTGGGGCACAGAGTAGGTTTCGTGTTGCTTGGAACATTAAGGCGTAATTTTGATTCAGTTTTTCCTAAAGAAGCATTTTGCATTTTTATGGCTTTTGCAGTTCGGGAGAAAGCTTCTCTATTTTGGATGCATTTCAGAAGGGCGTTCTATTAAACATGAATCTGCAAACAGATTAACATGCGTCTGTGTTCCCCACGAAAGGCCTGCTGTGCAGGGCGCCTTGTGTGCTTTAGTTGCTAGGAAACCCCGGGCGTTGGTGGTCAGAGTCCCACTGGCCCCGTGTGTCCCCCCCTCCCGACGGGTCACGGTGCTTGGGGCTTGCGCATGGGCATCTGTGCCCATGAACCTTGTCACCCACGTGCCAGTGAACCGCCAGCTTGTGGCCGCCTGGTTTTCCACCGGTGGCAGTGATGGCCTTTGGGGCAGACCAAGGTGCCATGAGTCCCTGCTTCCCGTGGCCTGGGAGGGCCCTTGCACCTTCAGGTGGGGTGTAGTGCCAGACCTCTGGGAAGGCTGTCCTGCCGGCAGCACCCGTCAGCACCCACTCTGTGAATTTAATACAAGGCCTTTGCTTTGTGCATACGACTTCTGATTAATTTTCGTTTCCACCATCTGAAGTGGGCCTGGCTGCGCCTCAGGCCTCTGGTCTCTGGCTCAGAACCAGACAAGGCAAGGGATTTCCTGTTTTTCATTCTTGCACTTTTAATAAAATCGTAGGGGTTTCGAGTTTGCGATAGCAAAAGAAAACATTAATACTTTTTTGAAATTTTCTTGTTTTTTTCTCAATACAATTCATGAAAGGTCATTGAAGTTAATCAATGCCACTTTCTTAACTGACATGGGCCACAGATCAAAGGTGGGCAAAGGTGGCGAGTGGTGTGGTTTTGTTGGATCAGCTTTCCTGAGGCCGAGCTGCTTGGGTGAAAGTGGGGTTCTGGCTCTCGGGTGACCCTCCTGCCTCTGCCCTGCAAGACGGGGGATGGCGCTGGGGAGTTTGGGGCCTTAGCAAGTGGGATCCCCCTTCCTGGCCAGGCTCTGCCCTCCTCCGTTGGGGCAGTGCCTACTCTCCTGCTGTGCTGGCCCGGGGTCAGGAGCCCTCCTGTCGTTGGCAGGCCCTGGGTGGCTCCTGTGCTGGGACTGACAGAACAGGGGCTCAAGAGAGTGTCACCTGCTCCCCAGAGCCACCCCTGGCCTCGTGTGAAGGGAAGGGAGGGCCCTGGCATTGGACTTTGACACAGTTGCCAGACTGCACAGGAAGGTTGTGTTTTGGATTAAATTTGTGGAGATCAGCTCCGGGTGGTTTAGCAAAAGCCACAGTCACCTGCGTAGTCATCCAGGGTGCTGGGATTTGGGGTGGGGCGGGCGGTGCTCTGAGATGACTTAGTACAGGGCAGGGTCCCTCAGGTCAGAGGCTGGCTGTGGGGCTGGAGTGGCCTCCAGGGCACCGGCCACTGGTCTGCAGGACATGGCAATCTGGACAGCAATGGGAGACAGGGCTGTGGGGCTGGCATGGTGGTGGTGTCAGGCCTGCCAGGGTCCCACAGGGCCCTCTGCTGCAGGTCGGGGAGGGCGTCAGAGATGAGGCAGGGTGTGTCGCTGTGGCTGCAGAGGGGCCCGAGGTCCCCACCAAGGCCTGGATGCCCCAGGGGCAGGTGGGGCCTCGCCCCCTCCCTGCAGTCACTCTCTACGCTGAGTCCACCCGGCGTCCCCTCCCGCTGGATGGTGACCCAGGTTTGGGAGATCTGTCCACTGTGTTACCTGGAGTCTAGAACAGTTCCCAGCTGACTCTCGCTACCTGAGTCCCCTTCAAGGACAGGCAGGAGGAGGGGGGCCACTGACTGCTCACACCCCAGCCCAGGGGCCCCTCACCAGCTCTGAGCCTGGCCTGGGTGTGTGGGAGCGAGGGGATGTGGGGTGAGCTGGGGTTTACGTGTGCAGTCACCAGCCGCCCCCCACCCCTCCGACACTCCCCTTCCCTTGACGGAGCGTCTGGTCCTGCCTGCAACCCTTGGACTTGCCACCTTCCCCCAGGGCTTCCCCACCTCTCTCACCTCCTACCCTACCTCATCTCCTCCTTCCCCAAACCTCTGGCTCTCCTGGGCAGAACCTTTCCGGCTGGCTGGTGAGTGGGGCTGGAGGCTCCTCCTGAGGCCCGAGCCCAGGGCCATTCCCCTCGGTGCCCTTGATGTAGGGTGTCTGGTTGGTGGGGCCCTCGGTGGGGCAGTGCAGCCGGTTCTTCTGCAGTGCCGACCTGCTGTGTCCTCTGCGGGTGGGGAGACTGAGACGGAAGGTTCAGGGCACCCTTGGGTCCCCTGTCTGCCTAGCACAGGGTGGCGTGTGTGTGCGAGTGAGCTCACAGCCCGGCCCCTGGGGCTTGTCCCCAGGGCTGTATTTTCCCTTGGGCGTGTCTGCGTGTTTCCTGGAATGGGGGGCCAGGACCCTCACCAGGGGCATTTGAGTCCCTTGGTTGGCCCTGCAGGGTCACCTGCCTGAGGCCGGGGGCAGCCTTGGGGGTTGGCCTGCTGCCTCGTGTGGATGCTTGGCCCCTTGGGGATGGAGAGAGGCTGCTGCTGAAGCTGCAGGAAGTTCTGGTGGGGTGGGGGCTGCTCAGCTGTGTCACCCACGGTGGGCCTGGACTTGGTCTTTCCTCGACTAGCCACAGGCAGGGGGTCCCAGGGCCCTCTGGGGTGACCCCAGAGCCGTGGACAGGTGGATGGGAGGAATGGGGGGCCTGAGGCACAGTGCAGCCCCTGGGTCCCTGGGACCTGCTTTGGGCACCCACCTCAGCGGTCAGCCCGTGTGGGATCCACTGGGCTGGGCAGACATGGTGGGAGGGCCGGGGTTGTGCCTGGTACCCTGGGACAGCTCCCTTCCTGCGCTGGGGGCCTGTGAGGCCACTCCTCAGTCCCAAGGCTGGGATCCTTCAGACAGGCCCCTCCCTGCCCCTAGCCCCCAGCACTGCTGCAGTGGCCCACCCCTGCCCACCCCTGCCCACCCCTGCCGGGCTGCCCCCAGCCCTCCCCCTCTCCTGGGGCCTTCCCCACTGCAGGGCTCCTGTCCCTGTGGAGGGCTCCTGAGGGGAAGAGGCTGAGGCGAGGTGGGGCAGGGATATGGGGATGAGAGAGGGATGGCTTCCCCACCCTTCCCAGAGCATCCACACCTATGTCTTCTCCTGAATACGTCTCCATCCTCCCCCAGGCTCCCTCTGTCCCTCGAGGGCTGGCCTCACCCCCAACCGTTCCCTCCAGCCCTGCCCAGAGCCTCTGAAGACCCGGGGAGGTGGGGACGGCCTGGCTGGGAGCCTCCCTGGCAGCGTGGGGTGGCAGCCTCTGTGCCAGGGCCTCAGAGCCAGCCAGTCCCCTGCAGTCACAGGCCCCGTGCTTGTCTAACTTTTTGTTCCTTATCCTGGGCCTATTCTCTGGCCATCCCCGCCCCCACCCCCCACCCGAGCATGGGTGCCGGAGGCATGGCAGCCCAGCCCAGCTGAGAGCCCCGGACCTCCCTGTGCCGAGAGCTTGTCTGCCCAGGCACTCCCCAGCCCCAGACGGTTGTGGCCCTCACCAGGCAGCCCTCACCAGGAGAGGAGCCTGCCCGTGCTCTGGTGCAGCGGGAGCTCCTTGTTCTCGTGCTCGCCGCCGCATGTGCAGCTCAGCCAGTGCCCTGGGGGGAGGAGGGGCAGATGCTGGGGCCATGGGTAACACTGGAGGGGCACCTTCGCTGTTCCAGCCCTGCAGATGGGACCCCCCCCCAGCAAGAGCAGGAATTTCAGCTCTCCTCCTGGCTGGCCTTTGGGTGGAGGGAGGGAGGTCTCCCTTGAGGACCCTGGGCCCCATGCTAGCCCCGTGGCCTCCCGATGCCTGGTCTGGCAGACGCAGACGCGGACCCCTCTGTACCCGAAAAACCCAGGTCTTGGGCAGGCACGCACTTTCTCCTCTGACAGAGGTGGATTGGCCAATTCTTGGCTGCTGCTCTAGACTCAGGAGGTGAGGGCATGGGATCTGGGGAAGTGAGTTCCACCCAGGACAGCCAGTGTGAAGGCCCTGAGGGACGAGTGAGCCAGGTGCCCGAGGCCGTGGGCTCAGGTGGAGAGCGCAGGAGTGAGTCCACGTACAGCGGGAAGCTTGAAGCGCGAGGACGGACGGGATCTCCCGTGAACGGGGCAACACCACAAAGTTAGCTGTTTCCCAAAGCAATGCACTGCCGCAAAACCCAGCCAACTGCGAGGAGAAATTCACAACCCCCGTCCTAGGCAGAGGTCTCGTAATCCTCTTGGTGGTTAATCGGTCAAGTAGACTCAAAAGGAAACAATAAGGATACATGAGGTTTGATGGTGCTGGCTCCTGGGCTTGAGCGGAGGGGTGTCTATGGAATGGGGCTCACCCAGCTGGGAAATCACATTAGTTTCAGGCACACATGGAGCCTATCAGAAATGGACTATTTATAGGCCAGAAAGCAAATGCCAGTACATTTCAAAGAATTAGTATCATGGCCGGGCGTGGCGGCTCACGCCTGTAATCCCAGCACTTTGGGAGGCTGAGGTGGGCAGATCATGAGGTCAGGAGATCGAGACCATCCTGGCTACCAAGGTGAAACCCCATCTCTACTAAAAATACAAAAAGAAAATTAGCCGGGCGTGGTGGCGGGTGCCTGTAGTCCCAGCTAGTCGGGAGGCTGAGGCAGGAGAATGGTGTGAACCCAGAAGGCAGAGCTTGCAGTGAGCCGAGATCGCGCCACTGCACTCCAGCCTGGGCGACAGAGCAAGACTCCATCTCAAAAAAAAAAAAAAAAAAAAAAAAAGAATTAGTATTATACAGGTCCTATCTTCTGACCACAACTCAATACCAAAAAGCAAACAAAACCTCATGTGTTTCAGAAATTCCAAAAATGCACTTGATGTAACTCATGGGTTATAGAAGAAATCAACGGAAGTGAGAAAAGACTTAGAACCGTTGGCAGTGGGCGCGGCAGATCCGTGCTTGTGGAGTAGATCCCAAGTGGTGTGTAGAAGGGAATTTACAGTCCTCAGTGACTGTATTAGAAGAAATAGGAGTGAAAAATAGCTGGGCACAGTGGCTGGCGCCTGCAGTCCTAGCACTTTGGAAGGCCAACAGCGGGGAGGATTGCTTGAGTTCAGGAGTTTGGGACCAGCCTGGGCAACATAGCAAGACCTCGTCTCTACTAAAAATAAAAAAATTAGTTGGGTGTGGTGGCTCATGCTTGTAGTACCAGCTTCTTAGGAGGCTGAGGTGGGAAGATTGTTTGAGTCCCGGAGGTTGAGGCTGCAGTGAGCCAAGATCACACTACTCCACTCCAGCCTGGATGACAGTGCGAGACCCTGTCTCAAAAAAACAAAACAAAACCCAGAAATGAATGAAACTGACAACAAAGCCACAGCGGAGAAGACCCACAAGGTTTTCTTTGTGAGACCAAATAACTGGCAAAAGTCTTTTAGCTTAATTGAGAAAAGGGGAGAATGAGCAAATAAATACTACTGGGAATGAAAAGAGAGGCAGAACTAGAGATGCAGTCTGGATTATAAAGATAGAGGATATTATGAATGACTTAGAGGAAACAGACAAATTCCTGGAAAAAATTGCTAAAAACTGACTCAAGGAGAAAGAGAACCTGTAAATAGTCCTGCAGCCACTTACCAGAATGAAACAGTAGTTTAAAATCTTCCTGCAAAGAAAGCCTCAGCCCCAGATGATTTTATTTTTTTATTTTTTTTTTTTTGAGACAGAGTTTCTCTCTTGTTGCCCAGGCTGGAGTGCAGTGGTGTGATCTTGACTCACTGCAATCTCTGTCTCCTGGGTTCAAGCAGTTCCCCTGCCTCAGCCTCCCGAGTAACTGGGATTACAGGCGCGCACCACCATGCCTGGCTAATTTTTTTGTGTTTTTAGTAGAGACGGGGTTTCACCATGTTGGCCAGGCTGGTCTTGAACTCCTGACCTCAGGTGATCCACCCACCTTGGCCTCCCAAAGTTCTGGTATTACAGGCGTGAGCCACCATGCCTGGCCCCCAGATGATTTTATAGACAACCTCCACAAAATGCATAAGGGAGGAAATTCCAGCCTTTCATAATTCCGTTCAGAGAATGGAAAAAAAAGACCGTGCCCAAATTATGTCCCAGGCACGTATGATCTTGATGTGAAACCAGATGGGAACAGGGGAGGGAGCTGCTGGTTGATGGCTGAACATGGTGGCCGAGGTGGTGGCCCTGAGAGCTGTATTAGACCTCAGGGCTGACTCTGCCCCTTCCCTGCTTTCCTCTGTGTGTGTGGACGGGTGTGGAGGGGTTGTGGGGGCAGGGATGGAGCTCAGAGGGTAACAGGAGCCCTCAGCAGAGACCTCTTCCCTCCTGCCCACCCTGCCCTGTCTCCACTGGACCCCATACAGGGGAGTCCTGTTTGCACGAAGCAGCTTAGACACCTCCTGCCACACCCCGAGGTCAGGGTCACAGGCAGGCAGAGTCCACTGTGGGCTCCAATCCAGTTTCCCGGACAGCCAGTGAAGAGGCCCCGGTTCCCTCACAGGCTGCAAACCCCGCACTCCCTCTGCCACCTGCTACTCACTGCCAGAGAGCCCCTCCCTGGGCCCCTCCTGGTGTTCTGCTGGTCCTCCCGGGTGTCCCTGAAACCCCGGGCGCTCCCCCAGCCACAGCCTCATTGCCCTGAATGGTGGGTTCTGCGTTGGTGCTGAACAGGAAGTGAGGTCCTGTAGCCAGACCCCCCAGTCATGCCCCCTTTTCTCTTTTCCTGCAGTTATGGATATAGATTTTTTTTTTAAAACCTCTTTAAGTTAATTCTGGTAATGTATATGTTCTTGGAGAATGGTCAGTTTTGTGAGGAATATCGAATGCATTAGCTGTCACTTTCAATCTCCTGGGCTGCTCTGATCCCCTCTCGGTCCCGGGCTCCCTTGCTTCCCCGCTCTGTTGATGAGATGCTTGGAGCCTTGCTTATTTTATTTATTTATTTATTGGGAAGAACCGGCTCTTGGATTTACTGATGGGCTCACCCATTCTTCTTGTTTCCAATTCATTAATTCTGCCTTTATCTTCATTCCCGCCTCTCCTGCCTCCCGTGAATCTGCTTTATGGTTGTTTTTCCCTCCTGTGTCGAGTATTTTGTTCATTTATTTCCAGTCTCTCTTGCTCAGTAATAAAAGCATTTAAAGTTGTGAATTCTCCACCAACTCCTCCTCCATCTGGCTTCGTGGACCTGCAATTTCTCTTTCCATATAATTATAAAATCGTCTCTTGAGGCGAATTTTATTTACCCTCTGACCCAGGAGTTGTTTAGAGCATTTCTAAACTTTCAAATCATCTGGCTGCTTCTTTAGACCTTTGCATTCATTTCTAGGTTTATTGCATTGGTGTAAATTATGGTTTAAATAATGAAGCCTGTGAGTGTTTCACCGTTTGGAATGCAGGGAGATATGCGCTCGTGTGTGTGAGCATGAGTGTACCTATGCATGTGAGCACGTGTACCTATGTGTGTGAGCATGAGTACCTATGTTTGTGAGCATGAGTGTAAAGCTATGTGTGTGCACATGAGCGTGTACCTATGTGTGTGCGCATGAGCATGTACCTATGCGTGTGAGCATGAGCGTGTACCTATGCGTGTGAGCACGAGTGTGTACCTATGCCTGCGTGCGCCCTGTGCACATGCATGTATGTCTGTGCACGTGTGTGCATATGTGCCTACAGGCATAACTACATGTGTGCCTACATTTTCTGCATGGGAGTCTGTGTGTAAGTGTACCTGTGTGTGTGCACGTGTAACTGTGTGTCCACAGGTATTTGCAGGTGGGTCTGTGTGCACATGGGCATGTGTGTCCATGTACAACTGTATAATATGCACACGTGTGAGCACTGTGTAGTGTGTGCCTGCGTGGTGTGTATACACAGGCGTGCAAACTGCCCACGTGCATGCACGCCTGTGGAGCGTTCTGTGGCTTCAGACGGCTGCTGAGTCAAGGATGGTGATGAGAGGACTCAGGCTTCGTTCCAGCTTTGTCCCCGTGGCTCTACTCTAAGGGCGCAGATGATAAAACGTCACGAATGGGTGTTGCTTTTATTATTTGTTAGTTGTCTGTTGAGACGGTCATGTGACAGTTCTCTTGTCATCTGTGGGTCGGTCTTCTTGGGGGTCCATGTCAGAATACTGCACAGTGGGCTTAAACAGCAGAGCTGTCTCTCCTCCCAGTTCTGGAGGCTGGAAGTCCGAGATGGAAGCATCAGGAGGGCCACTTTCTCCCAGGGCCTCGCTCTGTGGTTCAAAGGCGGCCACTATCTCCCTGTCTGCACGTGGTCGTTTCTCTGTGTGTGTCTGTGTCCTCATCTTCTTCCTCTTCCTATGAGGACACAGGTCAGATTAGATTAGGACCGACTCGTGTGACCTTATTTAACCCTAACTACCTCTTTAGAGACCGTATCTCCAAATACTAAACTTTTTTTTTTTTTTTTTTGAGATGGAATCTTACTGTGTCACCCAGGCTGGAGTGCAGTGGAGTAATCTCAGCTCACTGCGACCTCCACCTACCGGGTTCAAGCGATTCTCCTACCTCACCCTCCTGAGTAGCTGGGATTACAGGCACGTGCCACCACACCCCTATAATTTTTTGTATTTGTACTAGAGACGGGGTTTCATCATGTTGGCCAGGCTGGTCTCAGACTCCTGACCTCAAGTGATCCACCCATCTTGGCCTCCCAAAGTGTTGGGATTACAGGCGTGAGCCACCATGCCTGGCCGTGGCTTGGATAATTTTTAAAAGTGAGGAGCAATTTTTTTGTTGCTGTTTCCTTGTATATCATGTGTCCCCCGTCCTCAGGAAGCTTTTAAGATCTCTGTATTTTTGGTTTTCAGTGGGTTGCCTGTGGGAGCGGCTTTTCTGTGTGTTTATTCCACGTGTTTGCTGGTTGATTTGGCTGTTTTTTTTAGCTTCTTGAATCAGTGTTTCTATAGCTTTTTCCTTCTGTAGGGTGCCTCAGTCTCCCCACTCTCTTTCTCTGGGGCGTCTCAGAGGCTGCCCAGTGCACCGTGGATATGGCACCTTCCCTCTGTGGTTGGGCGCCTTCAGCTCAGAGGCTGTTTCCCTGGGACTGCTGTGTGCCCTTCCCTGAGGAGTTCCCAGGCAGCGGGGGACACACTCCAGGGACAGGAAGCCGTAATGCCCGGCACAGGAGCCCCACAGTGCTGTCCCTGGACTCTCAGAGGTTAGCATGTGTGGGAACGGCCTGGGCTGCAAGCTGGCCTCACTGCCCCACACTGAGGCCCAGAGACCTGGCCTTGCCTGGGACATGGGGTTGATGGAGACCTTTGCTGCCCACAGCAGGCCTGGGGCTGCCTCTGGCTTGTCCACCGCTGCTATTGCAGCTCCCGGGGCAAAAGGCTGCTGGGAAGCCCCAAGCAGGGTCTCCGCCTGCCTCAGCCCCGCTCCAAGTCGTATGCCTCTCAAGTGACAGGTGGCAGAGTCAGAGCCATCCTGACTCCAGTCTTTCTCCTCTAAAGTGTTATAATAATTTATTGGAAACATTGTTTTTATTGTTAGTATTAATACATTTATTAATTTATTATTATATTATTTTTGAGACAGGGTCTCCCCCAGTCACCAAGATTGGAGTGCAGTGGTGTGATCATGGCTCACTGCAGTCTTGACCTCTGGGGCTCAAACAGTCCTCCTGCCTCACCCTCCCAAAGTGCTGGGACTGCAGGCGCGTGCCATGGTGCCCAGCCTCAACATAAAATTTAGTGTTCAGTTAACTGGCATTTAGTACATTCGTGAGATGGTGCAGACACCGCCTCTCTCTGGTTCCAAACCATTTTATCCCATCGCCCAAATGAGCCCCCTCCCCACGAGTGGGCGCTCCCCACCCTGCCCTGCCCTGGCAGCCTCCCCTCCGCTTGTTGTCTCTGTGGAGCTGGGCATTTCGTAGACGTGGGATCATGCTGTGCGGGCCTTTTCTGTCTGGCTTCCACGATGGTGTTTAGAGCAGGCTCCTGGCCTGTCTTGGGAGTGGCGGTGAGGCTGAGGGGAATTGCTGAGCCTGCCTCAGGTGTGGGACGGACTGGCTGAACGGGGCCCGGGGCGTGTATTTTTGTAGACCCTGCTCTTGCCTGTGTGTCCCCATACACGATTCGTGACACGTGATCCATGAGTTGGGGGTCGGCAAACCGCGGCCCACTGGCCACATACAGACGCGGCCTGTTTCCGTAGAGTTTGATGGGAACTCCCCGACGTGCATTTGTGTAGACCTTGGCTGTGGCTGTTTCGGCTGCAGTGGCAGAGGTGAGTGGTCTCAGCAGACACCATGGGGGCCACAACACCAAGGTGGGCTCTGACCCCCTGGTCACGGGCAGCTCAGAGGACAGGGTGTCTCAGGCCCCTGCAGCAGGTGGCACCAGGGCCAGGCTGTCTTGTGCACCTGCCTCGTGGGCAGCTCCGACAGCTTGGAAGGGGATGACCTACCCCTGTGTGTGAGGAGTTGGTCCCCTTGTCCAGGACTCATACCCTCACCACACCTGGCAGGCAGGCAGCCGGGTGAGGTGTCCAGCGGGGTCTCACTGTGGTCTTTTTGTGCTGGGCGGAGGGGGAAGCAGGGGGACATGGGGAAGGATGAGGAAGGGAGCACAGAAGGGAAGGTCTGGGAGAGGGGAAGCTCCATCCGGCATCTGCTCAGGCCAGGGCCCATCTGAATAAACCACAGCTTTAAGCCGGGGTGTGAGGCCCAGGCTGTCCCCAGCGAGGCCGTGTGTGGTGGAGCTGGGCCAGCCCTCTGGCCACAGAGATGAGCTGTGGGTGGGCCGGGGTGGGCCCAGCCTTGTTCTCAGAGCTGCTTCCGGGACTAACTGCCTTCGGAGACTCAAACGATCCTCCTGCCTCAGCCTCCCAAAGGGACCCCAGGTTGGGTCCCTCTTCCCAAGGGGCTGAGTCTGGGCCTGAGAGCCCTGCTCTGGGAGTCCCCCTTGTACTCTTCACTGAAGCTGGGCACTGGCAAGGCCCTGCCTTAGCCCTGGGCAGCTCCTGTCTGCTGAGGACCCGTGCGGGCAGCCACAGGCAGGATGAGGGGGTGGCCCAGAGCTGGTGGAGCCTGGACAGGCCCAACCCCAGGCCAAGGCCATGGCCAGTGGCCCTCAGGACGGACATGTCTCCTACTGCCCCCTGGCCAGGCCTCCAGGGCACAGTCGAGGCCCAGGACTGACTCGGGCCACCCTAGAGGGGTCCTGAGGCCCCAGGCTCCGCTTTCCCTGGCGGGCCCAGCTGCCGGGTGGTCTGGCCTGGCCTGAGGCTTCGCCCGCACTTCCCCTGGAGGCCGCTGGGTGGCAGCAGAGATTGACTCTAGGTGGTGGCCACAGCCTCGGCCTCCCTCTGTGGGCCCTGGAGTCCTGGTGGAGAGTGCAGACCCCCTGGGGTCCCAGGTGCGGTGGGGATGGGGCTCCCTCCACCATGGGTCTGGCCCACTCTAGTGCCCCAGGGACCCTGCTCCTTCCTCTTCCCAGCTGGGCTGGGCGAGGTATCCGCCTGGAGGGGATCGAGGTGCTGTCCCCCAACGCAGGCATGGCGCACATCCTGGGGTGGACGTGGGTGAGAGGAGAACCCCACGGCCCCTGCCTCCTGGAGACCACGCGGTCACGGGGACTCATCGTGGATTTAAGGCACACAGGGCCCCAGGGGAGAAGGTACTCAAACTCAGGTGTTCCAAGGCCCCCTTATCTTGGGCTACGGAGTAGGGGACCCTGCAGTGGGCGAAGCCTGGGGAGTCTTAGTGCAAGTGTGTGCCCTCCCCCCATGCCAACCTCCCCCATGCCACCCTCCCCCATGCCACCCTCCCCCCATGGCACCCTCCCCCCATGCCACTCCCCCATGCCACCCTCCCCCCATGGCACCCTCCCCCCCATGCCACTCCCCCATGCCACCCTCCCCCATGCCACCCTCCCGCCATGCCACTCTTCCCGTGCCACCCTCCCACCATGCCACCCTCCCCCATGCCACCCTCCCCCCATGCCACCCTCCCCATGCCACTCTCCCCCATGCCACCCTCCCCCCGTGGCATGCTCCCCCTGCCACCCTCCCCCCATGCCACCCTCCCCCCGTGCCACCCTCCCCGCCCAGGTGCGCCCTCCCTTCGTGCCACGCACCCCCCGAGGTGCACCCTCCCCCCATGCCACCCTCCCCCATGCCACCCTCCCGCCATGCCACTCTCCCCGTGCCACCCTCCCGCCATGCCACCCTCCCCGTGCCACCCTCCCGCCATGCCACCCTCCCCCATGCCACCCTCCCCCATGCCACCCTCTCCCATGCCACCCTCCCCCATGCCACCCTCCCCATGCCACCCCCCCCATGCCACTCTCCCCCATGCCACCCTCCCCCCGTGGCACCCTCCCCCCGTGCCACCCTCCCCGTCCAGGTACACCCTCCCCCCATGCCACCCTCCCCCCGTGCCACCCTCCCCCTATGCCACCCTCCCTGTTCAGGTACACCCTCCCCTGGGCCACCCTCCCTGCCCACGTGCGTGCCCTCCCCCGTGCCACCCTCCCCGCCCAGGTGCACCCTCCCTTCATGCCACCCACCCCCTGAGGTGCACCCTCCCCCCGTGCCACCCTCCCCACCCAGGTGCATGTGGGTTGACCCCAGGGCCTATGGAATCCTCTCAGCCTCATCACTGGATGCTGCCGTTGACAGGAGGACCCTGAAGGTAGATGGGACTTGCCTGCGGGCATCAGCTCACAAGCAGAGCCTGTCTCTCCCAGAGTCACTTCATGGTGGGTGGGAGGCTCATGGCTCAAGCTCCAGGCCCCCTGCATGACCTCTGGAGGGGCTGCCCTGCTGAGTGGAGACCCCCAGGTGGGGCTGCTGCTGGGACACATGCCAGAGGGCAAGGGGGTGGTGGAGGGAGGGAGTGGGACCCTCTGGCCCTGGGCTTCCTCCCCGACACCCTTCCCCTGCAGGCCTCAGCTGCAGCTCTTGGCCACTTGGCCCCAGTGTGGACACTGTCTCTGCCCTGGAGAATGTGGAGAGGACAAGAAGGATCAGGCCCACGGCGGATGGGAGCCCCAGCTCTCCACCATGCTGTGGGGAGGGGTCAGCCTGGCAGGGTCTGCTGGGGAGCTGTGGCCAGGTGGGCTCCAAGCAGGGGACTGGGTGTGTGTGGCACCCCAGGGTGCTTTCCATCTGAGTCTCCAGCGTAAGCAGCCCCGTGGTTATACAAGTGACTGTGGTCCATAAACATTCCGGGAGGTGTATCCGTCAGTCGGCAGTTCACGGCTGCTCTGTCACCCGAGGGCGTGAGCTACTCAGGGAACAGAAACACCAACCAAGCGGCCACCATGGCCTCAGCAGGATCAGGCCCTGCCTGAGCACTCTGGGTGCCTTGGGGTCAAATGGTAGTGGTCGTGTTCCCTTCTCCTGCTGGGCTGGGCCCTGAGTGCCCAGTGCTGGGGCCGGTGGGGACCTGGTTGGCTGAGGGAGGCTGTGTGTGAGGGTGCAAGGCCAAGCTGGACGGCTTCCTGGGGGCCGACCTGGGGGCACCGGAGCGAAGCCCCACCCTCCTGGCCTGCGTCCACATGGCCACGCTTGGTCCTGTGCCTCTGGCTGGCCTCACTGGGCCCATGGTTGCCACTCTTTGCCAAGCCTTAGTCTGTCCTGTCCCACAGCCCCTGCCCTCAGGCAGCCTCCAGGCCAGGCCCCCACCCTCTCCATCTGGAGGCTGGGGGAGGGCTGGCCCCTCCCCACATACAGGCCACAGAACCTGTGATTGAGCCCTGGCCAGGGGCTCAATCAGTTGGATGAACAGTGGGTGGGTTTGTGATGGAGACTCAGGGCTGTGTGTTGGCACTGCCAGGCTGAGTCTCTGGGCTCAGGGCATGGCTGTAGCTGAGAGTCTACACTGTCCTGGGTCCCCCAGACTCAAAACATCACTGTGGCTGAGAGTCTGCACTGTCCCGGGTCCTCCCCGGGTCCCCCCGGGCTCAGGGCATGGCCGTGGCTGAGAGTTTACACTGTCCCGGGTCCCCCAGATGCAAAACATCACTGTGGCTGAGAGTCTACACTGTCCCAGGTCCTCCCCGGGTCCCCCCGGGCTCAGGGCATGGCTGTGGCTGAGAGTCTACACTGTCCCGGGTCCTCCCCTGGTCCCCCCGGGCTCAGGGCATGGCCGTGGCTGAGAGTCTACACTGGGTCCTCCCCGACTTCCCCGCTGGGTCTGGTGATCGGGGTTCTTCCTGTTCTGTGTGACTGGCAGCCTCTGGTCTGCGTCGGGCTCCCTGGGCTCTGCTGTCTGGGTCAGCTTCTGCTGTGAGATGCTGTGGAAGGAAAGCCCACGTGGACGGCTCGTGACGGCCACCGTCTGTTCATGCTCCATGCAGCTGTAGTCACTTGGGCTCAGCTTGGGGTAAGGTCCGGCCTGACCCCTACCTCCTCCTCCTGGGCCAACCGCCCCTGGCTTGCTCTGCTCCTGGTGTGGGCAGAGCACAAGACGAAAGCCCTATGCACCAGGGTCATCCAGGAGCCAGATGGAGACAGGAACAAGGCCCAGAAGGACGGCAGGGGCTCACACCACTTCCCCTGCACCCTGGCAGGCAGCCACACCGAGTCGGGGCAGGAAAAACATGCTGGGCCGCCTCCTGGAAGGCTCTGCAGAGGATCCTGTGGAGGATTCTGATGGGCGGATCCTGGGGAAGGGGTTGGAAGCCCAGATCCCACCCGCTGAACCTGCCTCTGGGGTCTCTGGACAGCTCCTGGCTGCCCAGACATGACCTGTGCTGGCCAGGGCGGTGGCTTCAGTCTCCCCCAAGGCTCCACTTGGCGTGACCCTGACCACGTGGGCCGGGACGTGGGGCCTTCTGATCACCTGGCGTGACCCTGACCATGTGGGCCGGGACGTGGGGCCTTCTGATCACCTGGCGTGACCCTGACCACATGGGCTGGTACGTAGGGCCTTCTGATCACCTGGCGTGACCCTGACCACGTGGGTCGGGACGTGGGGCCTTCTGATCACCTGGCGTGACCCTGACCACGTGGGTCGGGACATGGGGGCTTCTGATCACCTGGCGTGACCCTGACCACGTGGGCCGGGACGTGGGGCCTTCTGATCACCTGGTGTGACCCCTGACCACGTGGGCCGGGACGTGGGGCCTTCTGATCACCTGGTGTGACCCTGACCACGTGGGCCGGGACGTGGGGCCTTCTGATCACCTGGTGTGACCCTGACCACGTGGGTCGGGACGTGGGGGCTTCTGATCACCTGGCGTGACCCTGACCACGTGGGCCGGGACGTGGGGCCTTCTGATCACCTGGTGTGACCCCTGACCACGTGGGCCGGGACGTGGGGCCTTCTGATCACCTGGTGTGACCCCTGACCACGTGGGTCGGGACGTGGGGCCTTCTGATCACCTGGCGTGACCCTGACCACGTGGGCTGGGACGTGGGGCCTTCTGATCACCTGGTGTGACCCCTGACCACGTGGGCCGGGACGTGGGGCCTTCTGATCACCTGGTGTGACCCCTGACCACGTGGGTCGGGACGTGGGGGCTTCTGATCACCTGGCGTGACCCTGACCACGTGGGCCGGGACGTGGGGCCTTCTGATCACCTGGCGTGACCCTGACCACGTGGGCTGGGACGTGGGGCCTTCTGATCACCTGGTGTGACCCCTGACCACGTGGGCCGGGACGTGGGGGCTTCTGATCACTTGGCGTGACCCTGACCACGTGGGCCGGGACGTGGGGGCTTCTGATCACCTGGTGTGACCCCTGACCACGTGGGCCGGGACATAGGACCTTCTGATGCCTTTTGGGCCCTTGGGTCCTTGAGTGGTTCTTCCAGGAGGGCCTCTGGGGGAGTCTGGAGTGTGCCCGCATGTCAGGGGAGAGCTTTGCTGTCATCTGGCGTGAAACACAGCATCTGGGACAGAATTCCAGGTGCCTTCTCAGCCAGACCCGCAGCGTGGCGGTACCTGGCGTGGTGGCGGGGAGGCGGGCTGGCCTGGCTGTGAGTCCTCACCTTTGGTTTGCGCGGAGGGTTCTGTTATTGCCTTTGAGGATGTAGATGTCTCCAGAGGGGCTGAGTGGGAATCTTCCTACAGGTTTTGCCTGGAATGGGGGCCCTGGAGTCCCTGCGCAGTCACCCCTGCCGTCCTTCTGGGCCTTGTTCCTTTCTCCGTCTCACTCCTGGATGACCCGTCAGCCTCCGCACTGTCACATTTGTGGTTCGGGGGGTCACGGCGCTTTCTGCCTCTTGAAGCACCAGTCCCCCTCAGAGCCTCAGTTTCTCCACTATGAAGCAGGGATACCTGTGTCTCCCTTGACACAGCGCCTGACCTGGGGGCATCCCTGGTGAGCCCTGCGTCCAGCCCCACCCTGCCTGCCGTGGGCCCTGCGAAGTGCTGGGCAGTGGACATGGCCACTGTGTCACAGACAAGATGAGGCCCAGGGACCTGAGCCAGTCGTGGCCCATGCCCATGCCCACAATGCCAGCCCTCCCTGGCCCCACTGAGCAAGGGGCTCTTCTATGCCTCAGGGAGGGGGCACCTGGCCACCAGTGGTCCCTGCAGACGACACAGCTGGAGTAGGACAGGCCACCCACAGCCTGCCCAGAAATGTGGGACGGGAATCTCAGGCCTCACACCCGCCCCAGGCAGGCATGGCCCCTGGGCCCTCAGGTATGCCCCAGGGTCCCGGGGGAGGCTTGGCCCCATCTCCTGGCCTGGGGGCTGTGCCCAGCCGGGCACCCACTTCTCCCCGCCCGCCAGAGAGGGAGCCCATCAACGCCACCCTCCTCAACTTTTTTCTCCTCCCCAATTAATTAATTTAAATTGACCATTAAGTCAGGCAAGTTTTTGATTGATATTTTCATTAGCAGCCCTGTCCGACGCCCCGGGAATGTATGGTAACGTCCGATCCGCGGCGGCCGCACTCCTCCGCAGGCTGAGTTATGGCTGGCATCGCGCGGCTCCCGGGGTAATTTGAATTCAGATGAGCTGCCGCCGTGTTCCGGAGCGGGCGGCCGTCTGCTGACGGATGGCACTTGGGTTACCGCAAGGTCACCGTGCAGCCGCCACCCACCGCAGGAGGGGCCGGCCAGGCCGCCGGGGAAGGCGGGCAGCCCTGCAGCGGGTGACCAAGTGGACTCCCGAGAACTGCCCAGCCGGTGGCCATCCGGTGAAAGCGCTGGCGAGCCCGGGGGCCTGGTGGCCTGAGACCGTGGCCAAGCCTCACAGCTGCCATCCCTCGGGGGCCGGAAACGCAACTCTGCTTGAGGCTGCCACAGCCTCCTCTCCCGGGGCTGCGGTGGGGGTGGGGGTGGCAGCAGGAGCCAGGCCTCTTCCTGAGGAAGGTGCTGCCCAGGACGGAGCAGCTGCCTTTCACGTCGGGGGAGCTTGGGCCCATCTCAGGGTCCACCTGCAGCTGGACACAGTCTCCTCTACCGCTGATGTCCCCGTCCTGGAGCGGGCATGCCAGGGCCCTGGCCGTGGACTGCTGGAGGGCTGGACCTGCCATACTTTCTGCTGCTCAGCGTGGGGGACCGCATGCCGGGCTGGTGGCCACAGTGGGAGGCACAGAGCCTCAGGTGCCACTGTCAGCCCTGTGACCGTGGGGGCTGCTTCAGCGCCTGTGCCTTCGTTTCCCCATGGGCACAAGAGCGATCGTAGGTTGCCTCCATCTGTGGTTTAGGGAGGGACACGCGGGAGGCCCAGGCAAAGCGTGAGGTTCATGCTGGCCGTGTGCGTGTGGCCTCCCCTTCCCCTTGGTGCTGACTTATCCTGTCCCTGGCAGGGGCCCCTCGAGGCAGAGGGTGGTTGCTTCTGGCCTCAGGCCTGGTGGGGGCTTCAGGAGACCTTTGGAGGGCTTGGAAATGTGGTGCCTGAGTCTGAGGGAGGCAGAGATGGCTGCGGGCAGGATCTGACTCCCAGCCTGGGCCCAGCCAAACAGCCGCTGTTCCCGACCTCCCTCCCCGAGCGAGCCAGCCCAGAGCTCCACCGTCCCCTCACAGCCCCCGCCAGACCCCCAAATGGGCATGCAGGGCTGGAGACCCTGCCCCTCTGCCCCTGTTTGTGTGTCTGAGGCCATTTAAAACGGGCACAGAGGGCCGGCTGTACTGCCAGTCACAGGGCAGGGCTGGTGGGGCGGCCCCTCAGCGGCAGTGCCCTGGGAGGGAGGAGGAGCCCAGTGGAAGGAGGTCATGGGAGGGGCCGTGGGGCCAGGGCCTGGCTGGAAGCCTGAGGGGCCACAAAGGAGTCCCCAGGGAAGGTGCCCACCCCAGCCAGATCCACCTTCAGCCGGGGGGCTCCTGCTGCAGTGACTCCTAGGGAAGCAGCCGCCTTTGTTCTGCCCCTGTCGTCACCCCCACACTGGGGGCTGCACTCTGACCGTCACGCTGGCTGGAGAGTATGAGCCGAGGCTGGCATCCTGATGTGACTCCGGGTCCTGCCTCTCTCCGTGCTGCTGCTGTAACGGCACCGTGTCTGGGTAACTGATCGTGAACAGGGGTCGGCGGGCTCAAGTTTCTGGAGGCTGGGAAGTCCCAGATTGCGCAGCCGCATCTGGAGGGTCTCTTGCTGTGTCGTCAGGTGGCAGAGGGCAGAGGGGAAGGAGGAAGGCGAGAGAGCAGATGGGGTCGGAACCTGCCCTTTAATATGTGCCCCGTTCCCAAGACAGCAGCATCGATTCGTTCATGAATGCGGTGCCGTCCGACCCAAACACTTCCCATCAGGTCCCACCTCCCCACACCACCACTGTGGGGATCAGGTTTCCAACACATGAGCCTTGGGGGACGCATTCACCCCACAGTGGGTGGGGAGCCCCATGGCCGCAGGGATATTCCCCCAACACGGTGCCAGGGACGGCACGGGCCAGACGTTCAGCCTGCTCTGTGTGACCTGCTGGTTCCTGCAGACCCAGGCTGGGGTCTCAGAGCTGGGGAAGGCAGGGACCTTGTGACAGCCTTGGATGGGGGGACTGCCCCAGTCCAGTGGGAGGGGCTGGCACTGCCTCCGTGACCTGGGACAGGACCCAGTGGAGCTAATCCTGATTCCCTCACCATCTTCGCTCCCCGCTGTGGAGGCTGGGTGGCGGCAGATCCACCCCACTGTCCCCCACCCCAAGCTGCTGGGCCCCACCTCCCAACCTTCCTTGCAGTGGAGTGTGGCCATGTGACTAAGTTCTGTCTGATGAGATGTGAGTGAAAGTGTTAGACAGGACTTTCAGGAAGACTCCTTAAAAGTAGCCGACTGACCGGGCGCGGTGGCTCATGCCTGTAATCCCAGCACTTTGGGAGGCCGAGGCGGGTGGATCACGAGGTCAGGAGATCGAGACCATCCCGGCTAACATGGTGAAACCCCGTCTCTACTAAAAAATACAAAAAATTAGCCGGGTGAGGTGGCGGGCGCCTGTAGTCCCAGTTATGCGGGAGGCTGAGGCAGGAGAATGGCATGAACCCTGGGGGGCGGAGCCTGTAGTGAGCCGAGATTGTGCCACTGCACTCCAGCCTGGGTGACAGCGAGACTCCATCTCAAAAAAAAAAAAAAAAAAAAAGTAGCGTAGCTGACTCAGCTAGGAAAAGGGTCCCCTGTTCTTTGTGTTCCTTCTTTCTTGCTTCCTGAAACTGAGGCGTGATGGCTGGGGCTCTGGCAGCCATTTGAACCATGAGGTGACCTTGGGCAGGAAGCCACATGCGAGGAGGTGGAGCAGAAAAAAGCCAGAGGTTGCCTACGTATGTGGTGACCCTGGGGACCCGATCCCAGCCTGGCATGGCCACCTCCAACTCTGGTCTCATGAGAGAGAAGTTGACTTTTGCTGTGGTTGCTGCTACCGTGTTGATGGCAGTGTTGTGTTTTGGTGTTGCTGTTGCTTATGTTGTTGTTGTTGGCAGTGATGTTATTTCTGTTGATGTTTTCATCATTGTTTTTGTTTTTGGTGGTGGTGGTGGTGGTGGTGTTTTTTCTTTCTTTCTTTTTCTTTTTTTTTGTGAGACAGAGTCTTGCAGTGTCACCTGGGCTTGAATGCAGTGGCGCAGTCTCAGCTCACTGCAACCTCCACTTCCTGGGTTCAGCCTCCCAAGTAGCTGGGATTACAGGCGTCCTATGTGGTGGTGCTTTTGTAGGTTTTTGGCATTGCTGATGGTGGTGGTAGTGATGACGGTCCTGTTGGTGGTGATGGTGTTTTGTATGCAGCCAGTACAATTCCTGACTGTGGCAGGAACCAAAGAGAATCCCCCCTCTGTGGAAACAACTCCCGGAAAGGCCTCCCTTGCTCCAAGACAAAGTGAGAAGACAGAGCTCAGGTGCTTCTGTGGGATGTCTGCGGAGGAGGGGCCATTTCCTTCCACAGCTGTGTCCAGGCACACTTGAGAAAGGTCTGTTATGGGAAATAAGATGACATTTTATTTATTTATTTATTTATTTTTAATTAATTAATTTTTTTTTTTTTTGAGACAGAGTCTCACTCTGTCACCCAGCCTGGAGTGCAGTGGCACGATCTCAGCTCACTGCAACCTCTGTCTCCCAGGTTTAAGCGATTCTCCTGCCTCTGCCTCCCCAGTACTGGGACTACAGCTGCCCGCCACCACGCCCGGCTAATTTTTGTATATTTAGTAGAGACGGGGTTTCACCATATTGGCCAGGCTGGTCTCGAACTCCTGACCTTGTGATCTGCCCACCTCAGCCTCCGAAAGTGCTGGGATTACAGGCGTGAGCCACCACGCCCGGCTGACTTGTTTTTTAATAAAGTATAAGGAAATGTGGAGACCATGAGGCGAGAGAGGACAGCTTAGATGATCGCAGGGCAGATGAAGTGAAGCAGATCCAGGTGCCAGTGTGGGCGAAAGGGACCTGACATGCCCAGGACAGGGCTTTGCGTGTGGACGCCGTGAACCCCCATTCCTGCCAGGGCCCTGAGTGGTACAAATGGAGCTCCAATGCACAGCAGAACTGGGATCTGTAGTAAAAGACAAAGCGCAAGGCCGGTGCCCGGTGCGTGAGTCAGAGACGCTGGAGATGAAGGGCGGGGGTGGTCACGGGAGGCCGGGGGGTGAAGACCTGAGAAGCCGATTGCAGGGTATAGACCCAGAGATAGGCCAGCACCTGGTGCGGGAGGGAGATGCGGCTTGGAGGAAAGTGCCCATGTCCACAGGTGCATGAGTCTGGGAACAGGGCGGGAAGGCCGGCCAGTCCTGAAGTGGGCCAACCCCAGAGACGCCGAGCTGGGCAAGGGAGCCCAGGCCATGCCTGCCATACCCCTCCATGCGCGCCACCAGCTGGCCCTGGCCTCTGCCCTCCTGCCTTGCCTGCCCTGGTGAGGCCGGGTCGTTGGCCGCCCTGGCAGTGCGTGCCGTTCCCTCTCCAGCTCCGTGTTTGCCCAGCCCCGGGCAGTGGTAAGGGGCCGCTCGCCACAAGGTGGGATCCTGGCAGCTCCTGCCTCAGCCTGTGGCTGCAAAGTTCAGTGACTCGTTAGTAACCTGCTTCACTTAGAAGGTGCTGGAGCTCAGGGAGGATGGGTGAGCAGCGTGGGCCCAGAGCCTGCCTGTCTTTGACCCCAGGAGGAAGAGAGCCCAGGCCGTTATGTGGGCTGCTTTGGGGTGGGGGCTCAGTGGACCCCCAGCTCTCACCTGTGGACGCTCTGCGGCATCCCCTTCCCCGTCTTGTTGGCAGCGTGGAGCAGCGTTGCTGGGTTGGGTGCAGGTTGATGTGTTTCTGTGCTGTGTTCACTGAGGTGAGCTTGTGGCTGCCGCAGATAAGCCCTGAGCCCTCGGGGGGCCGTGGAGGCCTCAGCCCAGCCCAGTGAGAGGGCTGGGGGTCGGGGGCTGGGGGTCGGGGCTGGCTTATCTGTGCGGTGGCATTCCCCCGCTGGGATGGTGCTGGGGTTGCACACAGGCCCGCATGGCTGGTTCTGTGGCTGGGTCCCATCCCTCCAGCCACGTTTTCCTGGCCATACCCCATGGCCTGGGAGGCCGGCGGCATGGAATCGCTTCAGCCCAGAAGGGAAAGGCATCTTTGGCGGCCACAGCCATGAGCCACAGTCCACCCCTCAGGCTGCCAAACAGCCTCCCCTCCCGTCTTCCTTCCCCAGAGCTGCCGTCCCCATGCAGCTCCAGCCCACACCTCCAGGTGGGCACAGCAGGGCCAGGAGACTCTGCCTCCCATCCCTGCTCACCTGTCTGGGGCTGTCTGAAGGGGGCCCTGGGGGCCCGGCTGTGGTACCAGCCCACTTCCCACCCAGGGACATTTGGGCCTGGAGCTGTGGTCAGGCCCCAACAGTTACTGGTGTTCCAGTCCGGGCCTGGTTTTCCTGGGATTCTGGCCAGGTCTTTGGCCATTCACTCACCCGCCTACCCTCAGACACACTTTCCCATGCCATCCCCACTGAGGGTGGCCACCTGGGGGCCACAGCCTGGATGCACCCCTGCCGTGATGGGCCTTCGGGCTCAAGGCCAGCCTCACTGTCTCTGCGAGGCAGCACGTGCCCTGTCTTCTGGTTCTACTTCTTCCCCAAGAGGCAGCACTCACCTGCCTCTGTCTTCCTTCCAGGTTGCCTCACGGACTGTTTCACCAAGTATGTTGCCATGACATAGCACGGCCCTCCATCTTCCCATCTTCACGGCATCTGACAGCCGTCTCCTCACTGGTCGGCTCTATGCCAAGCATTCGTGACACACGTCAGTTCTGTTGTGGTGGCACCATCGCAGCGACTTCTCTCTTGGTGAAGGAGTTGCTGCTGCTCACCAGCAGCTGCCGACTGCTCCTGGGTGCTCCTGACATGCAGGCGCTCCCTTCAAGGGGTGGGCGCAGGCACCCTCAGGCCTGAGGCTCTGCTGTCCTCACCGCTGAAAGAGAACCGTCAACCCAGAATGCTATACCCAGTGAGAAGACCGTTCAGGAATGAAAGGGGCGTCAAGACATCCTCAGATGAAGGAAAACCAAGCGTGTTTGTCACCAGCGGACCTAAAAAAGAGTGGCTAAGGCAGGTCTCGGAACAGAAATGGAAACAGTGAAAGAAGAAACCTTGGAACATCAGGAAGGAAGAAAGAGCGCAGTAGGCAGAATTATGAGTGAACATAATAGGTTTCCTTCTCCTCTTGAGTTTCCTAAATTATGTGTGATGGTTGAAGAAAAAAATTAGAATACCGACTGATGTGATTCTTGATAAATGTAAAGGAAATGTTTATGATATGTTATAGGTGGGGAACTAAATGGACACCAGGGAGGGAAGGCTTCAGCACTTCCCTGAAGCTGGTAAAATGTCAACACCGGCAAACTGTCATGAGCCACGTATAAGTAATAACCTAGAACAGCAACTAAAAAAGTGGATGAAGAGATGTACTCAGAAACACCATAAATAGCTCAACAGATAAATAACTCAACACATGATCCCAAAGTCATGAAGATACTCTCCTGTTTGCTAAAGTTAAGTTAAAATGGAGACTGAGCAGACAAAACATGCAGGCCTCATGAGTGTTGTCAACCTTGCTTGATTTGTAAATATAAATGAAACTTTTTTTTAAAATTTCAAGATGGAGTCTCCCTCTGTTGCCTGGAGTGCAGTGGTGCTATCTCAGCTCACTGCAACCTCCGCCCTCTGGGTTCAAGTGATTCTCCTGCCTCAGCCTCCTTAGTAGTTGGGACAACAGACACGTACCACCGTGCCTGGCTAATTTTTGTATTTTTTGTGGAGATGGTGTTTCACCCTGTTGGCCCAGCTGGTCTTGAACTCCTGATTTCAAGTGATCCACCTGCTTCGGCCTCCCAGAGTGCCGGGATTGCAGGCATGAGCCACGGTGCCCAGCCCATAAGTGAAACTTAATTTGAGCCTATATTAAAGAAAAACAGAGCTGAAGCTCAGCCAGCCAAAGCAGCCAAGAAACTTACATAACTAAGGCTTCTCCGCGGGACAGACCGAAGCAGGCAACAGTGTGACTGTCACCAATCCAAGCTTTTCTTTGGTTTACTTCTGCATCCTTCTTATCAAAGCCTTCACCCTGCATTCCCTCAACCACTTCTGGTTTGCAGCTGCTCAATTCAAGAATGTATTTGCTCAAATAAACTATTTTGCCTTTTAAACATGTGTTTTCCTAGAATAGTCACAGTTTTAGTTTTGTTGTTGTTGTTGTTTTGAGACGTGAGACGGAGTCTCGCTGTGACACCCAGGCTGGAGTGCAGTGAGATGGAGTCTCACTGTGACACCCGGGCTGGAGTGCAGTGGCGCAATCATGGCTCGGCTCCCGTGTCATCCAGCCTGCTGGGCGCCAACTTGCTTGGCCCCTCTTGATGGCCCTTGGGCTCAGTAGGGAGGGGTGGGACCTCCCCGCTTCCAACCTTGGCCGTGGGGACCTGCGTGCCTGGCTGAGTGAGCCGCTCCTGGGCTCCTGGCACTGTCTTCATCAGCAGTGCTGATGTGTCCTGTGACTTGCTTTATTTTGGGTTTGTTTCATTTTGTGGTTTTATTTTGTGTTTGATTTTGCATCTCATGTCGCTCCGCAGTCTCACATGCTTCCTCTCCTGGCTGTGCCCACCCCTTCGTCTTGCCGGTGTCTTGATTTCCTGCACCAGAACCTGCTTACTGCATCCAACATCCCCCATCCTTCCTTCCTGGAATCCCAGAATCTCTCACACAGTGGCTGGCCCAGCACCCAGGGGTGATGACAGGCAGGAGGCCCCTTGAGCTGTGGCAGGTTGGTCTCTGTTGAAACAGCCAAACGGATGTCTCTGAAACATCGCCATCCACAGCCTTGCCCATCCCTGCCCAGCCCCTGCCCTAACGTCGCTGCTCTGTCTTTGCTGCATGGCGGCTTTGGAGAAAAGTGCATGGTCCTTCATCTGTGGATGCAGCCAATCCCTTGTTCGGATTCTGCATTTGCACATTTGCCTCCTTGATAAAGTGGCAACCCCCAAATCAGTACTTGTGGTGCTTTTGTGGTCATTCTTGGACATGTGAGGAGCAGCAAACAATTCGGGCCATCCCCTGTGTGCGCCCAGGTGGGATGGGCGTGGCTGCATCCTGTCTTCCATGTGTGCCCAGGTGGGATGGGCGTGGCCACATCCTGTCTTCCGTGCGTGCCCAGGTGAGGTGGGCGTGGCCGCATCCTGTCTTCCATGTGTGCCCAGGTGGGATGGGCGTGGCCACATCCTGTCTTCCGTGCGTGCCCAGGTGAGGTGGGCGTGGCTGCATCCTGTCTTCCATGTGTGCCCACGTAGGGTGGGTGTGGCCGCATCCTGTCTTCCATGTGTGCCCAGGTGGGGTGGATGTGGCCGCATCCTGTCTTCCGTGTGTGTGCCCAGGTGGGGTGGGCGTGGCCGCATCCTGTCTTCAGTGTGCGCCCAGGTGGGGTGGGTGTGGCCGCATCCTGTCTTCCGTGTGGGCCCAGGTAGGGTGGGCGTGGCCACATCCTGTCTTCCATGTGTGCCCAGGCGGGATGGGCATGGCCGCATCCTGTTTTCCGTGTGTGTGCCCAAGTAGGGTGGGCGTAGCCGCATCCTGTCTTCCGTGTGTACCCAGGTGGGGTGGGCGTGGCTGCATCCTGCCTCCCTTGTGTCCCCAGGTGAGGTGGGCGTGGTCGTGTCCTGCCTTCTGTGTGCCCAGGTGGGGTGGGCGTGGCCGCATCCTGCCTTCTGTCTCTGCTCATCTGTAAATGTCCTTTTTTGTGGTTTGCGTGTGCCATGTTTTTGCTCTCGTGTCCCTTTGGTGATTTTGCTGTTTAAAGCGGCCCCTGTGCCCGGTGCTGAAATGCCATCTGGTGTCCGTCAGCATAGGACGGCCATGGGGCACCCCGTGGAGAAATGCGTGTGGGGCGACCTGCCTCTGGGTGGGAGCTGTGGCACCGCTGGCTGTGAGCTTGATGTTAAGGGATCAATATACACGCTCAGTGCGGTGTCTGTGAATAGGGCCACACATAAAGCAGGGCCGGGTATTGATTGGCGGACGGAGCTGTTGTGACCGGAGGCGGCAGGAACCTCCCCTGGGCTGCCCCCAGGAGCAGGAGCTCCCTGTGCAGAGGCTTCCTAGACAGAACCCCAGGGGCAGCGACGGCTGACCTGGCGCCCCGTCCTCTTGCTGCTGCGGTGACGCTGCTCTGGGGCTGTGCCTCTTCTGTTGTTCTGGTGTGTCTCTGCATCCCCCTCACGTCTCTGCATCCCCCTCACGTCTCTGCGTCCCCCTCACGTCTCTGCATCCCCCTCACGTCTCTGCATGCCCCTCATGTCTCTGCATCCCCCTCACGTCTCTGCATCCCCCTCACGTCTCTGCATGCCCCTCACGTCTCTGCATCCCCCTCACGTCTCTGCATCCCCCTCACTTCTCTGTATCCCCCTCACCCCTTCGCCGGTGGGTGATGCTTGGGTGCTCCTCAGCAGGCCCCGTGACTTTGGCTGTGTGGCCTGAAGTGGGGCCGTGGAGCCCCAGGGTCTGCAGACACCCTTTCCACAAGCCCCACAGCCGGCCTCTGGGATGGGCTGCGCGCAGCCTGCAGGCCCCAATCCTCCTGTCCTTGCCGGCGGTGGCTGTGCTATGCCCCTCCAGTGTCTGCTGCTCCACACCGAGTGTGGCAGGTGCCCAGCGTGACTGGCCGCATTCATCTGACTCCTGTGAGGCTGGTCGCGTGAGCATACCAGCCAGCTGGCACCCTCCTCCTGAGAATCGCCGAGTCTTTGGTGCTCACTTCTTCTTCGGGGTTCTCTGACGTTTTCGTATCAGTTTCTGAAGCCTGCTGATGTGATCCCAGCCTCTCCCTCTTTGCGTGGGACCTGAGGTACAGGTGAGGTACAGGTACTGTTCTCCATATAATGATCCTATTATCTTTCTTTCCTAGTTTTTGAGTTATGTAAAAAAATAACTATTGAACTTTATGAAAAGCATTTCCAAGTCTTCTGAGACAATTGTGTGGTTTTTCTCCTGTGGCTCCTGATGGAACTAACCACAGGGGTGATTTTCTGGTGTGGAGCTGTCCCGGCACACCTGGCCTGCTTCACACGGTGTCACTTAAGGTACACTGTTGGATTCATTTCCATGAATGCAGCTTGCCTGTGACACACACACGCATAGCCACGCACGTCGGTGTGGATCTCAGGCCTGCCCGGGACTTTCTTCTCTCGTGGTGCCTGCGTGTGCTTATTTTCGCATCAGGGTTGCAGTGTTTTGCGTGTTTGTGTCCCTCCAACATTCATGTTCAAACATTAGCTCCAACAGTAGGACTAAGACGCAGGGCCTTTGGGAGATGGTTAGGTTTCAGGGGCTCTGCCCTCCTGGCTGGGATTAGGGCCCTTACCGAGGGTTTTGAGGGACTGGGCCCACTCACTTCTGCTCTTTGACAGGGTGAGGACCCGGTGACAGGACGCCATATTGGGAGCGGAGCCTGGGCCCTCGCCAGACACCAAACCTGCCGGCGCCCCTACCTTGGGCTTCCCACCCCCAGTACCTTTCTGTTCTTTGTAAATTACTCAGTCTGTGTGTTTTGTTACAGCAGCAGGGGCGGGACTAAGGCAAGAGTTGGCCATGCCTTGTGCACAGAGGTGGGAATAGCCCTGCTTTCTGTTCTCTGTTCTCTGTTTTCCCGAGTAGCTTGTCCCTGCCGGGTTGGGTTGCTGCAGAGGCTGCCTCTGCTGACCCTTTGGTCACTGGGTAGGGCTGGGAGGCCGTGCCAGTGTGTGCGCAGGTGTCTGTGCTTGCGTGTGCATGCCTGGGTTAGTGAATTTGTGCTGAGATGTACATATGTGTAGCAGGCCATGTGCCTTGTGTGTGTTGGCATGTGTGTGTAAGTGGGTGCCATGTGCCTGTGTGTCAGTATGCGTTTGAGTGTATACATGCGTGTGTGATCACGTGCCCGAGAGCATGCAAGCACCCACATTTGTGCAGGTGAGTGGATGCAGGTGTGTACATGTGTGCACTTGTGAACCTGCCCTGTGTGTACATGTGCTGGTGTGTGCATGCTTGTTTATGCTGTGCGCATGTGGGTGCCGTGTGTCAGTGTGAGCACACGTGTGTCACATGCGGCAGGCCTGGGCGTGTGTGCATGCACCAGGCTTGTATGCATCTGTGCAGGTATCATTTATGCACCTGCCATGTGCGTGTTTACGCGAGTGTGTGTGATGTGTGGGTGCAGGTCCGTGTGGGTGTGTACATGTGTGCCTATGCATGTGTGGTGTGTGTGAGCATGTGTGTGTGTGCGCGCATGCCTTCGTGTGTGTCTGAGGGGGCGGAGCACACCCCTCGAGCGTGCTGGCTGAGAGCACTCGGCCCTGCCTGGGCTTCTCGGGAGGCCCTGGCGGGAGCCCAGTAGCCACTTTAACCTTCACTGGCAGCACCGTGAGAGGTCTTGCACGACCTGGTGTAAATACAGCAATCTGCACTTCAGATAAATACAAGATGCATCAAAAGATTTAAGGCACCTGTTGTGTATTTAAAAGACTTATATCTTGTTTATGGTTCAGTATAAAACATACAGCTGATTTATTTAGTGGCTGGCCCATTGCAGAGGAAATCTCATTTCAATCATAAACGGCAGGGTTTGATTTAAGAATTCATTCTTTAATGGGTCTGCAATGTTCAAATTTAAACCCATTCAATTCATCAGCCAAATATTCAATATGGGCACAGGGAACTCATTTAGGCAAACAGAGACTTTTAATATAAATTTTCCGGGAGATTTCTCCATCGATTCCGCAGTTTAGTGCAAAATGATTTGTGCGATACATTCTTGGGGATCAATGCCGCCGGTCAATGGCTCCTATAAAACCACCTCCCCTGCCAGGCACGGGTCAAGGAACTTTAGCTCTCGGGTAGCTGCTCGGCCGGACAGCAGCACTCTGCTGGAGTCGTCCCTTCTCTCTGCATGTGCCGCCATCCACTGGCCACCTCCTGGCAGAGGGGCTGCCTCCAGCCTGTGCTGAGAACCTTTGGCATGGCCAGGGTGGGGGGCCCTCACCCTCCATGCTGGCCCCTTGCCCACCGTGTGGACAGAGACTGCAGGGCTCAGGAGCCAGGGCCCCCACGGAGGCGCCTCTGCTGCTGGCACATGGAGCAGCCTGGCACGGTGCTGCCCGCCCAGGCCTTGGTACCTGCCTGTGTCTGGAGGCCCAGCAGGGGCTACATGTGGCCTTTGAAGTGAGGAGCTGCCTGTCTTCTTGTGCACCAGGGGCACCTCAGGAGAGGCTCTGCCAGCTGGGCCAGTGCAGGTCAGCTCAGTTCCCTGCCCTGGGACTGGTGAGGAGCCTCTGTGACCTGAGCTGCCCTTGTGGCCTGAGCTGGGTCTGAGGGCTGCTCTCCAGGACAGGCCAGGAGGACGGGGGGAGACTGACTGCTGAACACCAAGGCTTCGAACTGGGGTGGCGGGGGCCCCCCTCCAGCCAGGGGTGTCTCTCAGGGCCCACGGACAGACCCCACACCCCCATATCCTGGCCCAGCCAGTGCTCCAAGGACTGAGCTGAGCAAGAGGAGTGAAGGCCACACACAGTGTCGCTGCAAATGAGGGACACCGCCCACTGCGCCCCTGCTTCCTGTGAGCCGGGCTGGGTCAGGCGGCTGAGACGCACCTCAGGGTGGCCCAGAGGCCCCGTTCTGTGCCCCCATTCCCCAGCTAGGGCCCTGAGGATCTGCCGGAGGTCACCAGGCAGGGTTCAAAGCCACATGGTCCAGCCCACGTCCGTGCAACCAGCAGGTGCCAGTGGCAGGGCTGTGCCCTGGAGCAGGGTGGGTGCTCAGAGTGTGGGCAGCCTGAGGGCCTCGGGTGTGCTGCGGACAGGGCTGGTCCAGGGGTGAGTCGGGGGCAGAAAGAGGGCAGCCGGGGCCCGGGTTGGGGGCAGGGGCCAGTGTTTTGAGTGTGGCCGCAGAGCCTGGCAGGGCAGATGGGGGCGTCTGGCTGCCCTGCCCTGTCATGGGGCTGTGCAGTGGGGGAGAGCCTGGGAGGTGCCCCTCCAGCCTTGGCCTGGGGTCACAGCCACCTCAGCCGCCTGCCCAGCTGGGGTGCCCAGGCCTCTGTCCCCCACCCCAGGCCGCCCCCCACGTCGCGGAATCCCTCCCAAGCCCAGATGCCCTGCCTGGGGACTTTGCAGTCTCTCCACCCCAGGCCACCCCCACTGCCCTCCCTGTTGTCCTCCAGGCCCTAGTCTGGCCCTCCCAGTGTTGGGCACCTCTTGCTGCTCTGGCCCCGAAAACAGGGGCCCTGCTGGGATCCCCGGTCACCATCTCCACAGACCTTCGAGGCACGTAGCCCCTGCACCACGCCTGGGCATCCGAGAGCCTGCTCACTTGTTCATCCCTCCCCTTGCCCGTCTGCCCCTTGGGCTCCCCTGCACGGGCGGTGTCCTGAGGCGGGTGGCAGGTCTTCCGGCAGGCAGCTGGGGTCCGGGGGCCAGGGGAGGCAGCTGGAGTCTGGGGGCCAGGGGAGGAGAAATTCTTGGTGTGGGGGCAGCGCGTTGAGTGGGGTGTAGGGAGGGGTTGGGGAAGGGGGACAAGCTGCTGTGGACGGGCCCAGTCCTGGGTGCCCCCTCGGCACTGAGCTGGCAGGGGGCTCAGCATCCATGATGAGGGGTTATAGGTGCTCACAAGCATAGGGAAGTCGCAGGGGCTGAGACACCCATCTCGGGGGCCGCCACAAAGCCCTGGGTTCCAGGGAGGCCATATTAGTCCATTCTCATGCTGCTATAAAGAACTGTGTAATTTATAAAGGAAAGAGGTTATTTATTTATTTATTGAGACAAAGTCTCTGTTGCCCAGTCTGGAGTGCAGTGGCGCGATCTCGGCTCACTGCAGCCTCTGCCTCCTGAGTTCAAGCGATTCTCCCACCTTAGCCTCCCGAGTAGCTGGGATTACAGGCGCCTGCCACCATGCCTGGCTAATTTTTATATTTTTAGTAGAGACGGGGTTTCACCATATTGGCCAGGCTGGTCTTGAACTCCTGACCTCAGGTGATCCACCTGCCTAGGCCTCCCAAAGTGCTGGGATTACAGGCGTGAGCCACTGCACCTGGCCAGGAAAGAGGTTTAATTGACTCACAGTTCCATGTACTGAGGAGGCCTCAGGAAACTTATAACCCTGATGGAAGGCGCCTCTTCACAGGGCAGCAGGGGAGAGGGTGAGAGCCTGGCG
This sequence comes from Homo sapiens, assembly GCF_000001405.40. NCBI lineage: Eukaryota > Metazoa > Chordata > Mammalia > Primates > Hominidae > Homo > Homo sapiens. Next base: position 1,609,563 of record NC_000004.12, on the reverse strand, counting down.
AAGGGGGAAGCTCCTTATTAAACCATCAGATCTCGTGAGACTCACTTGTTGTCAGGAGAACAGCAGTATGAGGGTATGTGCACCCATGATCCAGTTACCTCCACCGAGTCCCTCCCATGGCATGTGGAGATTATGGGAGTTACAATTCAAGATGAGATTTAGGTGGGGACACAGCCAAACCATATCAGAGGCCCCGGGGCAGGTGCAGGCCTGGGCCTTCCCGTGAGAGTCAGTGAGGCCCTGGAGCCTGTCAGGACCTGGGGGGCTGGAAGGAGGCCCGAGGGGCTGATGAGGGATGGGGGTGTGGGGCTGGCCATGGACCCCAGGCCCCGGACTCTGTTTCTGAGAGTGGGGGACCCCAGGCAGCAGAGACAGCCCTGCCAGAGCCACATCCTGAGGGGAGGGGATCCCTGAGACCAGCGACAACTCTGGACAGCCCTCTCTCCCAGAGGCCTAGGGGGCTCCTGAGCAGGAGCCAGGGCTTGGGGTCTGCAGCACCGCTGGGCTTGGTTCCTGACGTGGATTCAAGGCCAAGTCTGAACTGCATCGGCAGCCGCCATCCCATTTGCTCAGTGGTGCAGCGCTGGGCCATCTGTGTCTCTCCCTCCTGCTCCTCCTTGGGCCCCGCCTCCAAACCCGCATGGTCCCTGTCCCTGGCGCCCTCCGTCCCGTAAGCCCAGCATACGAGGATTCACCAGGAATGAAAAGCAGAACCCATATTGATTTCATTTCCAAATTATTAATCAGCTTCACAGCTCAGCAGAAGTATTGCATTGTTCAGCTTGGACAGATCCAAACGGCTCTCCCTCCGGCGAGCAGGGATGGGTGAAGGACGGGGAGTGATGGACGGGGCTGAGGCCAGGCACTGGTGGGCAGCGGGTGTCAGGTGCCGGAGCCGTTACTAAGCAGAGTGTGTGTGTAGCGGCTGCAGGACCCTCCTTGGGTTTCAGCCACTGCTGACCTGACTTTGCTGCCTCTAAGCCTCCCCCACCCACTGGGCCCTCCCACCAGGGGCCTCACCTCTTGCCACGGAGCCCCTCAGGAACCAGCAGGACAGGCCCCTGGGACAACAGAGAGCAAGACGGAGACAACTGCAGCCTCCACCCGTGGCTGGCGCCTGGGCGGGGAGGGGCCCGTGAGCATGGAAACAGCAGATCCACGCAGTTTCAGGCCACCGTCGCCACTGTGGAGGGAATTATGGGGCTGGGGGCACCCAGGACGGGGCTCTCTCAGGAGGCCATGTTTACACGGAGGTCTGGAGGTTCAGGAGGGGCCGCCTGGGGTGGGGGTCTCAGGGTGCAGGCACGGCAGGTGGAACACATAGAAGATCGGAGAGGCCGGGAGGGGCTGAGGAGACCAGGGGGGCCATAGGGGCACCATCAGTGGCTGAGCTGGGGTTTTGTTCTCTGTGTCCTGGGAAGGTGATTTTTTTGTTTTTGTTTTTATTTTTCTGAGACAAAGTTTTGCTCTGTCACCAAGGCTGGAATGCAGTGGCCCAATCTCGGCTCACTGCGACCTCCGCCTCCCGGGTTCAAGTGATTCTCCTGCCTCAGCCTCCTGAGTAGCTGGGATTACAGGCTCGTGCTACCACATCCGGCTACTTTTGGTGTTTTTTTTTTTTTTGAGACGGAGTCTCACTCTTTTTGCCCAGGTTGGAGTGCAGTGGCGTGATCTCGGCTCACTGCAACCTCTGCCTCCTCGGTTCAAGTGATTCTCATGCCTCAGCCTCCCGAGTAGCTGGGATTACAGGCACACGCCTCCACGCCCAGCTAATTTTGTATTTTTAGTAGAGACATGGTTTCTCCATGTTGATCAGGCTGGTCTCCAACTCCCGACCTCAGGTGATCCGCCCACCTCGGCCTCCCAAAGTGCTGGGATTAGAGGTGTGAGCCACTGCACCCGGACTGGGCGGGTGAAGCCAGGGCTTGGCATGGCTTGATTTCCACAGGATGGATGTGGATTAGGGGACATCAGTGGTGGGGGGGCGGCCTCACTTAGGCCCGAATGGATGAAAGGATGTGATATGGAAAATTCACTTCAAGATGCTCTGGGGGATGGGTGGGGTGGAGATGGAGCCACTTTGCTCCTGAGTTGACGATTGAAGGCCGTGGGTGAATGGCACGAGGTCCCATGCTACAGGTCTCACTGCTTTTGTGTACGCACGCACGTTTCCATAATAATAGAATAAAAACTGGAATGAGACACCCACTAGGATGGCTATGATTAAAAAAAAAAAAAACCCAGAGGCTGGATGCAGTGGCTCACACCTGTAATCCCAGCACTTTGGGAGGCCGAGGCAGGCGGATCACTTGCGGTCAAGAGTTCAAGACCAGCCTGGCTAATAGGGTGAAACCCTGTCTGTACTAAAAATACAAAAATCAGCCGGGTGTGGTGGCGCATGCCTGTAATCCCAGCTACTTGGGAGGCTGAGGCAGGAGAATCGCCTGAACACGGGGAGCAGAGGTTGCAGTGAGCTGAGATCGGGCCACTGCACTCCAGCCTGGGTGATAGAGTGAGACTCCGTCTCAAAAGAAAGAAAACAAAAAACCCAGAAAGTGGCAAGCGTTGTGGAAGCTGTGGAGACGCCGAAACCCTCGTGCCCTGTTGGTGGGAACGTGAGGTGGTACAGCTGCGGTGGGGAACAGCATGGCAGCTTCCAAAACGTTAAACAGAATCTCCAGGTGATCCTGAAATTCCGCCTCTGGGTACAGGCCCAAGGGAGTGGAAAGCAGGGGCTGGGACAGCTGCACCCGCATTCACAGCAGCGCTTTCCCCGACAGCTAGGGGGCGTGGCTGCCCGAGTCCCTCGCAGGGGAACGCTACACAGGGGTCCATCCGTGCAGTAGACTATTATGCAGCCAGGATAAGGAAGGGGGTTCTTCAATGTGCTTCAGGAAGGCGCACCTTCGGGACACCATGCTGAGTGAAACGAGCCATCGTCAGAGGACCCGTCCCACATAATTGAGTCGTTTATGCACTTGTCATTATGCACTTGTCTGAGTCACGCGGTAGGCAGGACACACACCTCACACACTCTGGGGGTCTGGGGTCTGCCTCGGTCCTCTGCATGAAACAGTGGGGCTTCTAGAATCTGAAGGGCATCGGGTCTCGGCTATCTTAGCAGTCCCGCGAGGAGCCCGCGGCGGGAAGAGCTTACCGTGGAGGGGTGGGGAGTGTGGCTTTTGTCTAATGACATAGACCCCAGTAAGAGTCATAGGAGGCCGGGTGCGGTGGCTCATGCCTGTAATCCCAGCACTTTGGGAGGCCGAGGCGGGAGGATCATGAGGTCAGGAGATCAAGACCATCCTGGCTAACACGGTGAAACCCTGTCTCTACTAAAAATACAAAAAAAAAAAAATTATCCAGGTGTGGTGGCAGGCGCCTGTAGTCCCAGCTACTCAGGAGGCTGAGGCAGGAGAATGGCGTGAACCCGGGAGGCGGAGCTTGCAGTAAGTTGAGATCGCGCCACTGCACTCCAGCCTGGGCGACAGAGCGAGACTCCATCTCAAAAAAAAAAAAAAAAGAGTCATAGGAAACCCGCAGCATTTTGGAGAGAATTCCTGGCACAGGCCCTGCTAGGCCAGCTAACGTCAGTCATGCTGCCTACAAAACAAAGAGAGCACTTCCAGTTTGGGCTAAAGAGGACAGGAACGGGACAACGAGGGTCCCCCTGAACTCCAGTGGGGAGGGGGAAAGGGGAGAAGACTCTGAAGCCTGGGCCGGGAGCATGAGAGCCACCAGGACTCCTGGGAAGAAGGGGTGCGCCAGTCAGCAACCTCGAAAGCTGTGCCCGCCCCAGGGTTTCAGAACTGCTGCGGGCGGTGCCTGCAGGTGCCTCTGGGCAGCCCCACCCTTGAGTGCAGGACGTGGGCAGAGCTCACCCTGCAGGGTCGGCAGGGAGCCCTGGGTCTCTGGGGTGCACGGAGGAGGCACCCCGAGGAGCCGCGTCCACACCTGGACCCGCAGGGAGAGGAGGGATGGGAAGTGTGGCTGGAGGGCGGCTGTGGCAGAACACGCTTTTCAAAAGTGGTTGCGCGTCGTCCCCTCCCTCACGCTCATCTTGCTCTGGGCCTCTCACAACCACACTCCGAGTCAGGCTCCACGCCCAGCCCCTGGAAGCTGGGTGCAGGGTCCTTTGGTGGGGGCGGAATGGGCGACTCCAGGCTGGGTCACCGGCACGGCTGTCTCCTGGGTTCTCCTGAGCACTTGCTCCTGGGACCTGGAGCTGGGCTGTGAGGAAGCCCCAGCCACATGGGGAGGATGGGGAGGCTGCGCTGGGAGTTCCGACTCCAGTCCCAGCTGAGGCCGCGCTGAGAGCACCCAGCCAATGCCTCCGACGTTGTGGAGCGGAAACAACCCCACCCCCACCGCCTACTCTGAATTCTGGGCCTGGAGGCCGTGGGCATCGTGAAATTGCCCGGTGGAAGCCGCTCAGCTTTGGAGTGGTTGGTGCTGCCACAGCACACCCTGCACACCCGAGACTCAGCAGCCAGGTGGAGCCCGGTGTCTGCAGGTGGCGGGAGCAGGGTCTGGCTCAGATGCCAGCAGGCAGGTGTCCCAGAGAGAGGGGCAGGTTCCTGCCAAGCAGGAGATGTGGAGGCCCCACGTGCGTGTTGAGAGGGGGCAGGAGGGGGGCAGGGCCAGAGCCTTGGGGAGTTGAGGTCCTGGGAGCAGCTGGCAGACAGCACTGCGGGAGCGGGGCAGAGCACTGGGGGAGCCGCCGCAGGGTGGGGGTGGTGCTCGGTCTGGGTTTTCTTTGCTTTAGGCTGGGGATGCTTTTTCTGGAGTGGGGCGGGGGCTGCAGCGGATGCTCTGGGGAAGCAGGAGGAGGCGGGAGGGCGTGGGAGCAATGTTAGTCCCGGGAAGGGCCCCAGAGGATGGCCGTGTCCGTCGGAGGAAGTGGGCAGTGCAGTCCCTGTGCTGTCCTGGGGGAAGTAGGGTGGTCATGCGGTCCCAGCACTTGTTGGAGAGAGGGAGTGAGGGGCCCTGACCCGCCCTGAGTCTCAGTTGTGAGGCCAGGGCGCCGTGCGGCTTTGTGAGTGGGGGGCTCCCTGGGGTCTCTCGGGGATGTGCTGACCTTGGGTGTCCCCCACGCCCTGCACACTGAGGCCCCCTCCTGCCCACGGTACGGGACCCTCCACGTTCCTGTCCAGGGTCCAATTCCAGGCTCCAGGTCTGCGCCCTCAAACAGCACTGGGTGCCCCCACCCCAACCTGCGTAGGCAGCCACCGCCTACACCCCGCCTGAGCCCTCCCCATCTCCTTTCTACTCCGGCCGCTGCACACGTGGGGTCTGACTCAGCCCTTGGGCAGCCCTGGGTGGGTGCGGCAGCCTCGAGCCTTCTTCCCCACCCATCCACACAGCCTGGGACCATCCTGGGTCTGCACCAGGCAGCCCCTTCCCGGGGGCAGAACCTTTCCTCGGGTCCTGTCCACCCCAAATGTTTAGAGTTGGGGGCAGCAGGGGCAGGCACCCTGCCTGGACCACCCCGCGATGATGGCCCCAGTGTGGCCTGGGCAGGGTCTCTGAGGGCAGCCGGGCAGGGCTTTTCTGGCAGGCTGGAGGCAGCAGCTGTGCCCATGAGGGCTTGTGAGGGATGGGAACCCTCCTACCTGGCTGGCCCAAGGTGGCCTTGGCCCTGTCGCCCCGAGAACTGACACCGGCCAATGTCAGGCCTGCAGCAATCGCTGTCTGCTCTGCGTAGGGCACTGCCCAGGACGCCTGCCAGCCTCTGAGGCTCCACACCCCAGGCTCCCTGGGGCCATGTTTTGTGACATTGCTTCTTCCACTTTAAATCTGCTTAACCCTTTCTTTGGGGCAATTTCAGCACGTCCCGAGGGGCTCTTCAAGCTGCAGGCCGCACACACACTGCCAGGTGGTGGGGGCTACCTGGTGGGAGCCGTGTCAGTGGGGCCAGGGATGCTTGGGAGGGGCAGGGCTGCCTTCACCACCCAGAGCCAGGCTGGACCCCTCCAGTGCCAGGGTCTGTAGAGGGAGGAAGCCTCCTGGGACCATCGGCAGAGGGATGGGGTGCCGGGCCCCACCCTGCCCCTGAGCTGCCCCAGGCCATTCCTACCCACTGGGGCTTCCAGCCTTGGTCAGCAGGGTGTCCTCTCCTGTCCTGCGGTGGGCGGCCCAGCAGCCTCTGTCCCCGCCTCTCTGTTGCTGTGGTCGGCTCTGCCTTCTGCCCTGCAGAGGGGAGCCGTCTCGCCCCTCAGGGACTGTGGCTGGCCTGTCTCTTGTGGGCCCCTTGAAGGTCTGGCTCTTCCCCTCCCCGTGGGTGACGATGCTTGGCTCCTGGGTGTGCCCACCAGCGTTTACCCATTCCACCCTCCTGGTGGCCCCACGCCTGCAGGCTGTTGCCATCCCATGTCTTATCCAAGGAAACTGAGGCACAGAGAGGCTCCTTGCTACTCGGCTCGCCCCACTCATACACACAGCTGGGCTTCCCACCGAGCAGGAGCCGCCGCACTGGGCTTGGGGAAAGGTGGCGAGAGGACGCAACCTCTGAACTCAGGGCCCTCGTTGTGAAATGCGCCACCCCCGAGCTGTGTCCGGACGGCTGGGAGATGGGAGAGGATGGAGGACAGGGCAGCCAGGAGGGCGGCCCCCATGACCCGAGTGCCGTGGCTGGCCTGGCGGGTAGACGGAGGGGGCGTCCTGGAGTGGTGTGAACCATGGCCCTGGTGGGCCGGCTTCCAAGCAGCCCCTCCCGCCGGAGCCGGCTCCTGCTGCCCTCAGACCCCTCCTGGGGCCCTAGTGGACCTCCTTCCCACGGTGGGTGGGCCGAGACCCCTGGGTTCCGGGACCGTCACACCCGCACTTGCCACTGTCGTACCTTACACCGGGTCTCGCTCAGCCTGGCCTCGCAGCTCCTGCCTGGCGGGGAGGGGGCGCGCGGAGGGGCCCACCCAGACCTGAAATAATTCACTTTCTCTCCCCCCAGCTTTGAAGCGAGTCAATTTTTCAAACCACATTTGCTCTCTTATTGTTTATTTTCGGGCAGCAGCAGCAATTTTCGAGGCCGCTGCCGATACCCACCTCAGATATCTCTCGGGTCACCTGTCATTCCAGAAAGGTCAGCGATTCATTTAAAGTTTCATCACTCTTCACATAAGCAGGCAGACACCATTTCATTTGCCGCAGCCTTTGTGTGGGCCAGAGACCCCAGCCTGTCGCCACCTTCCTGGCCAGGGAATTGACGGCAAGACCGGCACCTCTGCCTGTGTGTTGCACCCACTGCCCCTCCCCTGCCCCTGCAGCCACCTAAACAGACTTTCATTTGGAGGCAATTTGGGAGGTGGGGGCCCAGCTCCCCCGGCAGGGCTTCTTGCCCCAGATCTCTTAAAATGGAATTATCCAATTATGCCAGGCCCCCCTGCATCTCTGCCCAGCCACTGTGTGGATGACACCATCAGCCATGCATGAGGCAGGCCTAGTCCTGGGTGTAGCCGCCGGCACCACCATGAACCAGCCCTGGTGCCCTGGCACGCCAAGGTGACACCCACCGTCCCATCTCCCCCGGCCCACCTCCACCATCCCACCTCCCCCGTCCTACCTCCCCCGGCCCACCTCCACTGTCCCACCTCCCCCATCCCATCTCCCCCGGCCCACCTCCACCGTCCCACCTCCCCTGGCCCACCTCCCCAGGCCCCACACAAGCTGGACTGGCCGCCCATCCCCCCTCCCCCAGCCTCGCTCTAGCTGGATTGGCCACCCGTCTAGTTTGGCACCTAGTCCCCATCGGGCACTTTGGGTCAGGCAGCCCACGTGCCAGGCCCTGCCATAGCTTAGGGCCCCCAGGAGGGACACATCCTCTCCCCAAGGAGCTCACAGCCCAGGGGCAGGGGGTGCCAGGGGAGGGCAGGAGAGACAAATGTTGCTCCTGGGGAATGGGTGATCCTGGCAGGCCTTGAGGGTTGGGCATGGCAGATGGGGTGCATGGCAGATGGGGCGCATGGCAGATGGGGCGCATGGCAGATGGGGCGCATGGCAAATGGGGCGCAGCCTGTTCTGCAGACTTTCCAGGTGGGGGCTGGGGGGCGCAGTGCACCCGGGAGGGGCAGCAAGGCACAGGTGGGTGCAGGAGGAGGCCTAGGAGCTGGGATGACAGGGGCCGGGTCCCATGGAGCTCCTCCCGCCACGCCCTGACTGCTCAGCCCTGGCCTGTGTGAACGGTGGACGGATGGGCCCTTGAGGGTGGTGTGTCCGGAAGAGCAGCTGGAAGGGCGAGGCCGCTGCCTGGTGTCCCCACTGTACGGGGGGCCCCCGGAAAGCAGTGCCCAGGAAAGTGCAGGTTTTTCCTGCATGGGGGACCCAGGTGGGTGTCCGACCTGTTGCGGCTCCAGGGGTCCCCTGGGAGGTCTCTGGCCCTGCCCGTTGGCAGCCTGGGATGAGGTGGGGGCCTGACTCAGCGGACAGGGTCTGGAGGACTGTCCCAACCCCCACCCCCACCTCCACTGTGGCAGCTGGGGCAGGGCTGGGCAGGAGGGCTCTTGAGATGGAGGCCTCAAGACAGCTGGCCCTGGGCGTGGCCCTGGGGGGCGTCTGCCTGCTGTTCTAGGAGCCTTGAGCTTCTCGGCCCCTCCCTCCAGGGCTGGGCCCTGGGGCAGGGCTGGTCGCCATGTCCCAGACGTCGAGCCTAACAGCCTGGGCCTGACAGGAGCCGTCTCCTCCGAACCCGCACTTGCCCCGCAGAGGATGCAGTGGTACAGATGCTAAGATGGAAGACACAGCGACAGGGAAGTGGTCAGGGCTGGGTGCAGGGGGATTGCCTGAGCCGGGGAGGCTGAGGCAGGAGGATCGCTTGAGCCTGGGAGGTCCAGGCTGCCGTGAGCTGTGATCACACCACTGCACTCCAGCCTGGACGACAAAGCAAGATCCTGCCTCAAAAACGAAAAAGAAAAAGAAAAGAAGTGGTCAGGTGGAGCAGGGCAGAGGGGAGGCAAGCCGATGGGGACCGCAGTGTGCCGGCCACAGCAATGGCGCCTTTCTTGCTCACCCTGGCCGTGTGGGGCCTGCAGGGACAGTGCACACGTGGGGTCCCAGCCCCTGCCAGGGCCTCGGGTGGGTGGGTGGCCTCCTGGTGCAGCCCTGTCCTCCCTGCGCTGGGGGCAGCAGTAGGGGAGGGGCTGAGGGTTAGAGGGAGAGTGGCTCCCTGGCCCCACCTGCCTATAGACATGGCTTTCTGGTTCATTCGGCCTGGGGAACTGCCGTGTCCACCTGCTGACTTGAGGGGCACCCTGAGGCTCCTGTGAGGGGGTGAACCCAGCCCCTGCGTGCCCCAACTTCAGGCCAGAGCCCTCCTCTGCAGAGGAGCCCCAACTCTGACCCCTTCTGGAGTAGGGCACCCCCTCCTGCCCCAGCCCTCAGCTCACCTCACACTAAAACCGGCAGCAGGGCTTGGCTCATCCCTGGCAAGGCAGCCCCCACCTCGGCTCAGCTGAGTGCCTGGACTCTGGCGAGGGGAGGACTTGCTCAGTGGTCCCTGCATTAGGGAAGTGGCCTGTGCCCCAACCATAGCACCCAGTGAAAAGTGGGAGGGGCCTCGCCTAGGTGGGAGAGGGGGTCACACGTGGTGGGGCCTGCATCAGGGGAAGGGAGAGGGAGAGGAGGAGGGGGAGGAGAGGAAATAGGAGGGGGAGGGGCGGCAGTACCCCAAGGGACCGCCACAGCGCCATGCAGCCCACACCCTCTGCCCTGCCGTTTTCTTTCCTGGGAGCCAACACTCAGCGCCACTGGCCCCACTGGGACTCGGAGTGCCTGTGCAGGTGTCTGGGGTGAGTATGCGTGTGGCTGGCAGGTGGCGGGGTGTGTGGTGTCTGTGCACGTGTGTTTGACTAGTGTGGGTATGTATGTGTGTGTTGTGAGGGGGCGCAGCCTCCCAGAGGGCCAAGCGGGGTGGGCTGGGCTGGGCCAAGGCCCGCCTAGGCTCTTGCAGAGGTAGGGGAGGTGCTCTGGTCCCCCGGGCTGAGGGCAGTCCCCACCCTTGAAAATTGTGCTATTTGCACAATTCTTTCTCATGCATTCCACCTGTGCTGACGAGGCCGCACGCCTCCCCAGCCTCCTGTCCAGTGCTGCTCCCGTGGCTGTGGGGCCTGGGGCCACTCATTTGGCCTCTGTGCCTTGTCTCCTTGTCTGCGAAACACTCGAGATGTCCCTCAGGTCCAGGTGCCATGCCCTGCCCCCGATGGGCTCCTGGCTGGCCCGAGTCCCACTGTGCTTCTGCTCCGGCCAAGTACCGGGCGGAGTTGTTGGAGCTGACGGCCCTGAGCTCCGGCACCCTGGATCCCCTGGCCTCGGTGAAGTACCAGGCAGGGTTGGAGCTGACGGCCCTGCGCTCCGGCACCCTGGATCCCCTGGCCTCGGCGAAGTCCCGGGCGGGGTTGGAGCCGACGGCCCTGAGCTCCAGCACCCTGGATCCCCTGGCCTCGGTGAAGTACCAGGCGGGGTTGGAGCCGACGGCCCTGCGCTCCGGCACCCTGGATCCCCTGGCCTCGGTGACGAAGGGTCTGCCAGGCCAGGAGGGAAGCGGGCCGGGGAAGGAACGCGGTGCTGCACCCGCACGCACCCCTGCGCACGCTACAGAGAGGAGAGAGAAAGATAACTGATGGGTAGTATTTTAAGGCATATTAACCCAATTACAAGTATATTTTTACAATCATGACTCCAACATTTATCACGCAGCATTTATTAGCCCCGGAGCTGGGCTGTGCCACGTGAAGGCTGTGAAACAGCAGCATTTCATTACGCTCCGCCCGCCGGGCTCCATCCTGCGGCTCTTAAACCGCATGATTTTATCAAAATCTTCGGAAATTGAAGCAATCACTAAAAGGTGTCGGGGAATTAAAATGTCCTGTCTCAGTGTAAGAGATACACTTCTCGTAACATATATCAGTGGCTCTTTTTTTTTAAAGACACATTACTATGCAGAGAAAAGGCATCAAACCGGGAGGGGGTGCGTTCCAGAAGGATCGGACGACAGCAATTCTTCACGCTTAAAAATCGTCTCCTGAGGGACGTGCTGCCTGCAGAACTGCTTCTGTGGCCGCTCTGGGAGTGCCAACGTGGCTGTCTTACCCACTTCCTTTCTCAGCCTCATTGTTTGGGGATTGCGGCCCCCGTCAGCCTCTGCTTTGAGGAAACAGATCCAGGCAGCCCCTCAACCAGAGTGGGGGTCCTGGCTCCCGTCCGTGCCCCTCCGGGCCAAGGGCCTGGCGGAAGGCGCAGCGTTTGGAGTTGGCCCCACGTTTTTCCCGCACACTCCATGCAGCTGCGGCTGCAGGCCTCGGATCAGAGCAGGCAGTCCGCTGTGCCTTCCCCACCGCCCAGGGCCTCGGTGGAGCTGTTTTTCTCCCAGAATCTTCTCCCACTTACCTCCCCACAGCCGGAGAAGGGGCAAGAAGGGGCTGGGCCCCTAGGGGCTCACAAAGGGGGTACGTAGGCAGCAGCAGTGGCCTTCGGCTGGGCCTGGGGATGCAGCTTGGCTCTCAAAGGGCACCTTCCAGGTGTTTCTTTTAGAACAGTCCTGGGGTTCCCATGAGGTCATTCCGCCAAGGTCCTCAGTTCTTTTTGGAGCCTCGCTCTGTTGCCGAGGCTGGAGTGCAGTGGTGCGATCTCAGCTCACTGCAACCTCTGCTTCTCAGGTTCGAGCGATTCTCCTGCGTCAGCCTCCTGAGTAGCTGGGATTACAGGCGCCCGCCACCACATCCGGCGAATTTTTGTACTTTTAGTAGAGATGGCGTTTCACCATGGTGGCCAGGCAGGTCTCGAACTCCTGACCTCATGTGATCTGCCTGCTTAGGCCTCCCAAAGTTCTGAGATTACAGGCGTGAGCCACCGCGCCCGGCTGGTCCTCAGTTCTTTGGGACGATGGGCTGTACCACCCAGGTGCTCCCTGCAGCCACATAGGGCTGGATGGGGCAGGAGGCACTGTTGGGGGGCCCCGGAGGGTTTGACTTCCCCTCTCAGGAACTTGGGACTGTTTAGGGACCCACACTGTGCTGGGTCAGTTCTGAGGGAGGGGCTGGGGGTCTGGAGCAGGCAGGGGGCACACCTGTGTGGGGTGTGTGGCTCTCCAGGGCCCTGGGCCCAGCAGCATGGTTCCTGGGCTCCTGCCTGGCCCCGAGGAAGAACCTGGTCCCCCAGTGCGTGTTTGCTGTGGGGTCTGAGTTGGGGGTAGACGTGGGGGCACGGGGCAGTCCTCAGGGCTCCCCTCACCTCAAGCTGTGTCGGGCCGGTGGGGTTCTGCTGGGTTTGAGTTTAGGATGGGCAGTGGTGGGGGGAGGAGCAGAGGCAGGGGAGTGAGGGGACCCTCGAGGGGGACCCCTGATAGAGAGCCAGGCGGCTGAGGGCCCTGCCGATGTCTGGCTGGAGCCCAGGGGTGCCCGGTGTCTGTGTTCTCCAGATGCCCTTGGTGTCTGGGGAGCCCAGGCCTGTGGGAAGAGGCTGGAGTCCCAGTGAGGGAAAAGAAGGCCCTGCCCCACTGGATCCAGAGATGCCAGAGGAGCTGCCTGTCCCCTCTCGGAGCCTTGGTGGCCTGGACGTTGAAGTAGGGGAGATGCGATGCTGGAGGGAGGCCCCGAGGAGGGTGCGGAGCTGCCCAGGGCGAGCCCCCGGGGGCCTTTCCCACCTGCCAGGGGCTGTCTCCCTCTCCTCCGTTTCTCCCTCTGTCTCTCTCTCCCACTGTCTCTGTCTCTCCCCACTCCGTCTCTGTCTCTTCCCCATCTCTGTCTCTCCCCTTGTCTCTGTCTCTCCCCTTGTCTCTGTCTCTGTCTCTCTCTCTCTCTGTCTTTCCCCCTTTTAAAGGAAGTTTCATGGGAGAAGTACAGTTGGGAATCTGGAAGCAACCCGCATGTACCGTGTGGCACGGCCTCGGTGGAGGCCACAGCAGCCCGCGGCGGGCGGACACCGTGTGAGTGAAAGAGCCAGTCCCTGAAGGTGCCCTTCCATCTGGTCCCTGTAGAGGGCATGCCTGCAGTGACACAGCTGTGGAAATGGAGGGCAGATGAGTGGTGTCCGGTTCGGGTGGTGTGGTGGGCAGTGGAGGGCCAGGAGGGTCCTTGAGGTGGGAACAGCGCCCACATCTGGACGGTGTAGCCAGCGTTGGGCGGTGACACTGGCCACAGCTTGGCAAGAGGGTACCTTTGGGGAAGGTGGGTGGGGGCGCACTGGATCTCTTTGTGTTGTTTCTCATAACTGTATGTGAAACTACAATTTTCTCAAAGTAAAAAGTTTAATTGAAAACAATACGTGGCTATAATAAAAAATCCGGACAGCATGGAATTATGTAGAGGGGACCTGCCAGCCCAGCGTCCCTCAGCCTGGCCCTGTGCTGCGAGGATGTGAGTCAGAACTCAGCCCCCACCAGACCATGCATGGTCCCTGGAGGTGGCCTGGTGATTCTGTGGGTGTGGCCTGGTAGTGGCCTTGGAGCCAACCCTCCCCTCGTCCCTCTGTCTCTGTGTGCACTTTTTGCCCAGCGCAGGAGCAGGGACCCTCATGGGCCACATCAGCAGGGAGAGGCAGCAGAGGCTGGACGGCCACTCTTGTGGCCCCACGTCTCAAGATGGTGGTGCTGGTCCCCATTGAGCTCAGCCGTGCCTTGGGCAGACAGTGACCAGGGGTCACACCCGGTCCTGTGGACCATCACTGAGCACCTGCACCACAGAGAGGATCAGACTGGCCTCTGGGGTGGGACTCTCCTCTGACAGCACAAGAGAGGAAGAGACAAAGGGCCCCAGTAGACCACAGATGGGCCTACCTGAGGCCTCTCAACACATCAGAGCTGGTGCCTGGACTGAGTTGCAATTCTGCTGCTTCCTCTCTGCCCGGCTGGACTGGGGACCGGGCCTGGCTCCTGGGAGCTGTGTGCTGGCGCTTCCCGCGGTGCTGGGTAAGCTCCAAGTGTCCTGCCAGGCTTTGCAGTGTCAGGAGGGGTCTGTGCACAGGACAAGGGCTGCTTGGTGCTGTTTTTTTGTCTGCCGTCTGTGCCACGATTTATACCAGTGGTGACTTCCCAGGGCTCCCACCAACCCCAGCCCCACCCCACCAGCCACGTAGTGTCAGTGGTTTCTGATGTGCCCAGCACCACCAAGCCTAGGGGTGGGGCAGCCCTGCTGTCCCCGGCCTGTGGTGGACCCCCAGCCTCTGCATGCCCCTTCTCAGCCTTCAATAGACAAAAGCCTGGGAGGGTCAGCAGGGCGCCAGGATGTGGGGAGCCTGTCCTGGCCACTGTCCAATGGCCACGCAGGACCATGGCAGCGTCTGTACAAAGAGGAGCCGGTGGGGCTCCTGCTGCCCGCCTTCTTGCACCCCTGCTGCTGGGGCCCTGTGGCCGTCCAGAGCCTGGAGGTGGGCGGGGGTCCCTGTGGGCAGAGGGACCAGTTGTGCGTTTCTGTCCTTTCAGTGGCTGCGGCTTCCCTGTCCTCTGACTCCTGTGGGAGCTGGAATCTGTGCCTCCCCGTCCCTGGCATGCTGGCACTGGCTGGGTCCCATGGTGCTTTGGTTGGTCCCCGATGAGCAAGCTGTGTCTCCATCCTGTGGGGGGATGGGGTGGCAGATGGCCCAGTGGGCCTGTGCACGGCTTTGCCTGGGGCCGGCAGTCTGCAGAAGGAACAGACTTCCCCCTCCACACCCGAGAGCTCCTTCCTGGCGGCAATGTATATTATGAAGGCAATGTGAACTTTGTAAAACTTAAGCACCTTACACATTTTTTTTTAAGAGACAGGGTCTTGCTCTGTTGCCCAGGCTGAAGTGCAGTGGCACCATCACGGCTCACTGCAGCCTCCAACTCCTACACTCAAGTGATCCTCCTGTCTCAGCCTCCTGAGTAGCTGGGACTACATGTGTGGAGCCACCACACCCGGCTAACTTTTGCATTTTTGCAGAAATGGAGTCTCCCTATGTTGCCCAGGCTGTTCTCCAACTCCCAACCCCAAGCAATCTGCCTGCCTTGGTCTCCCAAAGTGCTGGGATTACAGGCGTAAGCCACTGCACCTGGCCTAAAACTATTAAAGCATAGATCCACATTACCAGATTTTTGAAAAGAAGATAGAGAAGAGAACCCAAAATAATCATGATGACAGTAATACCCCCACCGTGGGGGGTGCCTTTTGTGCCTGCTTGTATACCCCGGGGGGCAGTGCCTCTATCATCCTTTTTTCATGAGGGGAAACTGAGGCTGGGGATTGTTAGATCCTGCCCAGGGTCCCCCCACAAGGAGAAGGGGACACAGGCTGGGGCAGGTGCTGGGTCCCTCCCCTTCTTCCACCTCCAGGAAGTCTTCCAGGCTGAGCCCTGACCTGGTGACCTGTGAATCGGTTTATCTGTCCGTCCTGCCTCCTGCTATGTGGGGCCGCTGGAGGCGGGGCCGCTGCTGGCTCCCAAGGGAAGGAGGGAATCTGCCCAGAAGCGGCTCAGGGACCTCGCAGAGGAGGCTCCGGCTTGGCTGCCCTGCTGGCAGCCTGGGGGGACCTGGGGCCCGCGGCGCCCCTCCCTGCAGCGGTCTCTGCTCACCCTTGGCCCCGGGAGCTGCCCCCAGCGGCCCCTGCTCTCCCTCGGGTCGGCCTTCCGCAACGCCGCCCTGCCCTAGACCGTATTTCGTGCTTGTTGGTGTCACAGACTTTGCCACGCAGGGTCAAGAGTTACCCTGCCCCGTCCTTTGTGTTCTAAATTTAATTGTTGCACTCCTTTTCTCCCTTAAAAAGATCAGTAAAAACTGTTAATTTGATCAATACTTAATTTTTTCACCCGAGCGCGCGTCTTCTGCTGGCCCGTGATAAGCTGGCGGCAGGGCAGAGGGACAAGTGAATTGTCAGGAATTTCTCCAGTCTCCCGCGGCCACTCCACCACTTAGAGCCGTGTAATTTATACCCCGGCAGCCGCTCTGCAATTACCCTGTCTATTGCTGTCGACAGTATCGCGCTATCTTTTAAATAGATCCGGCCTGGCTGGTCCAGACGAGCGTCCAGGACAAATGACGCCATCCCTCATCCCGCAAGCCCTAAAGAGATAAGTCCCTTAAAGAGGGGACCATTTATCAGCTGATACAAGCTGGATACTTACAAGCCCACTTCTTTGTTTGGGCTCTTTTCAGATTTCCAAAGCTATTGATCTACCGAGGGGGGAGCCGGGTTGGGGCGTGGGGCGCGGGGCGACTGTCAGGGGCGGCCCTGGGCCTGAGCTCACCCTACTCGGAGGGGCCCTGGCGTGGCTCCGGGCCGCGGTCCAGCCTCCCCTGGCCTGGGCTGAGCGCACCTGCCGCGCCGGCTTCCCTCCTGCGGGCGCGCGGGGACGTGGGTGCCTCTGCTGACTCCAAACGTCTGGGTTGCAGACCAGGCGCCTGGGCCAAGCCCTGGACCCGCGAGGCCGGTGTCGGGAAGGCTCAGATGCCCCCGGCCCCCGACCCAGGACCTGGTGCCTCTCTGGCCGCCACCGGCTCCCGCACAGGACGCCTGTGTCCCCGCCGGCGGAGAAAGCCCGACCCTCTGCTGCGCCCGCTCGTGCTCCGCATGGGCCCTCGGCCCTGGGCACTGGGGAGAAAGTGACCCAGCTGGGCTGGGATGGGGCAGCAGCTGCCCGAATCAGGGCCGGTTCCGTTGCCATAGGCTAGCCGGGCAGGGTGTGAGCGGCCCCGGGCCCCGCAGCCAGGACCTCGGCCATGTGCCCTGCAGACGCCCCTCCTGCGGGGCCCGTGTCTGGGGGGCTCCAGGCGTGTGCGGGTGGGACGTGGTGCCCGGCGCCCACTCAGGCGCCCCCGCGGCCGCCTCTCCTCCCTGTGGGCAGCGATGGCAGGGGCTGCCTGGGCTCTGCGGCGAACTCTGTTCCCTCCTGCTCCTTCCACCCAGGCCTCAATCACCTCCTTCCTTCCATGCTGTGAAGATCCTGCCCTCCCATCCCCAGGCTTCCAGGCTCTCCAGTGTCACGGCCCTGGGCTCACCCTGGCTTGGCCCAGGAGAGGGGCTGGGCAGGGGGTGCAGAACCGCGTGTCGGGGGCCCCTGGGTGTGGCCGGCGCCCGGGAGCCCTAGGGCCCCTCTCCTGCCCCTGTTTTCCCCCAGGAAGGACCGCAGCGCCCCCCAGCCTCCGGGATCCTGCCCCCTGGCCCCCTCGGCCTTGCTCAGGAATCCTGGGCTTGGGCCCTGCCCCTCCGGGACTTTGGGGGTAATCTGTGTGGTCTCGGCCTCGCGCCCTCCAGGCCTGCGCGCTCTGACGCTGCCTCCCGGAGCCCTCGCTCCGCCCACGGAGACTGATGGGGCCGCGTGTGGACGTGGCTGGTACGCGCCGTGCACAGCCGGTCATCTGTTTGGTCTTAATTTAGAAAACCTTCACGAGATTATTACGTGGCATTTTTTTTTCCCTGGGGTGTTTGATGGTATCAGGTGGGTTCAGAGCTCAGCCTCTCCAGTTTATCTTCCTCAGAGAGCTGCATTAACACGTAGGCACAGCGGCCCGACAAACCCCACAGAACAAATAGAAACGATCTTAGCAGCGTCTCTCTTTAAAAATAGCATCCATTTATCATCCAGCCGTATGGTGCTGGGCTCAGCCTGTGGTCTGGGGTGACCGACTGCTTTGGGCTTAAATATCCACTCTCCCGTTTCACTGTATTTAAAGTCTTCTCTTTCTACCCTGCACCCAAGAAGGAGGCCCCCAAAACTTGTGTCAGCAGCCAGAAAGGGGTGGGCAGCTGGCCTTCGGGGTGGAGCTTCCCAATTTGTAAAGGAAGGAGGAGCCCTGGAGGGTGACCTCCTGCGGCCCTCTGGGGAGTCCCTCAGCTCAGGGTCTCTGGGTTTCCTTCTGCTGCTAAGATCCCTCTCTGGGTCATGCTTTCCCTCCAGGGACTCCCAGGCCCCTGGATGGATCCCAAACTCACACCCAGAAGGAGCTGAAAGTAGGGTAGGGCCTCAGGCCAGACCATGTGCTCAGAAGGAACCAGGACCTACCTATTCCTTTGTCCACTCACAATAACATGAACTAGGGTATTTGATGTGCAGGTGGGCCTTGTGTGGGGTGTTGCAGTTGCTGTGGGAAACAAGACTGACTGCCACCCCATCCTGGCAGAGCTTACCATGCCATGGCCAACACTCTCTGTAGGAATGTCATGGGGTACATGTGCATGCGCATTCTCTCTCCTTCATTCCTGGCAAGTACAGGGGTGGCTGGCTTCTTTAGGTGCATCACAGGTCCCGGAGTGCAGAGTCCACAGTGTGTCCAGAGGGGGGCCAGCCTGCAGAAATAAACCCTAATGCAACAGTGAGTACAATAAATGTAAATGAGTTAGACTCAATGATCTGAAAGTAGAGACTCACAGGTTGAACGAAAAACAAACTGCTGCTGTATGCTCCTTAGAGAAGACACATTTTAAAGGAGAAAGGGCACAGAAAGATTGAAAATCAAGGGATGGAAAAGAGATACACCAGGCAAATATGTACACCCAAAGCAATGTGGGATAGCAATTCTAATGTCAGACAAAATAGAAATAAGGCCAAAAAATCACAAAAGACAAAGAAGAATATTAGGGACTAGTTCAAAAGAACAACAGACCAAGAACATAGAATGATTATATATATATATATATATATATATATATATATATATATATATATATGCATTAAATAATATAGTCTTAGAACATATAAAACTACAACTGAGAATATTACCAGGAGAAATATATGACTAAACTGTGTTATTTAGAATTTTCGACAAATTCCTCTTATAAAACAATAGATTAAATATACAAAAGTAAGTCTATTTAATTTGAATGGCATAATAAATTAATTGAATTACCTCTATTATCTATCAGTTTACACATCTCATGGAGAATACAGATTTCTTTTGTGCACACTTATTATTCACAAAAACAGGCCATGTGCTAGGCTACTGTATGGTCACCTTCAGAGGCAACCTACCCAAAATTTGTTTCAAATATTGGGAACGGATGGCTTCACACATACACACCAACAGGGCTTGAAATGGTTTGGATTGTTTGCATAACTGAGGTCTCTGAGGAGAGCAGGGCACGCCTCCCAAGCAGGTCAAGAATGGCTTGAGAGAGCAAGGAATGGAAAGGTTTTTATTGTGGTTCAGGGCTGGACCTGGGTGAGAGTTTTCATGTGCAGGCAGGGCCTTCTGTGGTTTGAATTCCCCACCAGCATCAAATGAGGGAGCACCCGGGCTTTCTTATCAGCTTGTCCAGATGTGGGGCACAGGAGAAAAGGGAGGGACACTTAAAAGCTGTTGGCAGCCAGACATCAAAAAATGGAGTCGGGCTGCTTATTTCAGCCACAAAAGAAAATGTGATAAATTTCAAAGAATTGGCATAATAAAGACTGTATCCTTTCACTATAATGCAATACAATAAATAAAAGAATTGTAAAAAAAAGGAAAGTCCAGATATCTGGGAAGAAAAATCATAAGTACTGAATACCCCTGGTTAAGGGAAAAATCATAAAGAAATTATACAACATTTAAAGCTCTGTGTGTCAGGAGCTGTGAGACATACCCAAAGCAGTACCTAGAGAAAAAAAATTATGATTTTGAATAAACTTATCAGAATACAAACAAAAGTCAAAAATAAATGAGCAAAGCATTTAACTCAATAGGCTAGAAAAAGAACTAAAGATATAGCTAAGGAAACAAGATGTAAATAAAGAAAAAGCAGAAATCAGTGAAATAGAAAACATTTTTAACATTAAAAAGTCAGAGAAGATTTTCAAAGTTAAAACTGGACCTTGTAAATATAATAAGACAGGCAATACTGATGACAAAGGAGAGAAGAAGCAAAGTAAATATAGAATAAAAATGGAAAATAATGGCAAAAATAATGAAGGGAAAATTATGAATGACTATACACTAATATATTCAGAAAGCCCAAATAAAACGAATACATTTCTGTAAAAATATAAAGTGCCAAATTGACACCACAGTAAACAGAAAATGTAAAAGACTAATATCCATTAGCTATTGAAAATTGAAATGAGAAAAAGAAAGAAATTGAAATGGAAAACAAATAATTCCCCACTAAAAATCTTCAAGAAAGAGAAATTATTTCTCATGCAAACTCTTCCAGAGAACAGAAAAAAAAGAAATGTCCTGCACCTCATTTTATGGGCAAGCAACACTCTTATTCCAAAATCAGAAAAGACAATTGTAAGGCCTTTCAATAAAAAAATTATAAATAAAATATAACCAACCAACCCCAAGTGTATGTTTCTAAAAATCATTATCAAATAGGTTTATTTCAGGAATGCAAAGATGGTTCAACATCAGAAAAATCTATTGACATGATTTACCTCGTGAATGGACTAGAGGGGAAGAATTGCATGATTATCTGTACAGATTAAAAAAGGATTTGATAGCACTGGATCTCTATTTATTGTTTAAACTCTCAGAAAACTAGTAATGGACAGAACATTTTCTTAACTTGATCAAAAGCTACCTATTTAAAGACTGACAGCAACATCACTATTTATTAGAAAAACTTTACACAGCATCTCCCATAGAAGCGAGTACGAGATAAAGGAATATCATGTCTATTTCTCAAATTCGTCACCAGGATGAATAGAATAAGATAAGAAAAATGCATAGGAAGTACTGGATTGGAAAGGGAGGAACACACTGCCATCATATGCAGATGATGTGATTACCTACACACAAAGCCCAACAGAATCTGCAGATACATCAATAGAACTTATAAAACGATTTAGCAAAGCTGACTGATACAAGATCATTGTATCATTGTCCATTTATGCATAATAAATTACTCTCAAGTTTAGCAGCTCAGAACAATAAACATTTATTTTTTCAAAGCATGGGAGCAGGCACTTGGGAGCAGCTAAGTTGGGTGGTTCTGGCTCAGGGTCTCTCAGGAAGCTGAGATTGAAGTGCTGGCTGGAGCTGAAGTCACCTGAAGGCTTGCCTGGGCTGGAGAATTCGTCTTGAGGATAGCTTCACTCATAGAAGACCTCATCTCCTTACTGGCATTGGTGGAAGGTTCTTTCCTGACCATGTGGACCTGCCCGTACTTGGATGTCCTCATGACACAGCAGGTGCCCCCACCCCCAGCAAGTGACCTGGAAGCCAGCAAGTAAGGAGGGCACCACAGGGCCTTTGATGTCCAGTTCTCGGCAGTCACGCACCATCATTTCTGCCACATTCTGTTCATAAGAAGAGATCACTAAGCACAGCCCACACTCAAAGCGAGTGGAATTAAGCTCCACCTCTTGAAGGGAAGGGCACTGAAGAATCTGGGAGCATATTTGTAAACCACCACAATTATCTTACAAACATCACTAGTGTTCTGAGGGAAAACAGAAACTGCAAATGGGGAACCACCACAACAGTGTTGAAACAATTGAGGACCTAGGAATTCACCTGAGGAAGGACGCACCAGACCCTATTTGGAGAATGGGAAAATCCCAGTCTGCTGAAAAGGCGGGCATGAAAGCAGAGCTGCATCACAGCCGCCGATGGCTGACTTAGCATTAAGGATGCTAGTATTCCCTGAATTAATCTGTAAATTAAATATAATTCAAATGAAAGATTTTTGAGAAGTGTAATAAACTAATTTTAAAATGTACATTGAAAAATGAAGATACAAGGACATCTTAGTCTTCGAAAAAGAGCAAAGGGAGGGGGAATTACCCTACATTTATTAAAATATTAAATATAAATTAAAATACAATCATTTAAAATTTATTAAAATTGCCTACGGTTATAAAATGTATTAAAACATGCTACAAAGACATAAAAACAGTACGCCAATGGCACTGGAACAAATAAATAATAAAACTGAAGACAGATTCCCCCTGATAAATCCATGTTTTTGTGGCAGCTTGATGTCACAGGGTGATATAATATGTCTTTGGAAAGGGAGGAGGTTTTTTTATTTTCGAGGCAGAGTCTCGCTCTGTCACCTAGGCTGGAGTGCAGTGGCGCAATCTCAGCTCACTGCAACTTCTGCCTCCTGGGTTCAAGCGATTCTCCTTCCTCAGCCTCCTGAGTAGCTGGGATTACAGGCATGCACCACCACGCCTAGCTAATTTTTGTATTTCTAGTAGAGATGGGGTTTCACCATGTTGGTCGGGCTGATCTTGAACTCCTGGCCTCAAATGATCTGCCTGCCTCGGCCTTTCAAAGTGCTGGGATTACAGACGTAAACCACTGTGCCCGGCCAGAAAGGGAAGAGGTTTTAAAAATGCCTACTGTTTTTAAGCAACAGGTTTGGGAAAAGCTTCATGACATTGGTCTGGGTAATGATTTTTTGGATATGACCCCAAAAGCACAGGCAACAAAAGAGAAAATAGATAATTGGAAGTATGTCACACTAAAAAGTTTTTGCACAGTAAAGGAAACAATCAGCAGAGTGAAGAGACAACCAGTGGAATGGGAGAAAATGGTTATAAACTGCCCATCTGATGAGGGGTTCATATCGAAAATATACTAGGAACTCAAACAACCCAATAGCAGGAAAACAAATAACCTGATTGAAAAATTGGCAAAGGACCTAAGTAGACATTTCTCAAAAGAAGACACACAAATGGCCAACGGGTTGTAAAAAGTCACCCAGTGTCATGAACAGTCAGGGAAATCAAAATCAAAATCCCAGTGAGATATCACCCGACACCTTTTAGAACAGCTACTATCAAAAAGATGAAAGATAACAAGTGTTGGTGAGGATGTGGAGAAAAGTGGAAAAGAGTACAGAGGTGCTTCAAAAAATTAAGAATAGACCACCACATGATTCAGCAATTCAACTTCTTCTTCTTTTTTTTTTTTTTTTGAGACGGAGTCTCGCTCTGTTGCCCAGGCTGGAGTGCAGTGGCGCGATCTTGGCTCACTGAAAGCTCTGCCTCCCAGGTTCACACCATTCTCCTGCCTCAGCCTCCCGAGTAGCTGGGACTACAGGCGCCCGCCACCACACCTGGCTAATTTTTTATATATATATTTTTTTAGTAGAGACAGGGTTTCACCGTGTTAGCCAGGATGGTCTCGATCTTCTGACCTCGTGATCCGCCCGCCTCGGACCCCCAAAGTGCTGGGATTACAGGTGTGAGCCACCGCGCCTGGCCTCAACTTCTGAGAATATATTGAAAGAAAATAAAATCAGCTTCATGGCTGGGGGGGTGGACCACCTGAGGTCAGGAGTTTGAGACCAGCCTGGCCAACATGATGAAACCCCGTCTCTACTAAAAATACAAAAAATTAGCTGGGCATGGTGGTGCATGCCTGTACTCCTAGATACTCGGGAGGCTGAGTCAGGAGAATCGCTTGAACCCAGGAGGCAGAGATTGTGGTGAGCCGAGATCGCGCCACTGCACTCCAGCCTGGGCAACAAGAGGGAAACTCTGTCTCAAAAAATAAAAAAAAAATCAGTCTCACCAAGAGAGACCTGCACGCCCATGTTCATGATAGTACTATTTGTAACAGCCAAGACATGGAATCAATCTAAGTATCCATTGACAGATGAATAAAGGAAATGTGGTCTATATACACAATTGAGTACTACTCAGCCTTTAAAAAGAAGGAAGCTGGGTGAGGTGGCTCATGCCTATAATCCCAGCACTTTGGGAGGCTGAGGCGGGAGGATTGCTTGATCCCAGGAGTTCAAAGCCAGCCCAAGCAACATGGTGAAACCCTGTCTGTACTAAAAATACACACACACACACACAAATTAGCCAGGTGTGGTGGCGCATTCCTGTAGTCCCAGCTACTTGGGAGGCCAAGGTGGGAGGATCACCTGAGCCTGGGAAGTCAAGGCTGCAGTAAGCCAAGATTGCTACTGCACTCTAGCCTGGGTGACAGAGTGAGACCCTGTCTCAGAAACAAAGAGAAGGAAATCCTGTTATTGACAATGTGGATGAACATGGAGGACCTTATGTTCAGCAAAATAAGCTAGGCACAGAAAGACAAATACTGCGTGATCCACTCATGTGTGGACTCTAAAGAAGTTGAACTGAGATGTAGAGGGTAGAGACATTGGGCCGGGTGCAGTGGCTCACACCTGTAATCTCAGCACTTTGGGAGGCCGAGGCAGGCAGATCATTTGAGGCCAGGAGTTCGAGATCAGCCTGGCCAATGTGGTGAAACCCCGTCCCTACTAAAACAAAAATTAGCTGGGTGTGGTGGCATGCGCCTGTAATCCCAGCTACTGAGGAGACTGAGGCAGGAGAATTGCTTGAACCTGGGAGGCAGAGGTTGCAGTGAGCCAAGATTGTGCTACTGTACTCCATCCAGCCTGAGTGACAGAGCAAGACTCTGTCTCCAAAAAAAAAAAAAAAAAAAAAAAGAGAGAGAGAGAGAGAGTAGAGACATTATTAGTCAAAAGGTACAAAATTTCAGTTATTAATAGATTGGAAGAGTAAGTTCAAGAGATCTACTGTACAACGTGTGACTATAATTAATCATATATTGTGTTGTTGAAAGTCATTGAGAGTAGATTTTGTGTTCTCACTACAAAAAATGATAAGCATATGAGGTTATTTAGCTAAATTTGTTACTTAGCTAAATTTAGCCATTCCACAATGTATGCATATTTCAAAACATCATCTTGTACATAGTAAACATATATAATTTTAGTCAGTTAAAAAATTAATTAATTAAAAAAACAAGTCTGCAAATACCATGACATTCCTCCCACTGAAAGGTGAAGTCTGTCTCCTCTCCTTAACTCTGGATTGGCCCTTGTGACTTACATGTAACCAACAGAATGCAATGCAAATGACACTGCATGACTTTCGAGGCTAGGTCAGAGAAGGCCATGCAGCCTCTGCCTGTCCTCTTGGGACACTTGCCATAGGGGCAGCCAGGCACAGAGTAAAAAGTCTGACTGTCTCAAGACCGCCATGCTGGAGGGGCCACATGTAAGCATTTGTGTTGACAGCCCAGCCAAGCTCCCAGCTGACAGCCAGCCTCCATTGCCAGCCACGGGAGTGGCCAATGGGGACATCCAGCCCAGGTGGCTCTAGCCCCAGCTGACATCCAGGTGCAGCCACATGCCACTTTCTCTCTTCCCAAATAAGAGCTGCCCTTGCTGAACCTTTCCCAAGTTACTCATGCTCAAAAATGTGAGCAAATTAAGATACTTGTTTTAAGATGCAAGGTTGTAGAATAATTTGTTATGCAGAAATAGTAACTGCAACATATAATGTTGGGAAAATTGCCTCACTTTATGGAAAATGGAAGGCAGGATCCCTACCTCATACCATATACAAAGAGAAACCTAAACATAAGAGATTCAGGACCTAAATGTAAACGGTAAAGCTGTAGGCTCATAGGAGAAAATGCTGTGGAATTTCTTTGTGACCTTGGATAGGAAAATATTTCTTAAGCAAGACTCCAAAAGAACAAATCATAAGATGAAAAATGGATGGATTTGAATATATCAAAATGAAGGATTCTGTTTGACAAAGAATTCGATAGGCCATGTTAATGAATGGACGACAGAGGAATAGATGATATCGCAACATCTGAAACCCACAAGGGATTGATAGAATACACAGGAAACAGCCATCAATCACCTTGAAGAAGACAAGGCCTCCAAAAGAAAAAGGGGCAGAGACACGAACAGGAGATTCTCAGAGAGAACCTGAATGGCTGATGATAGACAAGGAGTGGTTGTTCAGCTTCTCCAGTGATCAGAAAGACGCAAATGGAAACAGCAGTGAGATAAACTCTGCACCCATCAGAGAGGCAAAAATTAGATAATTGTATAGTTCCCAGGATTGACAAGGATGTGGGCCAAGGAGAACCTCTGGCTGGAGAGGACGTCTCCTGGAAAGCAAGCTGGCGGCAGGTGGTGAAAGCAGGCAGGTGCCCACCCATGAGCCGGCAAGAACGACACTAACGCTTCAATCCTCGCACAAGCCCCGGGAGGAGGGACAGGTATCAGGCGGAGCACAGCAGCAGGGTCAGGAGCACAAAGGCCAGGATGGCTCCACCTGAGCTGCTGGGAGCTGCAGGACTGGGAGGGTTGTGCACACTTGCTGTGCCTTGTAACCGGAGCTGCACATGAGACGTGTGAGAAGCACATGAGGTGATCATGCAAAGTGCTTGATCCCTGCTGGCACAGACCAGAGATTATTGTCCTCCTGGGAGCACAGATCAAGCACAGGGAAGCCAGTGAATGGCTCGTTCCCCAAGGGAGACACGAGACTCCTCTGACCAGTGACTTTGGCCTTAGGCCTGTGCTGGGTCTAAGATGTGGCCACCTTGCCTCCTGCTGGTCCCGCTCTTCTTCATGGGGCAGACCTGGGACCCCGCTTCCTTTGCTTTTCTCCCATCTCTAACTGTACCCTGCCTGCAGAGGACACTCCGCCCACCTCCTCTTGGTGCTGGTCCCCTCCCCAGTGCACTCTCGACAGCCTCTGGCCCTCCCAGAGAACATGATTTTGCTGGGTCTCTGGCACCCACAGTGTGTTCACCCAGCACACCCATCTCCCTTTGCCATCTCCCAGGACAACTGGACATTGCCATTTCACTGAGAGTTAACTATCACTTTGTTTAGGCTCCTAAGAGCCAACTAGCAGTGAGTTTGCCCTATCACCCAGGTTCTTGACAGGATGTTAATTCTCATGACCAAGAAAGAGTCGTCAAATCAATGCATTCTTGCTCATCCAGGCTGATCCCTTCATCTGGGACCTAGAAATCCAATCCCAAGGTTTTTCTCTGGATCCTGCCTATATATGTAGCTATTTTTTGTTTTGCTTTAGTTGAGACAGGGTCTCACTCTGTTGCCCATGTTGGAGTGCAGTGGGGAACATAGTTCATGGCAGACTCGACCTCCTGGGCTCCAGTGATCCTCCTGTCTCACCCTCTCTAGTAGCTAGGACTACAGATGTGCGCCACCACACACCTGGCTAATTTTTGTTTTTGTAGAGATGGGGTCTCACCATTTTGCCCAGGCTGGTCTTGAACTCCTGGGCTCAAGAGCTCCTCCCGCCTCGGCCTCCCAAAGTGCTGAGATCGCAGGCGGGAGAGGACTGATCTCGGGCTGGGTGGCTCTCTGAGGCCAAGGTCAGCCTCCAAATGGGGTCTCAGCCAGGGCCGCCAGCCTCCTCCTGGTCTTCCCAGCCTGGGTGCAGGGTGCAGGGCCTCCCGTCCACTCTCTCTTGGGTCTGTGTAGGTGGCATACATGGCACTGGCTCACTCCCTGCCCTTCTGGTCTTTCCCCGCGGGGTGGTGGTGACGTCCGTGGCAGGGAGGGGAGTGTCGTTCAGCTGGGTCCAGGAGGAACGCCGTGGACTCTGTCCAGCCCTGCTAGGCAGCATGCCCTGATGGCCGTGGCCTGGCTGGAGTATAGGTCACAGAGCATCTGCCCTGCCACACTGCCCCCACGGCAGGGACCCTTCTTATCATATCAGTAGTAAACGCTGAAACGTGACATGAGAATGGCGTCTCCTTGCTGTCCTAAAGCTCATTTCTTGGATTGCTGACAAGGTTCGGCTGTTTGCCATGTGCTGCCTTCAAGTAGTCAAGGAGCTCTGTGTGGCTGATGTAAAGAAATTTTGGGTGGGGAGTGATGGCTCACACCTGTAATCCCAGCACTTTGGGAGGCCAAGGCAGGAGGATCACTTGAGCTCAGGAGTTGGAGGAGGCTGCAGTGAGCTGTGATCACACCACTGCACTCACACCCAGATGACAGAGCAAGACCCTATATCAAAAAAAAAAAATGCTGGGCATGGTGGCTCAAGCCTGTAATCCCAGCACTTTGGGAGGATGAGGAGGGCAGATCACCTGAGGTCAGGAGTTCGAGACCAGCCAGGGCAACATGGAGAAACCCTGTCTCTACTAAAAATATAAAAATTAGCTGGGTATGGTGGCGGGTGCCTGTAATCCCAGTTACTTGGGAGCCTGGGCAGGAGAATTGCTTGAACCCAGAGGCAGAGGTCGCAGTGAGCCAAGACTGCCCCATTGCACTCCAGCCTGGGCGACAAGAGCAAAGCTCTGTCTTAAAAACAAAACAAAACAAAAAAAGATATTTGGCCTGCTTAGAAACACATACATGTCTTAAAAGTCTAATTGGGTTTTGCCAGTAATATTCCAGATATGCAGGACCACGAGGAAGAGAAAATTCAGGTAACAGTTAAATATTTAAGAAAATGACCGATTTCTAGAACATTTGGAGAAAATTGGAAACTCAAAATTGGTTTTGTCTTTAACTTCTACTTCTGTAAGGGAGGGGACATTATGATGAAAGTCTGGTCTGAGCAACTGTGGCATGCAAGACCACAGGAGGCGAGGCCAGGGTGAGGGGCGGGGCCTGGGCCGCAGGCGGGGCCCTGAGCAGAGGTGGGGCTCTGAGTGGGAAGCGGGGCCCTGAGTGGAGGCGGGACCTGGGTGAGAGGCGGTGCCTGGGTGGGAGGCGGGGCCCTGAGTGGGAGCCGTGGCCCAGGTTAGAGGGGGGGCCTGGGTGGGAGGCGGGGCCCTGAGTGGAGGCGGGGCCTGGGTGAGAGGCGGTGCCTGGGTGGGAGGCGGGGCCCTGAGTGGGAGCCGTGGCCCAGGTTAGAGGGGGGGCCTGGGTGGGAGGCGGGGCCCTGAGTGGAGGCGGGGCCTGGGTGAGAGGCGGTGCCTGGGTGGGAGGCGGGGCCCTGAGTGGGAGCCGTGGCCCAGGTTAGAGGGGGGGCCTGGGTGGGAGGCGGGGCCCTGAGTGGAGGCGGGGCCTGGGTGAGAGGCGGTGCCTGGGTGGGAGGCGGGGCCCTGAGTGGGAGCCGTGGCCCAGGTTAGAGGGGGGGACCTGGGTGGGAGGCGGGGCCTTGAGTGGGAGGCGGGGCCTGGGTGGGAGGCGGGGCCTTGAGTGGGAGGCGGGGACCTGGACGGGAGGCAGGACCTGGGAGGGAGGGAGGGCTCGGGCAGGAGGCGGGTCCCTGAGCGGGAGGCAGGGTCCTCAGTGGGAGGCGTGGCCTGGGCGGGAGGCGGGGCCCTGAGTTGGGGGCAGGGCCTGGGCAGGAGGCAGGGCCTAGGCGGGAGGTGGGGCCCGAGGTAGGAGGCGGGGCCTAGGGCGGGAGGTGGGGCCCGGCTCCCTGAGTGGAGGCGGGGTCCGGGCGGGAGGCGGGTGGGGTCTGGGGCTCCGTGCACCCCGCGCCGGGGATGCTTTCTCCCTAGCTTGTTGCGCCGTCCGGTTCTGCCCCAGCCTTAGATCTCAGCTCTGAGCTGCCCTCACATCCCTGCAGATCTTTTCTGGCCACACTGGTGGCCCGCGGGGTATGGCTGCTTCCGTCTCGCGGCGTTGGCCTCCCTGACTGGCCGCCGGTGTAGGGCGCCGTGGGCGGGGTCCCTGGGGCGAGGCTGCCTGGCCTCCGCGGTTGGTTCGGCGGCCGCGGGGCTGCAGCTCCCGGCTCGCACTCCATCATCGACGGATGACAGCGGGAACGGTGGGAGTTCATTACAGGGACCATGAATTGTTGGAGGTAATTTAGATTACAATTTAAAGTTTAATTTAAAAATCTATCAACAAATGTGAAAGTACTGGAGGAACATTTTAAAATGCACTTTAATCTCACCAGCACAAATAGCTTCTCGGGGCTCTAAACATCATCACCTGGAAAAACAGTAAAACTTTACTGCATCTTTAATTAAATTACAAACACAAAGGATAATTAACTTTTTTATTTTTATTTTATTCCTGCCATTGTTTCTCCTTCGAGTCAATATCTTCCGGCTGCAGGAGCGGCTGTTAGGAGGAAGTTTACGGCGAGGCCTGATGGGTGGATGCCCCGGGGCGGATGCTCGGCCCCTGCGCCCTCCCTGCGGGCCCCGCAGCGCTGGGGCCGCGCCCCTTCGTATCCCCACAGCGCGGACACTCCTGGCCAGCCCGTGGCGGGAGGCGCCCTGGGGACACGCGTGGCCGTGGCTCGCGGGTGTCGCGTGTGCTCACCTCGGACCTGGGCGTTCTGAGTCGTAACTCACTCACGCCTCGCAGCGGCGCTGGGAGGCAGCCCCACCCCCTTTTACAGGCGGGGAAACGGGGGCTCAGAGAGGTCGGGCCATCCGCCCTGGTCACACAGAGGCTGCGTCACCGGCTGACTCGAGCCTGGCCCCACCCGTGCGCGTTGCACTTCTGGGTGCTGGGCTGCGGCCCAAGCCTCCTCCCCAGGACGCGGGGCTGGGACAAGGGGGCGAGTGCGGAGGGCGGGGGGGTGGCGCAGGCGCCCACGCAGGGGCTTGACATGCCGGTCCCCATGGGGTAGTAGACCGTGGGGGCCCGAGGGCGGCCGGGGTAGGGAGGGGCCTCCCACGAGGGCCGTGGGCGCAGCGGCAGGGCCCAGCCGAGGCCACCAGGGGGCGCCCAGCAGGCGCGGGCGGGGCCGGGGGCCGGGGCTCTGGCTGGGACCCTCGGGCGGGGATGGCGGCTAGGGGCGGGGGCGCGCCAGGGCAGGGAGGGCAGGGGGGGCAGGGGCCTGACGGGAGCCCCTGGAGGCGCAGCCGCCTCCGGGCTGGTCGGATTCGGGAGCGCTCGGGAGGGGCGTCCAGCAGCGCTGGGAAGGGGACCTCGATTCCGGCCTGGAGGGCGGGCGGTGCAATGGGGGGAGCGCCCCGGCTCTGCGCCTGCGGGGGTGGGGGGCCTAGGGGTGTCGCAGCCGGGCCGCGCCCTTTCCCGCCTGCTCTGCCTCGAGAGGCGACCCCTCTCCTCCCCCTCTTCTCTCCCCTCCCCCTCTTCTCTCCCCTCCCCCTCTTCTCTCCCCTCCCCCTCTTCTCTCCCCTCCCCCTCTTCTCTCCCCTCCCCCTCTTCTCTCCCCTCCCCCTCTTCTCTCCCCTCCCCCTCTTCTCTCCTCTCCCCCTCTTCTCTCCCCTCCTCCGCCCCTTCCCTGCCCTGCCCTCCCCTCCCTTCCCTGGTGACGGTGGGAGCTTTGGTTCGCTGCTTGCCTCCTCCGAGCCTCGTTGTCTGCAGAGGGCGGTTCGGGGTAGGGGGGTCGCGACCTCGTAGGTGGGCGTGGAGGGCAGGGCGCTTCCCATGGGGACCTGCAGAGTCTAGTGGGTCTGTCGCGCTCACGACAAATCTTCTGCCCCCAGCAAGGCCCGTGTGATGCCCTCTCCCCGTAACTGAGGGTCCCCTCACCTCCTACCCCCACACGTTCCTGCAGAGCTTCCAGGCCACACCGGCTCTCACGCCAACGCTCGCGCCCTTCTACACACCGGGTGCGGGCACTAGCGCACGCACCGCTGTCCCCAAGGCTGGTCGGCCCCTCCTGCCTGGCACGCCCGCCCCTGGCACTTGCACGCAGACGGGGTGCAGGCCACCCGGGGTGTTCAGTTTTAGTGCAGTGGCTGCTTAATTATTGGTTAATCTAGCAATTTAGCATGCTTCATTTAATTCTAATTAGGAGAATTAATAGGCAGGGAATAGCGATTTCAATAGACTGGCACAAAACAAAACCTAGCCTGGACATCGTGCCGGTCTGGGGGCCGTGTCCAGGCTTGGGGGGGGCCTGGGGGTGTTGACAGCCAGGACTGCAGACCTTCCCAGGCGCCTGAAGGTCGTGGCAGGGGAAGGCGCTCAGGGCAGGCAGGAATCGCAGGCAGGAATCGTGCTGTGGCTGCTCACCCCGGCCTGCAAGGGCAGCCAGGTCAAGGGCATGGGGAGAACCCCCAGAGCATCCCCGGGCAGCACCCCCACAGCCCCCCACCTGCACCCCCGCAGCCCCTCACCTGCAGCCCCCGACCCGCAGCCCTGCGGCTGCCTGGTCCCGGCAGAGCCTGTGTTTGTCTCTGCTCATCAGGCGGCTCCCTGACAAGGCCCCGACATTGGACAAGGCTGTCCCTCTAATTAAGGTGCTAATTGAATTAAATGGCCGCGGTAATGAGCAGATGAGCGGCATAAAAAGTACAGAGTCAGATAGGCCAATTAACAAGAGCGCCGCGCATAATTATAACATTGGAAATACATGCAGCTCGCTCCAACATTGTTAATTGTTACCGGGGGATTTATGGTAATTGGCGCACAACAGGCAGCCGGGGAACCTGCCCAGGGCTGGTAATTAAAAAAATGATATTCTACACAAACGCCGGATGGCCTAATTAGGACTTGATTTACATAAAGGCCTTTGAGGAGGTGCTGGGTACCTCACCGCTGCTGCTGGGGCCACTCTGGCCAGCAGTCCACGAGGTGAGACCAGCAGGCAGTAGCCCCCCTACCACCCCGCACCCTGTGGCCACGGGAGCTGCTGGCGTCCAGGCTCCGTCTGCTGGCGGGGTCCGCATGGCCATCCCTGAGCCCTGAGCACAGGCCCTGCCTCTGTCTGGGAGAGGACCTCCAGGGCCCAAGGCCACCTTCCCCTGGGTTCGCCACTGTCCTGGAGGGGGCAGGTCCATTCGTCTGGCACATGGTCCCCTCTGCTCTCCCTGTGTGCTCCCCTCCTGCAGTGTCCCAGTGAGTGTGCCTGGCCAATGTCCTGGGCACGTGGTCAGGCAGGTGATCTGGGTCCAGCCCTCCCCTACCACGAGGACAGCCTCAGACCCAACACCCTGGTGCGGGAAGTGCCCCTGTCCCCACCGTACCCGCTCAGTTGCCTCAGAGAGGACCCGGAACACTACCAGATGCACAGAGGGCTGGAGGGAGGGAGGGGCCGGGAACAGTGTGCAGTGTGGGAGGGAGGGGCGGGGGCACCCTTGGAAGGCAGAGAGGAGACCAACTAAGCTCTGACTCACCCCTCGTTCTGTCTTACCCCCTCCCTCAAGGAGGCCGCCCTGCGCCCCATTTTACAGAGTGGGAAGTGAAGTCTGATGTCTGACAAACTAGGCCCAACTCTCCGGGCTTCCGCCACAGCCCCTCTCCTCTCCTGGGGCTGTCCCCAGGGGCCAGCATGGTGCCGGGCACCTCTCCAGAATGTGGACCCTGGCCCCAGCCGGGGCACAGTCCCAGTCGCCCCTGCGGCGTCCCCGGCCTGCCCACCGCTGCCGCCTCTTCGACTTTCTGGAGCAGATTTACCGTAACGTTCACACTCTGAACAGAAAACTCTGCCTCATTTACAAATGTAATTTCAATTGAGGGTAGTTTTCCAATCTCCTTTCATTGGAGTCCCAATTGAGCCCCTTCTCGCGGTGCTGATGGCATGATTAGACAGTGTGCGCGCGGAGGCAGATTAGTCAAGCGCGGCCCCGTAAATTGGGAAGGATGTTTTATCAGGACACGTCGCTGTGCTGCAGGCAGCTGTGGGGTGCTCTGGGCTGTCCCCTCAAATCACGGTTATGGAATAATTTAGCCCGCGATTCTCTGCGATTACTGCCGCCACTGATCATGCTGTCACTTTCCGAGTGAGCACTTCATCCTGCGTTTATTCATGCCAGATCTGTTTTGCTTTTGTAATGAGCACATATTACCCCGGCACAAAGAGGATGAAGGCAGCCGCGTGATAGATAGGCGCGAGATTAAATGGGATCTTTATGACTTCTGCAGCCATCAGTTCTGACTGTGTGATAAGACGCGTCGACTAGGGCCCTGATTTGCTCTTTATTGGAGCCAATATTAGCATGCTCTCACCAGTGCACGGGCCGATCAAACCCACTTAAGGTGGACTCACCGCATAGGCCCAGCTGCAGATGCTGCTGGGATGGCCAGGAGGGAGGCTGCAGCCCACAGCCGGGCAGGTGGGGGGTGTGGAATTCTCACACTGCCCTGGGGCCACTTCACCCCGGGTGGCTTGCAGGGGGTCCCGGGGGTGAGGTGCCCCTGGTGACCCCAGGCTCAGTGGACTGTCCTGTATGCCTGGGTCTCAGGGTGGCCCTCTCCCTTCCCACCCCTTATCAGGCCTCCAAGAATGATGGCTCTCCCAACCCATGCTGGGGACCCAGCAGCCTCCTCATTCTGCCCCCAGCTCCTGCTCTCTGGCAAGGAGGGAGATTGGCTTGTTTAGGACCCCAGGGGTGCCAGGCCATTTCCTGGGTGGGGGCAGTGTCCAGCACCTTCCTCTGCCACTCAGTATCATGGAGACCCCTCCCTCCCCCTGCTGGACAGCCGCCACCTGTACTCAGCTTCGGGCAAGGCGCTCCCCGTCCTGCCTCTCTGTCTTCCTGCCATACCTTCAGCAACCCCCTTGACAGCCCCCCTCCCAGGCCACCCCTCTGTCAGGGGCACTGCCTGTGCCTGTCACTGCCTTTCTTTCCCCTGGTGTGGCCCCTGCCAGACCGCAGCCATCTCCCCTGTCAAAGTCTCCTAAAACTCAGACTGGATGATCTGCATCCAGTCTGCACCTTGGATGATGCCAAGTGGAGATTGGATGATGCCAACTCGGGCACAGGGTGGGATGGGGTAAGGTTGGGGGCCAGAGAGACTTGGGGTGTGGTGGAGCCCTGGACCTGAGTCCACACAGCATCCCATCCTGTGGCTGCGCTTTCTCCTGAAGGGGCTGCCAGCCCTCCTCAGGGACTGCAAGCACAGCTGGGTATGTCCCATGCAGTCAGCCCTGCCGGGTGGCCCCCAGCTGCCTCTTCCCCCAGCAGGGCATGGGCAGGCAGTGGGCACTCAGGGGGTAGCTGGCTTGCTGCACCCTGTCCTCTTGGTGGGCGGATGGGGCCCCTTCACTGCGTGGGGACTGGACTGCTGTCACGTGCCTTTAGATGTGCAGGTTGCTTCTGTGGCCACCTTCTGTGAAGGAGGCCTGTCACTCATCCACCTGGCACATTTTTAACCTCAATGTCATGTGTTGACACCGAGGGAGGCAGAGACCATGAAAGCTTGCCATAGCCGAGGGGTTCGGGCAGCCGGTCCGTCCGGGGAGGCCCAGCAGCCTGGCACACAGGGCGTGGGCCCTCCTGCCAGAGACAAGCTGAGCCTGCCGCCCGCTGACCACCTGCCGTCCAGCCAGCCCCACCCACCGGCTCCAGGCCCACCTCCTGCACCTGTCCAGGCCTCGCCTGTCTCAGGGGTGCCCGTGTGTGCAAGGCCCCACAGGAGGGGCTGGGACAGAGTGGGGCTGGGGGTCCCTTGAAATGATCCCTTGGCTGAGGGCCACAGAGGAAGAGAGGCGTGGGGGCACCAGAGACCATCTGTGTTTTAAAAGAATGTCTTCCAATCTTCCTCACAGAGGAATCTGAAGAAACGTGCTGGATGTCCCCAGAGAAGGAGCTGAACCATTTGAGTGGGGGCTTCACTGACTCTCCCCACACACAGGGCACCGGGGGAGAGCAGTCACATGACCGGCAGGCGGGGGTTTTGACCCTGGTGGGAGGGGATGAGGAGGGCACCAGTCCGGCCCTGAGACAACCCCCAAGACCAGCCCTGACTGGGACACTCTGCAGGATGTCAAGCAGTGCCCCCAAAAGCTGTCAAGGCCGTCCTAGACCAGCGGGGCCTCAGGAGATGGTGCAGAGTCCTGGACCAGACAAACGGCACTGGGAAAGCAGGAGCCCAAAGGAAGGCTGGAATTCAGGGAAGAGCCACGTGCCAGGCTGTGACGAAGGCGACAAGATGAAACAGTAGGGGGGCGGGGGAGGCATCCAAACTCTATGTGCTGTCTTTGCACTACTCTGTAAATCTAACATTATTCGGAAGTGAAAGTTAAAAATCACTCCGGCTCTGGTGTGCAGTGTGGCTGCTGGGAAGGAGGGGAAGAGTTGGGGATGCAGGAAGAGCTGGGATGAGGGAAGAGCTGAGGGTGAGGGAGGAGCTGGATGAGGGAGGAGCTGAGGGTGAGGGGGAGCTGAGATGAGGGAGGAGCTGAGGGTGAGGGAGGAGCTGAGGGTGAGGGGGAACTGAGATGAGGGAGGAGCTGAGGGTGAGGGGGAGCTGAGATGAGGGAGGAGCTGAGGGTGAGGGAGGAGCTGAGGGTGAGGGGGAGCTGAGATGAGGGAGGAGCTGAGGGTGAGGGGGAGCTGAGGATGGGGGGAGCTGAGGGTGAGGAGGAGCTGAGATGAGGGAAGAGCTGAGGGTGAGGGGGAGCTGAGGATGAGGGGGAGCTGAGGATGGGGGGAGCTGGGAGGGAGGAGCTGGGGATGAGGAGGAACTGCAGTGAGGGAGAAGCTGGGAATTGGGGAGGAGCTGAAATGAGGGAGCAGCTGGGATGAGGGAGGATCTGGGAAGAGGAAGGAGTTGGAAATGAGGGAGGTGCTGGGATGAGGGAGAAGCTGGGGATTGGAGAGGATCTGGGGAAGAGTGAGGACCTGAGGGAGGAGCTGGGATGAGGGAGGAGCTGGGGAAAAAGAGGAGCTGGGATGAGAGAGAAACCAGGAAGAGGGAGGAGTTGGGAATGAAGAAGGATCTAAAATGAAGGAAGAGTTGGGATGGGGGAGAAGCTGAAGGGGTGGGAGGTGTGGAGAGACATTTTAGAGGTGGGAGGCTGTGTGTTTGTGTGTTTGAATGTGTGAGGGTGAATGTATGTGAGTGAATATGTGAATGTGAGTCAATGTGTGTGAATGTGTGTGTGAATGGGTGTAAATGTGAATGTGTGTGTGAAGGAACGTGAGTGAATGTGAGTGTGAATGTGAGAATGTGGGAAAGTGAATTGTGTGAATGTGGGTGTGTGAATGTGTGTGAATGTGAATGTGAGAATGAATGTGTGTGAAAGTGAATTGTGTGAATGTGGGTGTGTGAATGTGTGTGAACGTGTGTGTGAATGTGAATGTGGGAATGTGAATGACTGTGTGTGAGTGAATGTGTGTGAATGTGTGTGTGTACATGTGAGTATATGTGTGAGCAGTTTTGCGAGTGGACAGTGTGTGCATGTGAGCATAGGATGTTTGGTGTGACTGCGTGTGCAGGGGCCTCACCTGCCTCCACAGTGGCTTGGCCACACCTTTTCACAGCTGGGGAAGCTGAGGCCCGGCCCCTCTGGGGCAGGAGTCAGGATTGGTGGTATCATCTGCCCGTCTGCTGGAGCCCCTCCCACCCTCATGCGCCCACCAACCCCCACCTGGCTTCTGCCACAGGTGGTTCGCTCTTTGTGATTTTTAGGCCTCCAGCCCCCTTCCCCCGACCAAGCCATGGATGTCCCCCAGCTGTCCCCACAGGAGTGTGGTGAGGGTCTGCGGGTCTGCATGGAGCCTTAGCTGGGGCTCCCGCCTTGGAAGCTGGGTGGGGGTTCCGTGCCTCCTGCAGGCCCCCCCAACCTCTCCCTTATCACAGCTGCCGAGTGCTCCCGACTCCCCCACCCACCACCCTTAATAGAAACCCATAAATATCTCTACTTGCTAATTTAAAAAGAGACGGGGCTGTTTATGAGCACCCCAAGAATGACATTTATGGGCCTGAAGGTAAGTGATTATTGACAGTAGACAAAGGCCCAGGAGTGGAGGAGCTGGCCCATTCGCTCCCAGAGATAAGGAGAGTGTTTCCTTTTCTCATGCTAATTTCCAACCTGAACTGTACACATTAGAGCAGGGAGGACTTCCCTTTCTTTTCATCTTAAATGTCACTACAAAGCGCTGGGATCCCAGGAAAGAGACGCCAGGACAACACTCCCCTGCCGCAGGAGCGGGGGTGACGCTGTGGCTGCCAGGCGTTGGTGGTGGGGCTGGGATGGGGGACGGGGCTGGGAACTCAGGGTGTGGGAGGCCCCAGGGTGCGGGGGTCTTGTCTCCTCTAGGTGTCAGAGCGCCTGACCCCACAGCTCAGCTCCCAGGCAGAGTGGGCCAGGGACCCACCGTCTTCCTATCTCACCAGGCCTCAGTCCACAGAGTGCTTTAAGAGAAAAGCAGATTAAATGTGTTTCCTTGTCTGTTTATTACATGTGTGTGTGTCAGAAGCCGCTGCATGCACACTTGTTCCAGGGCGAGGAAAATAAGGGTGGCTGCTGCCCTGGGCCTCGGATCAGAGAAGGGTGGGGCAGCCCAGAGAGCAGCTTTCCACCTCCTTGCACGATGCACCCCTTCCACGCTCCCTTCCCCCTGTGCAGGGTCAGGGCTCTAAGAGAAGCAGGAGGTCACCCCCAAGCGGCTTGCTGAGGAGGCCCTTCCGCCTCGTGGGGCCATGGCAATGAAGAGCACACTTGGACCCAAAGGAAAGAGCACTTAGGGTGGCGAGCACAAGCCCTCAACTCCAGGGACACCTTCCTCCTGCCAGCGCCAGGACCTGGAGACGTTCTTCCCTGGCAGCACCAGCACCCGGCACCAGGTCTGGTTCACCTGCCGACCCCAGCCCAGGTGAGGCCCTGCCTGGCTGGAGTCAGGGCTAAGGGAGGTGGAAAAATAGCAGGTGATTCTCCCGGGGAAGCCTGGAAGAAACGGGTGGGCTCCGAGAGGACACAGGCTGGGCAGCCAGCGGCCTGGCCCGGTGAGGCTCAGCCTCAGCCTCTGCTTCCACCCCTGCACTCACAGCTGCAGACACCGTGCTTGGGGCAAGACTGCTAGGCTGGGGTCTGCCAGACCCTCAGTGAGGCGGCCAGCATCCCCCGCTTTCCCTGGGAACTAGGGATGAGGGTCAGAGTCTGCCCCCCATGGCCCTACCCACACTCCTAACCCTTGGAAACCTCTGCTGCACACCTGTGACCTGTGGTGGGTTGGGCACTGCCCTCACCCTGTGGCCCTCCTGGCCCCTGAGGCCCCCACCTGCAGTGCCCCAAGCGGAGAAGGGTGTCCCCAAATGCATAAACACAGGTTCCAACCCGCAGCCTTGCCCACCAAGGCCTCATTGCACATTGTCGAGATTGGGGCATCCTCTTCACCCCCACAGACCCCCCCCCCCCAACTAGTCTAGCCTTAAGCAGCTCCTCCAAGCCCCTCTCAAAGGCCCAGGAGCCCGGCAGGTCTGGTCCCAGGGGCCTCCCCAGCCTCCTTGACCTCCTTAGCTGGGCTGAGGCTGCCTCTACCCGCCTGGGCACCCTCTCTCCTCTCCTGTCTCAGGCTTGCTGGGTCCATTCAGATTTGACACCAGGGCTGTGCTGCTGTGTTGGCCTGGAGTGGACGGGCTGTCCAGGAGGAGCTGCACTCGGCTCGGGGAACTAGGGTTGGAGAAGCCCCTGAGGAGAGAGGACGGGCCGTCATTTGGGGACCCCTGCTGCTGATGCAGGGGTGCAGACGGGCCGTGAACCGCCAGGCCCTGACCTGGTTCTGGGCGTGCACTGGGGGAGCTGTGGAGCCGAGCAGTGTGAGAGGGAGGCAGGTCCCTGAGCGCGTCTCACTGTCCTCACCTGGCACACGTGGATGGTGTCAGAGCCAACCCGTGTAGATGGATAAGCCACCTCGTGGGGGTGCCAGACGAGGACCCAGCTGCTCTGTTGCTAGGCACAGGGCCCTGGCCTTCACTGCACGGCCGGCACCGAGCCCAATGCCAGGCACATGGAGGGTGCTCAGCCCACCCTGGCCGGGCCACTTCCTTTGTCCCCTCTGGATCCCTGTGTTTGTTGAGTGGCTGAATGACCCACTCTGTGTGATGTCTGAGGACTGAGCCACCCCTCTGGCTAAACACTGTCCGCACACTTCCAGGCGTGAGTTAGGAATTCCGTGCCCTTGCACCCTCTTCCTACCCAGGGTCAACCCCCCTCACAGCCCCACAGGTGTCCAGAACCCAAAGTTCTGTGGCCTAAGGAACCCCGCTAGATAAGCCAGGAGCTAACATCCCCGCCTCTCAGTGTCAGGAGCCCCTGGAGTGGGGTTGTGAGCACCAGGCAGATCTGCTGAGGATCTGAGCGGATTCCTCAGCCAGGTGCATCTACCGGCATCTGCCAGCCACAAGCCAGCCATGCGCCCCCTACGCGGGTGTCTCAGAGGTGGCGTGAGCCCCAGACAACGCCCTGGAGCTGGGCTGTGTCCAGGGTTCTGCCTCCCCCATGGCATGTTGCCTGCAACTTCATTTCTGCCCCAAAGTCTCCCCAAGAAAAGCGTGTTACTAATGCCATTGCGCTGCTGTATGAAGCCGGGGGTCTGGGGGTCCTTGGGGTGGGTGAATCTGGCCTCCCGGCTGCCATGGTTTCGGCTCCACAAAGGGCTCCCACCTCGGTATTCTGCTGCCCCACCCTTCCTCCCCCACAGGCAAGGACAGGGCAAGAGGGGTCACCCTGCACAGGCGGAGTGCTCAGTGCTGCCGTCTGGCCCTGCCGCTGGTTCTGGCCTTGCTCTCCTTGCACAACAGGCCCAGCCTCTCTTCATGGGCCTTCTCTTGCCTTTGCCCACACACCCCTGGGATCCAGGGTCGTCTGAGCCAAAAGGCCTTCGAGGTCATCCAAGGTCATCCAGGTCGTCCTGGACCACGGCACCCCAAACTCCCCTGAGCTCCCCAGAGGGCTGCCCAGCCTCTCAGAAGCACAGAGAGCAGCCTGCTGCAGCCCACTCCACATCCTGCAGACTCAGAGCCAGAGGCCGGAGAGACCAGGCGGGCTGTGGGGAGCTGGGCCCTGCCCGGTGCCCTGCAGGCTCCCCAGGACATACTGCCCTTGGCTGCCTACAGACCCACGGCCACACAGGAGCCCCAGGACCAACCAGCTCAGCCTACCAGAGACCTCGAAGCCGGGACAGCAGCTTGCCGGGCCTGTGCCGGGAGGGTCTGCCCGGGACTGCCGTCCATGTTCCGGCTGCGTGCTGCGGCCCACAGCCCCCATGGGGCTCCTGGGAAAGCCTGCCCCGGTGGCTCCACGGCTCTCCCAGCCTCTGGAGGACCCGAGGGCCTGGCGTTTCTCATGCCCCTCAGAGCTGGGTGCGCCGTGGGCGTTGTCAGGCAGCTGGAAAATTGAAGGGCTCGCGGGGCGCCCTGGGAAGTGCGTGGCCGCTCCCTTCTCTTTCGTCCATTTCCCCTCAAACAACTTCCCGGGAAATGGACGCGGATGCTTCTGACAGTGGATGATGGATGGTGCCGCAGAGCCTGCCCAGGAGAGCGCCGCGGGGCTGCGGGTCGGAGGCGGCGCGGGTGGGAGGCGGCGCGGGTGGAGTGGGGTGGGAGGTGGCGCGGGTGGGGTGGGGTGGGAGGCGGTGCGGGTGGGGTGGGTGGGAGGCGGCGCGGGTGGGGTGGGTGGGAGGCGGCGCGGGTGGGGTGGGGTGGGCGGGCCGCCCCAGGCTGTCTGTGGGCTGCATGGGAGAGGGTGGAGTTGGGATGGGGGCGCTGCTGGAGGAAGGACCCGCAGAATGAACTGTGCAGTCGTGGGGAGTGGGCCCTCCGGACACTCGCTGTGGGGACATCCCTGGCTGGCTTGGACCCTGCCCCATTCTCCAGCTGAGACCCAGCCCGCCCATCACCTCGCCGGGCCTCGGCTTCCTCATCTGTAAAATGGGCCTGTGCTTGCCCTGCACCGTGGCGGCGTGAGCTCCAGGAGGTGCTGCTGGGCCGGAGCCTGGTGCACAGAAGGGAGCTCCCGCGGGTGGTGTGCTGGTCGCTGGGAGGCCTCAGGGTGTGCGGGCCCGGCCTGCCCCGGCTGGGAGACTTCCACCTTAAGGTGTGAGGAGCCCTCCGTGGCCGAGTTCTCCTCCGCCCCCGCCGCCCTGGTGACAAATAC
Organism: Homo sapiens; assembly: GCF_000001405.40. Classification (NCBI taxonomy): domain Eukaryota; kingdom Metazoa; phylum Chordata; class Mammalia; order Primates; family Hominidae; genus Homo; species Homo sapiens. Next base: position 1,568,211 of record NC_000004.12, on the reverse strand, counting down.
TAATGTCTAAATCAGCAGCCGCAGGCCGCCGCCTGCCGTGTTCTTTGCTGAAATGTCACCTGTTCCTATCTAACGATTTGCATAATGCAAACCTTCTCACTCGTAAAATACAGATTAAGAGGGGAAGCCGGAGTCATTCTGGAACCAGGGAGCCATTTCAAAGGGAACGAGGAGGGAGGCCTGGGAGGCGCCGTGCTCTTAACCCCGTCCCTGCCGGCCCTGCCTGCACCTCCACAGCCGGTCTGGCCTAACACACTGGGGCCGAGCTGGGGTCAAGGTTGATCCCATGATGCTGGGCGGGTCCAAGCTGTGGAAGGGCGGGGCGTGCTGCCCAGCCCTTCCCCTGGTCGCACGTGTGGACGGCTGTGTCCCCCATCCCCTTGCACCTTCCACCCATGTGTGGAGGGGAGGCTGGAGGGGCCGGGGGCCCTGGGCTGGGGCTGCTCCTGGTAGGTCCTTGGGGGCCTTTCGGGCTGTCCTGGCCCCAGGTGTTTTAACGATGTGGCCTCAGGCCGAGGAGGGACCCCGAGCCCAAGTCATGATTAGGGGTTTCTCCAGCCCCCCAAATCTGGCTGGGTGTGTGGTCTCAGCAAAGGGGGAGCAGGTGCTGAGGAGAGAGGAGATCCCAGGACTCTGCTGGGCACAGGGGGCGTGGCCAGGGCCACCCCTTCAGCCTGGGTTGTGGGGCCATGGCCAGCTTCTGGGCCGGAGGAGGGGGCAGAGGTCCTGAAAGTCCCTGGTGGGGGATGGCGGGGGACAGGGCTGCTGCAGGGGGTGGGAGGGGAGCTCAGAGGATGGGGCCTCTCTTCCGGCAGGAGGCGAGGCTGCTCCCCGCCCTGCGCAGCGAGGAGTGGGTGGGCCTCACGCAGCCCCAGGTCCTTCATGCTGCAAAGCCAGCACCCGCCCGCCGGTCCTGGACCTTGCCCCCTCCCTCTCTCCCTCCACTGGTCTGCCCTCCACCAGTACCGGGTACCACCAGCCCTGCTCCTCCAGCTGCCCTGGGAGGGTCTGGGCTCTGGCAGGGTGCTGGGGAAAGGGCTGCACACATCTGCAGATCTGAGCCCGCAGGGTGGGATGCTGTGAAGCCTGGGACTGCAGCGGAGTGAAGGTAGAGCCTGAGCGGCACCAAGGACAGGGAGGCCCCGATGACTCAAGGGTCAGGAGGAGAGGCGAGAGAGCCGAGGCTGCAGCTGATGTGGAAGGGCAGTGGGTGCCTGACCTGACGGGGGTGGGGGGACCCCCTGGCCCAGCCCCTGCTCCAGGAGGGTCACAAGGGAGGGGCTGACTTACAGGCCTTCCCTGTGGAGAAGAAGAGAGACCTGGGGCTGGACCTCCCCAGGAGCCCCCCTCTGTGACTCCACCCAAAGGGAGCCCCGCTCACCTGGAGCTACACCCAACCTGTGACTCCCGCCAAAGCCACACCCACCTGAAGCCACACCCACCCGGAGCCACACCCACCCAGAACCACACCCACCTGTGACTCAACCCATATTCCCGCTCACCTGGAGCTACACCCAACCTGTGACTCCCGCCAAAGCCACACCCACCTGAAGCCACACCCACCCGGAGCCACACCCACCCAGAACCACACCCACCTGTGACTCAACCCATATTCCCGCTCACCTGGAGCTACACCCAACCTGTGACTCCCGCCAAAGCCACACCCACCCGAGCCCCACCCACCTGGAACCACACCCACCTGTGACTCCAGCCATATTCCCGCCCACCTGGAGCCCCGCCCCACCCAGAGCCCAGTCCACCGGGAATGCTGTTGGTGGGAGCCTTGCCCCTCTGCCTGCCCTGCAGCTTTCCTCTGATCATGGTCCTGGGGAGTCTGGATTTACCAGCTCCCAGCATTCATCTACACCTTCCCTCACCTCTCCCGGGAGAGTGGACGCCTGGGAGCCTCCCCTGGTGCTCCTGGGCACCGTGGCATTCTCATCTCCGCATCGGCAGCACTGCGTCTTTAGCGGTGGCTCTGCGGGGCCCGCTTGGTGCCGCCTCCATGTCAGCTCAGGAAGCGCTGGCAGCCCTGTGGTTGGTGCCACCCTTTTCTTGGCGGGCTCCAGCACAGACAGCATCTGTGTCTGATGCCCACGAGACACAAACACAGACTACCCCTGGGATCCGCCGAGCCTCCCCCTCTGCAGGTGGGGCGCCCGCCTCCCCGCCGGGGACGAAGGGGGTCATTGCCTCCCCCTCTGCAGGTGGGGCTCCTGCCTCCCTGCCAGGGACGAAGGGGGTCATTGTCCTGGATCTGAGGTCCTTCTCAGTGCCGTGGGACCTCACACTGTCCCCTACCTGCCTCTACCGCAGTCCCCAGGGACGGATGGAGGAGGCTGGCGTGCACACACATGACCTAGCGTTCTGGCTTCTCTGTACTTGGAGAGCCCAGTTCTGCCCCTCTGCTGGATGCTCTCTACCGGCAGCAGGCGAGCTGTCTGTCCCCATGGGGCACCTGCGGGGCCACACCCTCGCTCTGCCTGGGCCTGTGGACATCCTGAAGCTGGTTTCAGCAGTCTCACTGGACACCAAGAACGACATTCCTAAACCTGGGTTTAGGAGTGTCTAGCCATGGGGTCATTAGGTTGAGCCACAGCCAACCTGCCTGCACAGGTTTGATTTATGGCCAAGAGACTGAGAGGGCCCCCTGCAGGGTCTTCACCCCACAAGGCCAGGGCCAGGCCTGAGAACCCAGGATCCCACCCACATAGAGGCCTCTGTCCCCTCCAGGGGCAACCTCACCTGTGTGGGTGTGTCCCCACCTGGAGGAGATGCTAAACCTTGCTAAACCTTGGAGCAAGTCTCAGGCCCCAAATTACTCCCCCTACCCCCATTTCTGGCCCAGCTGAGCAATGACCCAGTGCCTGGCTCTGAGCTGATGGTTCTGAGAGACCCCTGAGGAGCAGGGGTGTTGAGTGGCTTTCATGTCGGGAGCTGCTGTCACTGACCGCCCTGACCTCTTTCGAGGCTGACGGGGCCACGGGGTTTTCCAGTCTGAGCTTGCAGGGGAGTGGCCTCGGGGGTAGACAGAGGTGAGGACGAGGGAAAGGCTGTGAGCAGTCGGGTGGGGCAGGGCCCCTCACTGCTCATCCATCATTCACCCGCCTTGCCAGAGGGGCCCAGCCTTGGCAAGGTCAGGGTCCTGCCTACCGAGAGCAGACGTTCTGGGGACTCCGACCTGCACCCAGGCAGCTGCCGAGAGTCCCCCAACATGGAGGCCCAAAGAACAGCCAAGGATGACCCCACGTGGGACCCAGGGAGCAAGGCCAGGGTCCCCAGGACTAGGAGGCCTTGGACAGGGCTTGGCCCCACAGCTGGGGAGGATGATGCTGGCTCAACTCCCAGAGGGACGCCAGCTGAGGGAGGTTGTTGAGCTGGGCTGCGGAGGGGTCTGCGTCGGCAAGCAGGCCTGGCATGCTGGGGAGCTGAGGGGCAAGGGGAGCGCCTTTGAGGGCCCCCAGCCCAGCCAGCTGCATCTGCAGCCTCCCCCATCCTGCCCCTCACTCTGGCCTCTTAGACCACCGACCCCACAAGGCCCCCTCCTCAGCCATCAGCAAAGACAGGCTGGCTGGTCCTGCTCCTTCTTTAAGCACCTTCCCCTGACCTGCACCCCCTGCCCTCCTCCCTGGCACCCCAGCCCACCCCCTTCCCTTGGAGGGGCAGCCTCCACGGCCCTCCCGGACCCACACCGAGGGGGCTTCTGTCTGGTCACCATGGGGACCTTATTAAACCTCGGGGGCAAGTCTCAGGCCCCAAATTACGCCCCCACCCGCAACGTTATCTGGCCTAGCTGACGTCTCCTTCCTCCTGCAGACACCGCACAGCTCCCATAGCTCTGCCTCTCCATCAGCCGTCTTCTCACAGCCTCTTCCTGGTCCCCTCCCTGCTCCTCTTGTGTCATTCCCACACACACCTGTCCCGCCGCCCGCTCCGCCTTCTCAGGGTTGCTGCCTGAGGCCACATAGCCTCTGGGGTCCTGCCCCTCCCCTGCTCAGATCCCCACTGGCAACCCTGTGCTCCAGAAGCCTGCTGACCCTCAGGTGTGCGCCTGTTCCCCCTCAACCATTCTGCTTTGTGTCCCTGGGTCCCACAGGCAACCAGTTAGCCTTCCAGCCCTCACTCCAGTGCCAACGGTGGTGCAGGGCACAGGGTGGGTGCCCTTAAGCCTAGTGCAGTGACCAGGGGCACCCCAGGGCTGGGGCCGCCGGGACCATCCTCCCTGGGGCTAAGTCACCCCAAGTTCTGGGCCTGGATGTGCTAGGTGCTGGGGAGAGTGGGGGCAGAGGGTGCCACACAGGTCACTCCTGCCTCCACCGTAGGGGCTGGGGGTGCAGCCCTGAGGGTGGCCGGGAGGCGGAGATGGGGAAGGGCCAGGCCTCCAGCTGCTGATAAAGCTTCATTAATGGCCTCTCGCTAATGAGAAAGCCGAGCTGATTATGACAAATCGAAGGGGGCAGGGGCTAAGTGGAGACACCAGAGACACCCTGGGGCAGGGGTGGGGGTGGAAGGGTGGGCAGGGTGGAAGGGAGAGGTGGTTCCCAGGCTCCTTGCTCCTCCAGTGCCCCCACCCTGGCCCTTCACCTGCCCAAATCACCACCCACCTCCCCACGCCAGCTCTCCAAAGTGCATGGGGCCTGGGCAGCAACGGGTGGGGTCCCTAGGGGTGACTGAGTGAACTGTTTCAGGCTTTTCTGGGCAGGACAGGAGGAAGGGCGGTCCTCGGCTTGAGGCTGGGATGGGGGTGCATGGCTTGGATGGAGACTCGGGGGCCTCTAGGGCTGCAGGGAGGACGGGCCAGGCAGGTGAGGAGTTGCCCAGAGACCCCGGGCCCAGCCATGGGGTTGTTGAGGACACCTTGAACCACCCTAGCAGAGACAGCCAGGCCAAGGCTGGGGCAGGGACCATGTGGGCAACACTCACCCCGTGGGGAGCTGGCCCCGTGGTCTCTGGCTTGGGCAGGGAGGCACAAGCTCTGTGCCTCAGTTTCCCAAGAGTACCCCAGGTAAGAGGCCCATTTCCTCCTCTCCTTCAGTCCAGGAGGTGTCTGGCTTAGGAGACACACAGTCCTGGGTCTGCAGCTCTGGTGCCCCTTGTCCCTCTCCAGGTCCTTGTCCCTGTATCCAGGACCTCAGGTGCGGGGTCTGCTTTTTCTGGGAAGCACCCCTAGCTGGGGCAGAGGCAGCTGTCTGAGCTTCCCTTTGCCCATCCGTCCGCCTGTTTCGAGCCTCATTGCGCACCAGACTGTCCCAAGAGCTGGGCGCAGCGGGCAGAGCAGATCCTGCTTTCAACATCCTGGCCTCGGCCCTGCCCACCCACACGGGCCACCCTCCTTCTGCTCGGCCCTCCCCCCAGCAGCCCCTTCCAGACCACTGCCTGTTAGACCTGCGGACCCACACTGCCGTGTCCAGCAGCAGCCCTGGATGCCCTGACACCTCCCTTCCCAAAGCCCATCCCCAGTCAGCTTCTGGAACCTTCTCTCCAGGTTCCCTTCCTGACCACTGGGGTCCTGCCAGCTCTGCCTGCCCATGGGTGCTCTCGCCCGGCCCACGCCAGCCCTGGGCTGGACAGCAGGCGGGAGCCGCAGGATTTGAGGCACCACAGTCCCCAGGCAGCTGGCCTCCTACCATGCTGGGGTGTTATTTAGAGGGTTTGGGGCGAGACGAGAACAGCCTAATGGGGCTGACCATGTGGAAGGACGTCTTATCTGGGCCCGCGCCGGCCATCCATTACCACTAATGACACCGGCCTCGCGCCTCGGCCGCTCTCGGCCAGGTGGGCCACTCTGTCCTCATTGTCCTCTTCCAGGGATGGCCCCGAGACCTGCGGGAAGGGCCTGGGGTCTCCCTATCGTCCCAGAGCAGCAGCCCCACGTCGCGGGCGCCCCGTGATAGATGAAGCATGGAAATTAGTTCCAGAGTTTAACTGATAACCGCAGAGCCCACGACACTCGGTTATGGCAGCTCTAATTGATGAGCTCATTAAGTCCATTATTAGAGAAATTGATTTCAAATAGGCACTTGGAGTGCGCGGGGAGGCAGGTGGAGAGGGAGCGCGGAAGGCAGGGGAAGTCTCGAAATACATAATGAGGCACGTAATGTTATAGGTTTGTTTAATGAAAAGCCTCAACTGCACGCTCGTGGCCGTGTGTGTTTTAAACACCCATTTTATGTACTAATAAAGCTCCCGGCGCTGGGGTCCCTCCTTGGCCCCAGCCCACTGTGCTCCATGGCTGCCCCTAATTAATTAATTAACCCGGGCAAGGCGATCAATGAGTTAGTGGCGCAGAATCGACACTCCCAGGCCGTGGGTTGTTGGGAGGGGTGAGGGAGGCCGGTGGGGCCGGCGGCGGAAGTGGGTACCTGGGCTTCCCATCCTCTGCCCTCTCGGCCTCACCCTGCCTGGCTCGGCCACCCGAGGCTGAGGCAGACCCTGTCCTGGATGGTGGGGACCTGGGTTGCCATGGAGCTGCTCCACCCGGCCAGGGAGAGGTGGCCCAGACCCTGAGGCCCAGGGTCCCAGAACCAGGGCGGGAGACAGTCACGGTGACCCTGACCTGTCTGCTTCAGCTCCAGGGGTCCCTCCCAGCCATGCTCCACAGGCTACCGACGCCCTCCTCTCGGGGCTACAGGGCTCAGTCTGGGATGGTTGTCAGCATCCCCACCCAGCCTCTGTGCAGCCCCAGACCACATGCACCTAGACAGACACACGTAGACACACACAGGTACTCGGCATCCCACATGCAGACACATGTGGACACACGTGGACACACAGAGATACTGACACAGAAATACACAGAATCCCTTACAGAGACACATGGTCACAGAGACACACGCAGACACTCACAGACACGCTACACACACATGACCAGCCCTTCCTTTCTGCAACGTGCTCCGGTGTGTGTCCAGGGCTCTGTGCTCCCCGGCTCCCAGGCCTGTGGCTGTGCCTGCCCTCTGGGTCCTCTGCTCCGAGGCTTGACACCTGCTCTGTCCGGCCCTGGCCTCTCGAGCCGCCTGTGCTGATGACCACTGGCCACCCTCCTGCCGCCGACTCCCAGGCCGTGAGTCCGGAGGCCCCAACATCTCCACCCGGCTGTCCCAGAGGCTTCTCACACTCAACATGGCTGAATCCTAACGATCCCCGATCACTTGCTGCCCAGAAGTCCCCGTACCTAGTGAGGGGTGCCCAGCCTTCCAGGCCCCGCCATGGGCCCCGCAGCTTCTCCCGGCCCCTTCATCCCATAGAGGTTCCCATGGCTGCACCATGGAAATGCACAGAACCCAATCCCTCCTCATGCTGCCTCTCGGCTGCCCGGGTCCCCTCGGCGTCCACCCCATCGCTGCAGCTCAGCAGCCATTGCGCAGAACAGACCCCTCTGGCCTCCAGCCCGTGGCCACGATGACCCTGGCTGTGCCTCCCACACCAGGTGCTGTGGCGAGGGCCTCCTGCTGTCCCCTGTCTGGAGCCGCTCCCCAGGTGACCGTGCTCCCTTCGCCCAGCCCTTCCCGCCTTGTCCCACCTTCCTCCACGGTGGTCACCTTCACCTGGGGTCCCGCGTGCATCCCGTGGACCGACTGCCACATCCGCACTAGGACGCAGGCTCCACAGGGCATGGTGACATCTGTTTTCTTTTTCCTCCGAGGCAGCCCAAGTCCCCAGAACAGTGTGGGGTGCCGAGGAGCTCCGCCAAGTTCAGGAGAGAACAGATTCGTCTAACTCATTTAGCCGCACAGCAGGGAGTCAGGAAACAGCGACCGCTAACACAACAAGAAATGACGCATTTTGCAGTGGATACGATAATTAAAATGGTGCTGGAGCCATGCACAGCTGAGCTGGGCCCGGTGTGCAGGCAGCTGACGCAGGGCGCTGAAAAACAGAACAAACCTACGAGTCTGTCGGGTGACTCGACAGGGGCCGCGCCTGAAGACCGGGTGACCGAGGCGGTGCGGGAATCCGTGGCCCACGGCAGGAGGCCGCTGCCATGTCCTAAGGCTGCCGGGGTGAAGCTGGAGTTGGGGACGCAGAGTCAGGCCAGGCTTCCTAGAAAAGGAGGATCAAGAAGGAGGCACCTGCCAGCGGGAGCCGAGGTGAAGAAATGCCACCCAAGACAGATGTGGAGGGGTCCAGGCCCCCAATCCCTCTGGGCTGCGGCCAGGGGCTCCCTTGACCGGACCCAACCAGAGGGCAGTGGTCGGAAGCCTGGGAGCAAGGGTGAAGGGTCAGTCCCAGCCCCAGGGCAGAGTGGCCGATGTGGTGGGGTGGAGGTGAGAGGCAAGGCAGACGGCTGGCACAGCCATCGCTGCACGGCGGCCCAGGCCCACATCTGACTTCCATGTGACCGGGCCCCAGGTGGCTGCCTAGGACACTGCAGCTCTCCCCGAGTCCCCACCCAAGACGGAGACCCTGGCTCCAGCCACCCCGCAGGCACCACGCAGGGGTAAATTCCGTGTGACATCACCTGGGCTTTCTGTAACCCATAGCTACGGTGCCAAACACCACAAATATTTAAAAAGTAAGGGTAGGCTGGGCATGGTGGTGCACGCCTGTAATCCCAGCTACTCGGAGGCCGAGGCGGGAGAATCGCTTGAACCTGGGAGGCAGAGGCTGCAGTGAGCTGAGATCGCGCCACTGCACTCCAGCCTGGATGACAGGGGGAGACCCTGTCTCAAAACAAAAAACAAAAAACAACAACAGCAAAAAACCAGTAAGGGTAGGAGAAAGGGTAAAAAGACGTAATTGCATTCATGAGATGGCTGGATTCGTGATGACGACACGGGCACCCCCAGCTCCATTTCTGTGCTGTTCACGAGGCCAGCTGGCGCGGTTGCCTCCCGCCATCTCCCAGGGTTCCCTCGTCCTCCTCAGGTGGCCCGGCTTCCTCCTCCCACGGTGCGGGGAGGTTGTGGCATCTCAGCCTCATGGGATCAGGCCACCACGGAGTCTAGGGTCCAAGTGAACTCCAAGAGGCACCTCCAACTGCAGGAGTAGGAACATTCAGCCCAGACCTGTCCCCCTTGGTGTGACACCCTCAGAATCCACATTCACGCTGCTTCCCCATGTCCCTGCATGGTCTCCTGTCCCTCAGGCTGTGTATTCAGAGAATACAGGACAGTTTCCTTCTGGTCGTGGGGAGGGCAGCCAGCCGGGGGTGCTGGCGTGGGGGTAGCACGGGGGGTGGGTCCCTTCTGATAGGGGAGGGGCAGCTTCTGCTGCCAAGGGAGACTCACGGGGACCCGGGGCTCAGGGGTTTCCAAGCTTCCAGAATTCATCTCAGTTCATCCAGATCCCATCCCCGTCTCAGGACACACCCCCTAGCCCAAGCCCCACTCCGAATAAAAGTGCAGACAGGGCCAAGCACTGGGTTCAGGCTGTCACTGGAAACCCCAGCGTCACGTCTGGAGCCTGACCTTCAGCCACATCTGTCCTAGGGCTGTAAGGAAGGAGAAGTGGGTTTAAGACCGTGGCGGGGCACAGGGAGGTGCCTCCTGGCTTTCTGACTATGGCTTGGCCTTTTTGCCCTGCACTGCCCTGCCCTTCCTTTCCCTTCCCTCCTCTCCCCTCCCCTCCCCTCCCCTCCCCTCCGCTCCCCTCCCTTCTCCTCCCTTCCCTTCCCTTCCCTTTGCTTTCCTTTTTTCTTCTTTCTTTCCTTTTTTTTTTTTTTTTTTTTTGAGACAGGGTCTGGCTATGTTGCCCAGGTCAGTCTTGAACTCCTGGGCTCAAGCAATCCTCCCGCCTCAGCCTCCCAAAGTGCTGGATTGCAGGTGTGAGCCGCCGTGCCTGGCCTGCCTTGGGCTTTTTATGTTAAGGCGTCTGTGCTCATTGTTGTCCACACATGCAAATATGACTGTGAGGAACCTCGTGAGCCAGGCAGGCATCAGCCAGGGAAACAGTTCCTGTAGGCTCGTGGGGCCTCCCCCTCCGCAGTGTGGCTCCGGGCTGTTCTGAGGCCTGGCGGGGATGGTAGGTGATGGGTGGCCCTCCAGAGGGGACTCGGTGCTTCCCAGCCCCTCTGTCCACCTCCCAGACCAGCTGATTCAGGGTCGGACAGACACAGCCGGCCCGGGTCATGCCGAGGAAAGGACAGGAACCACCCTGCCCATCCCACTGCCTCCCAGTGAGGCGTGAGGCTGAGCCCTGGGAGCACCGTTGGGACCTGGAATTTACCTGGCAGTAACCCAGAATCTCGCAGGAGTCCCTGGCATCGGGTCCGACCCTTTGCTCCAGGTCGTTTTTCACCCTCCTTGCTCTAATGGTCAATTCGATTGAAGAAAGGCCCACGAAGTGCGCACATTGCTGAGACATGGCCTCCGTCACCTTCTTTAATTTTCAGGTCTGAAGACACTACTGCCCGTTGCCGCTTCAAGCCCACTGAGGGCCGCCCCCAACCCTGTGTGTGGCTGTGCAGGGGCTGGTTCTTTGCAGTGTCCGTGGCTGTGGCCAGCGTCAGGGTCGAGCCGTGACCAGGGTAAGTTGAGGCTCTGGAGGGGAGTGGGTGGGTCCGGGCGGTGCAGGGGTAAGTTGAGGCTCTGGAGGGGAGTGGGTGGGGCCGGGCAGTGCAGGGGTAAGTTGAGGCTCTGGAGAGGGATGAGGTGGGGCCGGGCAGTGCAGGGGTAAGTTGAGGCTCTGGAGGGGAGTGGGTGGGGCCGGGCGGTGCAGGGGTAAGTTGAGGCTCTGGCGGGGAGTGGGGTGGGGCCGGGCAGCGCAGGGTCCCTGTCATCCATCTGTTCACTGTGTCCTCCACTCCCAGGCCCCGTGTGGAGACAGAGACAGATGGCAGAAAAGCGATTTACAATGTGGCCTGTTCTATTTCCAATTAAACCACAGACATTAGTTAATATGCAGGGCTGGGAATCTCGGGCGGAGATCATGTGCAGATAGCTCTATAAAACTCTGCTAGGAACAAATAATTTTGCACAAATTTGCAAACAGCATGGTTTTTGTAAATAACCGTAATCTTTCTACCAGCGCTGGTGCCGATTATGCGTTTTTCCTCATGATAATTTAATGATGACCTAATTTACCTACTGTTGCTGGGCGTCCGGTGCAGCCGATGGCGTTGTCCAATGTGGTCCCAAATCCATCCTGTTGGCTTTACCTCATATTGACCAAGTGTTTACAAATTGAGCTTTTTCCCCCTCCTTATGCCTGACAGTTAACTCCGCTAATGAGCCCGCTGCTGACGCGGCACCGGCCTGCCGGCCCGGGAGTCTCGGCCGCCTTCGCCTGTCCTGAGCCCATCCTGAGCCCGTACTGAGCACAGCCCCGGCGTCAGCATGGGCTGGCAGGAGGTGTCTGGCCTGGGTGCCGCCCGCCCCGGAGAAGAGGAGGGGGCAAGGTGAGGCCAGGAGAGAGGCAGGGGGTGGGGCCGAGGAGGGAATGAGGAGGGGGCCCGGGAGCTGGTGCAGTGTAGGGAGGCTGCTCAGAGGAAGGCGTGACCTGAGGCTGGGTGGGGCGGGCTGGGGACTCCGGGTGAGGTGCGGTGTGGCCGGGGGAGTCACAGGACGGCCCCCAGGGGAACTTGCTCTGGGGCTGTGGAATGAATACCACGGGCAGGGGTGGAGCTTAAAACAGCAGCATGCTTTCACGGTCTGGAGCCCAGAAGCCACCTGGAATTTACCCGGCACCAACCAGCATCACCAGGGGGTACCTGGTACTTGCCCCATGGCTCCCTCTGAAGGCTTGGAGCTCCCTCCTGCCTCCTCCAGGTCCAGGGGCTGCGTCAACCCTCGGAGTGCCCTGGCTTGGAGCGGCCACTCCAGCCTCTGCCTCTGTTTTCCCCAGCTGCTCCCTGGCACCTCTGTGTTCCTTCTCAGGAGGACACGGTCATTGGTTGGGGACCTGCCCTTATCTGGGAGGGTCTCATTTGCACCTTACCTCAGCCACATCTGCAAAGACCCTTTTTCAGATCACGGTCGGGAGTGCGGGCTTCAGGGATCTGCATGGAGGCTTCCCTCCCCAGGTTCACTGTTCTGTGGACGCGGAGGCTTCCCTCTTCGTGGTCACTGTTCTGTGGACGCGGAGGCTTCTCTCCCCGGGGACACTGTTCTGTGGACATGGAGGCTTCCCTCCTCGTGGTCACTGTTCTGTGGACACGGAGGCTTCCCTCCCTGTGGTCACTGTTCTGTGGACATGGAGGCTTCCCTCCCCGGGGTCACTGTTCTGTGGACGCGGAGGCTTCCCTCTTCGTGGTCACTGTTCTGTGGACGCGGAGGCTTCTCTCCCCGGGGACACTGTTCTGTGGACACGGAGGCTTCCCTCCTCGTGGTCACTGTTCTGTGGACGCGGAGGCTTCCCTCCCCGGGGGCCACTGTTCTGTGGACGCGGAGGCTTCCCTCTTCGTGGTCACTGTTCTGTGGACGCGGAGGCTTCCCTCTTCGTGGTCACTGTTCTGTGGATGCGGAGGCTTCCCTCTTCGTGATCACTGTTCTGTGGACATGGAGGCTTCCCTCCCCGGGGTCCACTGTGTGGACTGCTCGGGTGCCGTAGGCAGTGGCTGCCTCCGCTGCTTAGAGAAGTGGGAAGGACGGTCTGCAGAGAGAGACAGGACCCAGGAGTGAGGCCAAGAGGGAGATAGGCAGAGGCAGAGGCTGCAGGCGAAAGGACAGGGACAGGGAGGCCGGCGTGCAGGAAGTGTCGGGCCAGCCCGGACTGGTCCCCACCAGGAGCACCCTGCCAGGGCTCTGTGGCTCCGAGATTTCTCCCAACAGATTTGCTTCTCTGATCAACGGTGGTCGGAGGCCCAGAAAGAGACATGGGGAGCCTGGCTTGGGAGGTCCCCACCAGCGTCTGGAGGCCTCAGTGTACTCTTCTGTAAAATGGACGAACAAGGACGCCTCTTCCCTGGCGTCTTGGGGAGGGTTAAATGGCGTCATCTCCGTGTGGGACCCGGTGCTGGCCTTTGTCACCATCCCAGGGTCTCAGTCCCTGGGCAGAGAGGCCCCTCCCCCACCAAACTCAGTTTCCAGCGGCGGCTGCTGTGTGACGGTGGGGCCTTTACTTGGTATCCGTGTGCTCGTTTGATATCCGATTCTGTCCTGGAACGCCAGCTCACAGGGCAGGGGCGGCGTGTGCTTCTCCCTCAGCTCGGAGCCCGCAGGCGGTCCACGCTTGTTGACTCTGTGGCAGGTCTAGTTCTGAGCGTCATTGTCACCTGCACACAGCAGGGTGCTTGGATCAGCGCCTGGCCCATGGTTGGCACCTGTGGGCATTGCATTAGCTGCCAGTATTATTCTCTCATTTAATCTTCGCAAGCTCACAAGGGTTTGCTGAGTGGATCAAGGGTCAGAGTGGGGAGTGGGGGTGCTAACTGGACTACCCCAGAACTAGCAGAGCAAGGCTGGGCCGGGGCTGGTGAGGATGGCGGCTGCCTGGGCCATGCCAGGCAGGCTCCATGCCGCAGACCCTATGCTGGGACCCACAGAGTTGTTATTCAGCCGCAGGCATCGGCAAGCGGGGCATAAATAAATGGATGACGGGACGGGCAGGTCGAGGCTGGTGGGGGCCGTGGCTGCACAGGCAGAAGGCGGTCTGGGGGTGGACAGACATGCTCTGGTTGAATAGATGGACGCACGGGTGGCTGGGTTTGGGATTTAGTGGGCAGGTGGGTGCATAGGTGGGTGGGGGAGGAATTGGGCGGGTGGAGACAGTAGTGAGGGGGTGTGTTTGGGAGCCCATGGGTGGGTGGGTGCATGAGCAGGTGGGTTTCTGGGCAGTGGTAGGTGGGCTGGTGCCTGGCGGGGGCCTGGGTACGGCCCGAGGGGCTTGCCCACTGGGCTTCTCCTGGCCTCCCCTGTTGGTGGAAGCCTCAGAGCCGCGGGACCCGGGAGTGGCGCTTTTGTCTGTTGCTTGGAAATAAACAAACCAAAAGAGAGACGCCGGCTGCCCCCTGAGGGCACCTGGAAACCACATACCGAGGTGATGGGGAGACAGACCGGGGGGCTGGTGAGGAGGGGTCCCCGTCAGACAGGTCAGACAGAGGGTGAGGGGTGGTTGCTGGGGTCGGGGCGAGGCAGCCTCATAGGCATTGAGTCCCAATTGCGCATGGGATGTCAGGGGCCTGTGGGGTCTGGGCCAGGGAGAGACCTGGCAGCCGGGGAGGGAGTGGCCTGGCAGCCGGGGAGGGGGTGGGAGCTGGCTCTGAGGGGGGCAACTGAGTGGGCTCCCTGGAGGAGGAGTGCCTGCAGGCCAGGGGGCTGTGGGTCATGGGGGCTCAGGGGAGAGCGATAGCTATGTCTGAACAAAAGGGTGGAGGCGGCACAGACCGGAGATCTCAGAGGAGGCATGGCGTCCCACAGCTGCGGAGGTGCAGGGCTGAGACCCCGGCAGGCCTCGTCGGGCGGCTGCCCATTCTCTCCAGGAGCCCCGTGGTGGGTGCGTCGTCCAGGCCATCCTGCTCAGCTTCGTGGACGTTGCACGCCATGCTTGCACCAGCTGGCGGGGCTGCCCCTCTAGCATTCTTTCCCAGGCATCTGGGCTGGGGGGCGGTGATGTGGAGAAGGCATCATTGAAGATGTTGTCGGGCCTGTGGGTTTCTTCCCTGCATCCCCCGGGCAGGCAGCTCACGCCATCACCCCAAGCCGTGCTGTGGAGGAGAGGAGCCATGGGTGCCTGTGAAGGGGTTGTTATTACACCGCCCTTGAAAACAGTCCCGTTATCAACTCTTCCACTCAATGGTTATGCCAGCAGCATTTATGTGCGCTGGTGACGGGGGCCTCGAGGCTCAGTACCGCCTGGCAGCCCTGGAGCCTCGGACCGGGTGCCCCGTATTCTCCTCGGCTAGATTAGGCCCCAGTGCCATCCTCCAAGCACCGAGGGCTTCCCGGGCCCCTTCCCAGACCCCGCCCCCCAACCTGCTTCCTTTTGCTAAAAAGCTAGATTTTTCTACTATTTGTGCTGCTTTTAATCCATAGGAAGTCAATTTTCCACTCATATATTAGTTTATTTTATATTTTCAAATTGATTCGACTATGCATTGATTTCCTGTTGTGGGCATTGTGTCCTGAGCCGGGATTACGCGTTTCGGAGAAGTGGATACTCGTGGCACATAAAGGTGCTTCTACGCCACAGAGCTCTTATCTTGAAGAGGGAGAGTCCAATTTTATTGAAACAGCTAAAATCCCACTTAATTGAATTTTTTTGCTCTAAGATGTACAAGCTTAGAGACGTTTGCTTTCCAATTCAACTCAGGCTCCGTGGTGTTTAAATTTCCAAACCCATAAAGACCTTTATGAAAAAGACCCTACAAATATTGTATTTCTGAGCGGGCGCGTCGGTGAGCACCCGGGTGGGAGTGGGGAGGCATCCGTGCCCTTGGACAGCCTTTGATCCTGCGGAGGGGCCCCGGGCGCTGGCTCCTGGACGGTGCCTCCCCTGGACCGCTCGCTCCCTTCCTTCGGGCCAGGCAGTTTCCTCTCCCCGCTGTGCTCGGTGGCCTGGGCTCTGCGGCTTCCTTAGTGGCCTTTCTGGGCGTCGCGAGGGTGCTGACCCCACCCTTGCCCCCACCCTTGTAGTGGCCGGGCCAGGTGGCCCTCATTCGTCAGGGACTGGCCCTGGCTGCCCGGTGGCTGAGCTGGGCTTTGACCCTGGCCACTGGCTCCCAGGCCCTCTCCCCTCACCTCCCACTGACTCTCAGGGAGGAGAGAGGAGAGGGGGTGAGCAGGCCGCACTCAGCGCCCAGCTCTCTGGAGCTGCTAGACGAAGCCTCCTGGACAGCAGCCTCTGCCACCGCTCGGCCCAGGCCATGCCCAGGGCAGGGGTGTGGCCAGTGTGTGTGGGGACCTGGGTCTGGGCGGGGTCTTCACTGCACCTGCCCTGGGCCTGGGCTCCAGGCCCACCAGTCACAGCTGGGTGAATGAAGGGGTGCCTGAGAGTTGGGGACCCTCTGTCTTGGGGTGTCTTAGGTGAGTCTGGGACCCTCTGTCTGGGGGTATTTCTCAGGTGAGTCTGGGACCCTCTGTCTGGGGGTGTCTTAGGTGAGTTTGGGACCCTCTGTCTGGGGGTATTTCTTAGGTGAGTCTGGGACCCTCTGTCTGGGGGTATTTCTCAGGTGAGGCTGGGACCCTCTGTCTGGGGGTATTTCTCAGGTGAGTCTGGGACCCTCTGTCTGGGGGTGTCTTAGCTGAGTCTGGGACCCTCTGTCTGGGGGTGTCTCTGAGGTGAGCTTGGGACCCTCTGTCTGGGGGTGTCTTAGGTGAGTCTGGGACCCTCTGTCTGGGGGTGTCTTAGGTGAGTCTGGGACCTTCTGTCTGGGGGTGTCTGTTGGGTTGGCTGAGACCCTCTGTCTGGGGGTGTCTCTGAGGTGAGTTTGGGACCCTCTGTCTGGGGGTGTCTCTGAGGTGAGTTTGGGACCCTCTGTCTGGGGGTGTCTTAGGTGAGTCTGGGACCCTCTGTCTGGGGGTATTTCTCAGGTGAGTCTGGGACCCTCTGTCTGGGGGTGTCTTAGCTGAGTCTGGGACCCTCTGTCTGGGGGTGTCTCTGAGGTGAGCTTGGGACCCTCTGTCTGGGGGTGTCTTAGGTGAGTCTGGGACCCTCTGTCTGGGGGTTCTTAGGTGAGTCTGGGACCTTCTGTCTGGGGGTATCTGTTGGGTTGGCTGGGCCTCCTCTGTCCTCAGGAGGCAACCTTGTCTTGCTCGCTGAGCCTGGCTGCCTCTTGAGTCCTGGAACCCGCTTGGCTGCTCCAGGCACGTGCTGGCCTCATGGGCACCAACCCACATGCAGGGACACAGGCTCCTGTGTGCTCTGCTCAGATGCAGCTCCACCTCCTGCCAGGTGCCACATGTGCCCCCCATGGAGTCATGCCCTGCTGCCCAGGCCCCACCTGACCACATCCAGCCTCCGTCAAGGCCTGGTCCCCATCCCTGGAAAGGCCAGACACTGGGCCGTGACACCCCCTTCCCACCTCCCACCTGCCCACCGGACTCTTTACTGAGTCTGCCCTGGCCTGGGGCCTGAGCACCTGTGGGCTGGGCATGGCCAGGTGGAGTGGACCCTGGGGACCCTAAGAAGCTCCTCCCAGCCTTGAGCGTCCACCCCAGCCATGCCCCTGGGGCTCCTAAATCCCCATGGCCCTTAGACACACTGAGGGGGAATGGTGGGTCCAAGGACAGCTCCTTCCCCCTGGAGACGGGGTGGGGTCTAGGCCTGCTTCACCTCTGGTCCCCTACCCCAGCCTCAGTTTCCCTCTAGCGCCAGGGGCTGGGGCTACACCTCACTCCTGTGGCCGCTGGATTGGTGGTCTGAATGCCAAGCTGGGGCAGACGGGAGCTTGGCCTGACTCCAGGCCCTGCACTGGCCATGGCGCCGTGAGTGGGTGGCCCCCTCAACTGTTGGGGGGGTGGCCCTGCCTCTGGGGACACCAGCCCCCTCTCCCCAGCCTGTACTATCATCTGTTCTTCACGGTTCCTCTGTCTTCCCACCACCTTTGGCCGGGTTCGGAGCCCTCCTGGTGTGCTGGGCCCCGGGGCTGTCCTGCCCAGGCAGTGAGTGTCATTTAGGGGGGCAGGCTGGGGTGGGCAGTGGTGCTGGGTGCCGAAGAAGGCCTGTCTCTCTAGGTGAGGCCTCTCTCTAGGAGTGCTGGGCCGGGTGCAGGGCCAGCAACTCAGGCGTGCACAGCCCTGACCGTTATCCGATGCCTCTTCACACACAGTTGCACAGACGACAGTTTAATGGCGCTTTGTAATGGGAGCTCCTCTGTATCTCTATCCCATGAAAATGGCTAACGGTGATAAGGGAAGGAAGAAATGAAGAGTCTGCAAGGCCCCTGCCCACCTGCTCCTGAGAACACGCTCGCCACCTGCGGGCATCGCCTTTGCTCCCTGTAGCCTCCAGGAGATCTCTGACCCACCAGGGGCAGGGGAGGGCATTGGTGGGGGGCTGGGGGCATACAAGGGGAGGCCGGGGCTGGGCCCAGGGGTGGCCGCCGGCCCCTTCTTCTGTTTCTGGGGTGGGAGGGCTTTGGCAGGGCCCTTTTGGGGTGTGTGGCCCGACCCAGCCTGGGTGGTGCAGCCCTGAGGGCCCGGGCAGTGCAGGGAGAGCCCAGGTCTGCAGCCCTTGAGCAGCAGGTTTCATCATTCATTCATCCATTTAGTGGCTGTTTCCTGAAAAACCTCTGGGACTGCGCCCCAAACCTCCCGAGTCTTAGAGAGTCATGCAGCCGGAGAGTGGCTGCTCCTAGGGCGGGAGTTCAGGGGAGGTGCAGTCAGCTCAGAGTCACCACTGGGCAGTGCAGTCTGGGGAGACTTCCTGGAGGAGGTGGCATTGTCACCGTGCCCCGAAGCATTTGAGCCCCTGGACTCGGGACCCCTCGCTGCCCAGGGGCATTGCCGGCCATCACTCTTCTCCCCGACAGTTTGTGCTGTCCCAGAAGAGCACAGCTGCTGAAATGTGCTCCCCATCTCCCCTGACAAGCTCCACCATCTTGCCCCATCCTCCCCTGCCAGCCCCTCGGGGGCGTGTGGGACAGGACACCCAAGTCCCGCTCCTTCTTGCCCTCAGCATCCCCTCTCAGCTTGTGCACACTAGAGGCTGGATCTGGAGGATGGGGCAGAGAGGCCTCCGGGTCCTGTTGTGGGGACGGCTGGCACCGGCCTTCGGCCTTCAGTGGGTGGTCCCACTGAAGCACGGCCTTCTCTGGCCCCATGCCTGACTGTGAATGGGTGAGGCTCTGAGGACCACAGAGACCTGTCCCTCAGGCCCTGCCCATCCCTCCTGCCTGGGGCTCTGGGGCTGGGTCAGTGAGAGCAGATCAGGCAGTATCTGGGGAGTCCCAGCTCTGCCCTCAACTTGCCCTGAGGTGACAAAGCCTCGACTGAAGGCGAGTGGGACCCACTGG
Source organism: Homo sapiens (assembly GCF_000001405.40). Lineage (NCBI taxonomy): Eukaryota > Metazoa > Chordata > Mammalia > Primates > Hominidae > Homo > Homo sapiens. The sequence goes on along the minus strand of NC_000004.12, from coordinate 1,549,382 downwards.
GTCTGCAGTAGGGAAGGTCCAGGCCCGACCACACCTGGGGGCTGTCCCGGCTCTGGCCTTGGCCCAGGCCCCCCCCACCACCCCGACCAAGCTGGCCTTCCTGCCTGCACCCATCTGGGTCTTCTGTGCCCCTGAGCTGGGGCAGTGCCCCCGCCAGCATCCCAAGAACAGGAACGGGCCGCAGAGGACCAGATGTGACTGCACAGGGGCCTGGACGCCAGCTTCTTCCCTCCCGCCTGCTTTCTCACCTGGAACCGTGGCCATCTCAGAGGAAACCCGCCTGTCTCGGGATTTTCTCACCCGCAGAGCGGGGAGGGCCCTCTGGGCTGCCTGCAGTGCACCGTGTGTCCAGCAGGGGGCAAGCGCCCGGCCCCGGAGCCGCAGCAGGGTCCGCTTGGGGCCGCACAGGGTCCTCGCCCGACCTGTGTCTGAACACGCAGGAGCGGCCGGGCCAGGCAGTCCCAGCGCATTTTAATAGTGGAATGTAATTCCTGGGCGGCAGAAAAATGAAAGTGAGAAGTCTATGAATTATTGCAAATGCTCTCGATCTGCTGGGCCGTGCAGCGGGGCCCTGGGCTGCAAAGCCTTTTTTTCTCATGTTTAAGTTGGCGTGGAAGATGAAATAGTCACAGAGACGCAGTGGCCCCTCAAAGCTGTTATTGCCAGCTGTGTGTCTCCTGTAAACACTTTTCTGATTTATAACCTCACTCTGCTTTATAAATGGAAAAACCAGAAACGCCTTCAGGAGCAGCCTTTCACCGCCCAAGAGGCCTCTGCGTCCACACGTGGCCGCGGGGGCAGGGTGCCGAGGCTTCTGGTCAGCCTTCCTTCCCAGGGCCAAGGCCTCCACCTAGGCCTGGCGCGAATGTGGGTCCCGGAAGGGTGACCCACGGTGCCTGTTTGCCTGGGACGGACGGGGTTTCCGGAACTCGGGGAATTCGATGCAAACCTGGCAGGTTCCCGGCAAGCTGCTTCCCTGGACTCTGGCGGTTCTTCTTTTGGTCGACAGATGCTGTGGACGGGTTTTCTGTTTGTTTTGGAAGGAGAGGGGGTACTCAGACATCCGGCGATTGTCTTTGCTGGCCTGTGTCCGAGAGGGGAAGCTGATGCCTGTGGCTGGAGGACCTCGTGTCGTACCTAGAGTCCCCTCAGGACGGCCGACTGCCAGCCATGGGCCACCCGGGAGCTCACCCCACAGCCCCACCTCGGTGCCCACACCTGGGCCAGGTGGCCATGGGGTCCCCAAGCCTCGTGCAGATGAGGGAAGGGACTCGCTGCAGCCTCCATGCTGGCGTCTGGCCTCAGAAAGAGGGCTCAGGAAACGTTGGCCACTGACTCCTGATATCACAGTAACCCAGGGCGGCTGGGATGCTGTCCTGCTCAATGGGGAACTGAGTCACTTGTCCCAAGTCCTGCAGTGACCCAGAACCGTGCAGGTCCAACCCGGAGCAGCAGAGCCCTTGGAGCAGGCGGTGTGGATGGCAGCCCCATCACAGCCAGGATGCGGGGTCAGCTGGGGTGTGGGTTGTCAGTCTCCTGGAGTTGTCTGGGGTGTGGGTTGTCAGCATACTGGGGTTGCCTAGGGTTATTTGGGGAGTGGGTTGTCAGTGTCCCGGGGTTGTCTGGGATTGTCTGGGGTGTGGGTTGTCAGTGTCCCAGGGTTATTTCGGGTGTGGGTGTGGGTTTTCAGTGCCTCGGGGTTGTCTAGGGTGTGGACTGTCGATGTCCCGGGGTCGTCTGGGGTGTGGGATGTGGGTTGTGGCCTGGGGTTACCTGGGGCGATGCCTCCCCTCTCCGGGGCAGGTCTTCGTAACATCAGGAATTTGCAGGCACATGTGTCTGGGTGTTGGGAAGCAAACAGTCTGTGCTGGATTTGCTGTGTGGATTCTTGAATTATCTGGAGAATACAAGCTTCTTGATGAAAAGTGTGATTTTGTGTTATGAACCGGAGAGTCATGGGCTATCAGGCCGGGGGCTGGGTAATGTCCTGAATGGCAGGCGCTGTCGTTTCCAGGAAAGACGATGGTGTGAACGTGCCATTCACCCTTTAGAGCCCGAGGCTCAGGGCCCACACTGAGGCCCTGCACTGCTTCTAAGTCTGCCCAGGATCAAGAGCCCTTGGGCAGGGGGTGTGGGTCCCTGGAGACAAGTTTATCAGTAAAGCAGGAGACCTTGACCGCCAGCTGAGAGCCTGGGGCGGGTCTGGCTGTCCAGCTGAGAGCCTGGGGCAGGGGTCCGGCTGTCCTGCTGAGAGCCTGGGGCAGGGGGTCCGGCTGTCCTGCTGAGAGCCTGGGGCAAGGGGTCCGGCTGTCCTGCTGAGTACCTGGGGCAGGGGTCCGGCTGTCCTGCTGAGAGCCTGGGGCAAGGGGTCCGGCTGTCCTGCTGAGTACCTGGGGTAGGGGTCCGGCTGTCCTGCTGAGTACCTGGGGCAGGGGTCCGGCTGTCCTGCTGAGAGCCTGGGGCAAGGGGTCCGGCTGTCCTGCTGAGAGCCTGGGGCAGGGGTCCGGCTGTCCTGCTGAGAGCCTGGGGCAGGGGTCCGGCTGTCCTGCTGAGAGCCTGGGGCAGGGGTCCGGCTGTCCTGCTGAGAGCCTGGGGCAGGGGTCCGGCTGTCCTGCTGAGAGCCTGGGGCAGGGGTCCGGCTGTCCTGCTGAGAGCCTGGGGCAGGGGTCCGGCTGTCCTGCTGAGTACCTGGGGCAGGGGTCCGGCTGTCCTGCTGAGAGCCTGGGGCAGGGGTCCGGCTGTCCTGCTGAGAGCCTGGGGCAGGGGTCCGGCTGTCCTGCTGAGAGCCTGGGGCAGGGGTCCGGCTGTCCTGCTGAGTACCTGGGGCAGGGGTCCGGCTGTCCTGCTGAGAGCCTGGGGCAGGGGGTCCGGCTGTCCAGCTGAGAGCCTGGGGCAGGGGTCCGGCTGTCCTGCTGAGAGCCTGGGGCAGGGGTCTGGCTGTCCTGCTGAGAGCCTGGGGCAGGGGTCCGGCTGTCCTGCTGAGTACCTGGGGCAGGGGTCCGGCTGTCCTGCTGAGAGCCTGGGGCAAGGGGTCCGGCTGTCCTGCTGAGTACCTGGGGTAGGGGTCCGGCTGTCCTGCTGAGTACCTGGGGCAGGGGTCCGGCTGTCCTGCTGAGAGCCTGGGGCAAGGGGTCCGGCTGTCCTGCTGAGAGCCTGGGGCAGGGGTCCGGCTGTCCTGCTGAGAGCCTGGGGCAGGGGTCCGGCTGTCCTGCTGAGAGCCTGGGGCAGGGGTCCGGCTGTCCTGCTGAGAGCCTGGGGCAGGGGTCCGGCTGTCCTGCTGAGAGCCTGGGGCAGGGGTCCGGCTGTCCTGCTGAGAGCCTGGGGCAGGGGTCCGGCTGTCCTGCTGAGTACCTGGGGCAGGGGTCCGGCTGTCCTGCTGAGAGCCTGGGGCAGGGGTCCGGCTGTCCTGCTGAGAGCCTGGGGCAGGGGTCCGGCTGTCCTGCTGAGAGCCTGGGGCAGGGGTCCGGCTGTCCTGCTGAGTACCTGGGGCAGGGGTCCGGCTGTCCTGCTGAGAGCCTGGGGCAGGGGTCCGGCTGTCCTGCTGAGAGCCTGGGGCGGGTCTGGCTGTCCTGCTGAGTACCTGGGGCAGGGGTCCGGCTGTCCTGCTGAGAGCCTGGGGCAGGGGTCCGGCTGTCCTGCTGAGAGCCTGGGGCAGGGGTCCGGCTGTCCTGCTGAGAGCCTGGGGCAGGGGTCCGGCTGTCCTGCTGAGAGCCTGGGGCAGGGGTCCGGCTGTCCTGCTGAGTACCTGGGGCAGGGGTCCGGCTGTCCTGCTGAGAGCCTGGGGCAGGGGTCCGGCTGTCCTGCTGAGAGCCTGGGGCAGGGGTCCGGCTGTCCTGCTGAGAGCCTGGGGCAGGGGTCCGGCTGTCCTGCTGAGAGCCTGGGGCAGGGGTCCGGCTGTCCTGCTGAGAGCCTGGGGCAGGGGTCCGGCTGTCCTGCTGAGAGCCTGGGGCAGGGGTCCGGCTGTCCTGCTGAGAGCCTGGGGCAGGGGTCCGGCTGTCCTGCTGAGAGCCTGGGGCAGGGGTCCGGCTGTCCTGCTGAGAGCCTGGGGCAGGGGTCCGGCTGTCCTGCTGAGAGCCTGGGGCAGGGGTCCGGCTGTCCTGCTGCACTGAACCCACTGTTAATCGCCACTCCCCACACGGCCGCTAATGACTCCCTCAGTAGGGCCTGCGGTGGGGATGTTTACTGAACAGGAAGTAAAATTGTAATCTCCCGTTCAAACAGAATATTCACACAACAATAAAATTATAGGTGTGGCCTCAGGGAACCATTCCTAGGACTTGGTGCTTCAGTGAAGAAGCAGTTCCCGCTGGGAGCGGAGCAGCATGGGCTCTGTGTGGGCCGAGAGTGGGATCAGTGTCAGCTGCCAGCGCTGTACCAGCGATGCCACGGCCACCAGCTGTGCAGGGGCCCACGGCGGCAGCGGGCACCCATGAGAACCATCCGCAGGGGGAGTCATCAGGGCCACGCAGCCCCAGGGCGGGGGGCGACAAGGCAGGAGAGTGCCCCCAGCACCTACCACCCTGCCCAGGCTGTCCCCTTTCCAGGCAGAAATGAAAACAGGTCATATTCTCATACTGCTGGGCCTAGCACATGCGAGATCTGCCTAGACACGGTGAGTTTGCAAAGTACCAGAGACTGGAGACCGTCACCACAGCAACATACACCTCGCAGTTCTGGAGGCTGGAGGTCTAGGATCCGGTTGCATGGCCGGCTCCTCCGAGGCTGCGAGGCAGGACCGGTCCCATCCTCTCCCCAGCTCCCCGTGGCGGCCAGCAGCCCTCGGTGATCCTTGGCCTGAGAAAGCACCGCCCTGACCTCGGCCTTCATCTTCGCACGGCCTCTCCCTGCGTGCCTGTCTCCAGATCCCCTTTCCATAAGGGCGCCTCGTGCTGGGGTGAGGCCCGGCCTCCTGACCGCCCCTTAACCTGATTTTCTCTGTAAAGACTCTGTCTCCAAACAAGTCACATTCTGAGGTGCTGGGGGCTGGGATGTCAACACCTTCCTGAGCTGCACACATTGACCTAGGACAAATGGCATTTTCAAATTAAAAAAAACTTTAATTTTGAGTAAATTTTACAAAAAACTTTTAAATATACTATGGAGAGTTCCCGTAGCTCCCTCACCTCCCGCAGGACAGCACTGCACCGAAGCAGGGTCCGCTGATGGGCCTGGGGTCAGCGCCATCCACAGAATGGGAGTTGCCGGGGCTCCCACTGAGGTCCTACTCCGGGACCCCAGGCTGCGTCGAGGGGTCACCTTTGTGGGACCCCAGCCTGGATGGGTCCTCAGGCTTCCCTTGTCCTTCATTATCCTGGCCAGTCTGCAGGGAGCTGGCCGGGAGTTGGTGGAATGCTCCTTCCTGATTGGGGTGGGCATACTGACGCCAGTGTGCTGTGCTCACACCCTCGTCCTCGCCTGTCCAGGCATCCATGCTGTTGGCAGCTCTAACGTGCCAGTGGTGGCTGCTGGACACCCTGGCTGTGGGTGTCTCAGGCCCCGAGTTCTGGCCTCAGTAGCAGGAAGGACAGTGGGTGGGTGCGGGGTGTCCATGGTGGGGGCCACAGTGCCGCCAGCTTTGCTCAGTGGGAATGTGGGGCCCACAGAGGGACCCAGGTTGCCTGTGGACTTTTCCTCCTGCTGCCCCTTGAGACACAGCAGTGCCTGCCTCAGCTCTTCTTGGGGGAAGTGGGGCGGGGCACCTGCTTCTCAACATGTCAGTGACTGCCTGGCCAAGCGGGCAAGCAGGGCTGGGAGGTCTCACTGCGTGCCCTGCCCACAGGAGTTTCTGGAGAGACTCGCTCTGTTTCTAGGGGCAGACTTGGGCTGGCAGAGGCGACCCTTGGCAGTGGCAGGAGCAGCCCCTGTCTGGTCAGGGCAGCCCAGACCGGTCCCTCCAGCCCCTGCAAGCACCTATCAGACTCCTTTCTGCAGAAAGAGCCAGAAGGATGCCACCATCTGCAGCTGGCCCTTGGGACCCCAGGTCTCCAGCTGCCCCTCCCACCATCCTGAGTCCTCACACTTCTTCATGCTTGTGATGAGGGCGGTGAGCCCTGAACTCTGTTTAGGGCCAGAGAAGGGGTTGCATCAGTGACCTCAGGCCCGCAGCATCGTTCCTAGTGGCCTGGACACTGGGCGGTCGTCTCAGATGGGAATCCCAGGATGCAGCAGTGTAAGGACAGCAAGCGGGCAGCAGCAGGCCCGGAGGTCCGACCCCATGGCTCACGGGTGCCCTGCCTGCCCACTCCCTGGCTTGTGCACTGGGCCTCGGGGTCCCGAGCCCGGCAGCCGATGAAACCTCCGAGATCCTTGGAGTCTTGGGGCTCACACCCTGGCTCCCCATCTGAGGGGCTCCCTGGGTTGGGGCTGCTGTGATGCGTGCTCAGCGTCTTTTCCTGAATTCCTGCCTCCGCCTCTAAAGCTGCAGGGACAAAAGAGCAAACCAAATCAAGCCCTAAGGCACTCCAGGAGTCCCCCTACCCCCCCGGGCCAAGGCCTACTCTTGTCCTAGCCCGACTGGCCCCCAGGCCTGTGCCCGGTATCTGGCTGAACCCCAGGGCCTGCAGCACCCATCTGACCCCCAGGGTGATGGCCGGTCAGGAAGGCTTGTGGGTCAGGCCTGCTCAGAGCCCAGGATAGATTTCGCAACCCCCACAGAGCTGGGTGGGACAAAAGGTCCATTTTTGTGGCCATTGTTGATGTCTCCTCCTGTGAGTCACAGAGGTGGCCCCACCTGCATCGGTGAGGCGGAGTGAAGGTGCCACTCTGGGAAGCCTGGCTGTCCCTGGGTTCCCCGTGGAAGCCCCACTGCATCGGAGTACAGAGCGTGAAGCCACGTAAAAATCTTTATTATCTTGGCAATTTCCTAAGTCATTGGTTCCCGTGTTTGTAAGATAAACCCACAGCCTTGGAACGTGCTGTGCTGGGGTGACGCTCCTGCTTGGGAGGTTGGAGCGGGGGCTTCCTCGGGTCACCCCAGGGCCCTGGGGGCCACACATCAGACCCTCCAGCTGCTCCAGTAGTGGACAGTCAGGGGCACCACCGAGGCTCTCATCCCTGTTAGAGGTTCTGGCCCTGGCGGGCCCTCGAGATGACTCACGGTGGGACTCTGGGGGGAGTGTGGCTGGACGGAGCTGGTCCCGGGGCTCCTGCCACCAGGCAGCCCCACTCAGCCATAGCCGGGGTGTCTGCACGGTTCCCAAAGGGCCCTGAGAAGAAAGGAAGATGGTGCCCGACTGCCTGTTCATGCAGCCCACTCACAACGTCCAGGCAGGGGAGGCGAACAGCACCCCTGCCCAGAGGAATGAGTAAGAAGGCGGAGCGTCCACACCAGGAAAAATGGGGAGTGTCCACACTGGGGAGGATGCGCAGTGTCCACGCCAGGGGAGGGTGCAGAGTGTCCATGCCGGGAAGAATGCGGAGTGTCCACACCAGGAAAAATGGGGAGCGTCCACGCCGGGGGAGGGTGCGGAGCATCCACGCCGGGAAGAATGCGGAATGTCCACAACAGGGAAAATGCAGTGTGAATATTCCGCACTCATAAGGGAAAACCCTTAAAAAGGAAGGATGTGCTGACGCCACTGTGTAGACAAACCTGGGGACCCTGTGCTCAGCCCTGAAATAAGGCCAAATGACTTGTCCAGAACGACAGATTCCCAGACAGAAAGCAGAATGGGGGGTGTCGGGCTGGGAGGAGGTGGGGGCGTGGCCCCTGAAGGCAGGGGGAGGTGGGGGAGGCAGTTGGGGAGGAGAGTGGGGCGGGGCTCCTGAAGGCGGCGGTTTCTGACTGCGGTGAGGATGAGAACCTGGGATGGCACCGCTGGAGTTGGGTGGGTGCCATTGCAAACATCCGAGTACACAGACATGTGCCGTGTAAGATGGCTAATTTTAGGTTATGTGAATTTTGCTTCCAGTAAAAACTAAAATAAAAAGGTACAGTGACCACGTCAGTGGGGCCAGGAGGAAGTGAGGTGATGGAGGGAGGGATCCTCCAGGGTCCTCTGGAGGCTGCAGAACCTTGTCTGGGGCCTGCAGATTTGCAGGGAGGCATGGGCCGGAGGCTACAGAACCTCGTATGGAGCCCGTGGATTTGCCGGAGGTGTGGGCCAAGGCGGGCAGCCTGGGGTGTGTCCTGGTCTCAGGGCATCTCACCAGGGAAAAGGGCCCCGAGCTGGGCAGGCCTGGGCTGCCTCCTTGACTCTGCCTGTGCCTGTACCCACTTGGGGTCCGGAGCAGGTGGAAGGCGGTGGTGCCTGGTGTGGCCCCTGCTCTGTCTGCTGCTCTCTCCTCCTGGGGGCTGAGGGAGACGTGTGGGATGTGAGCTGGAACAGCACAATCAGAGTCCCTGAGCCACGAGCTGAGTCGGGAGTCCCTGGCCTCCGAAGCACAAGCCTAGAGACCTCCAGTGTCCCTGGGGATGGACCTGCAGCATTTCTGAGAACACAGATGCTGACTCCACGAGGCCGACTTAGAGCCGCCGTCCTCACCAGAACCCGTCAGGAAGGGCCTGAAATCAGTGGTCTTTTCAGGGCTGTCGGAACAGACGGGGCTTCCAGGGCCCGGGGTGGGGCCGGGGCCCGGCAGTGTCTTCCTGAGTCACATCCGCTTTCTCCTCCTCACTTGCTCCAGGGACCTTCACTCCGGGGTGTGCGGCTGAGGGCAGAGGTTTCCGAGTCCTTCTCTGTCCTCGGCTGCTGCACTCGCGGAGATGCTGATGAGGAGAAGGCAGGGTGCCGTGTGTGTCCTCTCCACCAGCCTGCGGCCCCCGCCCACACAGGACCGAGTTTCCTCGTCTGTAAAGGGCAGGTCATTGTCCTTCCTCATGCTGTCGTCTGGGCGCTTAAACGAGGGGACACTTGCAGCCACGCGGGGCAGACACAGGTGCTTTTTATGACCCCAATGTCAATGTTGCACGGCAGAAAGTTGGGGAGCCGGGACCCCCGGCCCACCCGAGCCTAAGCCTGAGCCAAGGACGTGTCCTGGCAGGGAGAGGGAGTCCCTGGGGTCTTGTGGGACGTGTCCACAGGGCACGCCGGGGCCTGGCTTCCCCAGGCCTGTGGACACGGAAGGCAGGAACAGGAAGGGGCTGCAGCCGGGCCACCACGGGGGGCAAATGCTTGTCCATCGCAGATGGGCGTCTGAGGCTCTCGGGCTGCCTCTGCCATGCCCCGGGCCCCACCTGGCTCTCTGGGGGGCGGCCTGTTAGGATAATGGCCTGGCACTGAAGCCTTCCTGGGCACTGTTGCGGCCGGTCCCTCCCCAGTTCTCCGCCGGCCGCGTGATGGAGCTCTGACGGGGACAGACTCCCGGCCGGAGCTAATCGAAGCTGAAAAGGTGGAATCAGCGTGTGTCGTATCCTTTTGCCACCTTCATCAATCCAGCTAACTGGGTTTGAGCTGCGCTCGGCAAATGTTCTGCAGCGGGAAATTAATATGTAAGACATCTGAGGCCTGACGGCGGCCGCAGGGCCAAGCGGGTGCTCGGGCAGGGTGGCCTCCTAGGGCCACCACGGCTGCCGCCCGCTGAGGACCTGCAGTCTGGGGAGGGTCCCCACCCTGGCCCCCACCCTCTGCATCATCAATTCAGTTACCTCCGGGGTTGATACATATTCAGGCCCGAGGACGCCAGGGTGGAAGGAGACAAAGGAATCTGTATTTACCCAATAATAAGTTCCATTTGGAGGAGGTTTGAAAACAATTCCCCGTCACATTTGTCCCTGTCAGATCACATTATTCACAAATGAAGTTCACAAAGTATCAATTCAATTTCAATGAGGCGCTGGCTGGCGGGGCTGGGGCTGAATTTAGCTGGGTGCTGGGGGGGCGTGGACAGCGTGGCCGTCAGAGGTAATCAAAGGCAGGCGCAGCGGGCAGGCTTTCCATTTCACCCACTCTGTGCACATCTGTTCCTGGATAATCCCATTTTCTACACTTCCAAATCACTGAAGACGGCAGCTGGGGGGGCTCCAGGCCCCTGGGAGCCAAGGTGGGGCCTGGGGCTGTGCTCCCACCCAGTGCCGGGGCCTCCTGGGACTGGCACCTCTCCAGGTCAGGCTGCAGCTGTCCTGGTCCCCGGGCCGTGTGGGGTCACCAGGCCTCACGCCCCATGGGGCCTCTCCCTGCGGCCACATGTCTGTGGGTCCCGTCCCTCCCTGACTTTGGGAGCTACGCTAGGACTCCAAGTGCGGCAGGCCAGGTCTCACTAACGCAGGCCTCCACAACACCTGTTTCAGCACTGACTGTGCAGTGAAGTTAAATATTAAAAGCCAGTGCCCTGATACAAACGCTGGAGTGTAACAAAAGCCCACCCAGAGTTTTGCCCAGGCCTTTTGTTTTGCCTGGCCCAAAACTCTTGCCCAGGCCCAGAGTTTTGCCTGGGCCTTAAAGCGACAAGACGATGAAGGAATTCTTCACAGGACCCATTTAGGATTAAATAAGTTTTACTGTGGGTCTGAAGGAACTCCCCAAACCTCCGTGATTTAGCAGGAGACAAGATAAGGGCAATCACCTCAGCACCTGGACCCATTTAGATTAAGTAAACTTAAACTTGCTGAGGCTCCAGAGGAAGGTCTTCAGGACTCAGACCTTCGTTATAGATGAAGAGAAGTTCATCACTTACGTCTTGAGATGAATGCACACTTACACGTAGACATAGAGCTTAGAAGGTAGATAAGCTCTGGAAAACTGTAATTTTGAGTTGGTCTGGTGATAATTTCCCAGCCTTCTCCTTGTAACCAGTTGCAGAAATAAAACCTCTCTTCCTCCCCAGTTCATCTGCATCTCGTTATTGGGCCACGAGAAATAGCAGCCTGACCCTCGGTTTGGTCCCGGAATGCAAGGGGGATGTTCCTGCACCCTCCCACCTCTGCCCTCCCACCCCTCTCCTCCCACCCCTGCCCTCCCACCTCTGCCCCCCGACCCCTGCCCTCCCACCTCTACCCTCCCACTCCTCCCCTCACCTCTGCCCTCCCACCCCTGCCCTCCCACCCCTCCCCCCACCTCTGCCCTCCCACCCCTCCCCTCCCACCTCTCCCCTCCCACCACTGCCCTCCCACTGCTGGAACCCTCCCTCTAGCCCGGGCACCTGTTAGCACTTCCGCGTGTCCGTGGGTCCCGGTCAGCAGCCCCTCCTTTCCCGGCACTGGTGAGGCTGGGGGGAGGGGAGGCTGGGTGTTTCTGGGGCTTCTGGGTCAGACGACTCTTGGATCCACTCCAACCTCAGAGCGGAGGCCAGGGGCCAAGGGCTACAGGGGTGGACCCAGCCCCATCCCCAGCCCTTCCCACTCGACCTTGTCATCCAACCAGTCCCAGGTCACAGGTATAGCACCAATGAGCACCTCCCAGGACCCAGGAGGACTGCCAGGGGTGGGGGTCAGGGGCATGGCTGAGGGATCAGGCACCCCCCAAGGCACGCTGGGCTGGAGGGGGCTCAGCAACCCCAAGAGGCTCTCTGAGTCTCAAGGTGCCCTGGCCTTTCCCCTGCCCCAGCATGGACCTGCCCCCAGCAGCAGGACAGCCGTTCCTCTGCCCAGGCCTCTCCTGTCTGCTCCGGGGCTGCCCCTGCCACACCTGGACTCTCCCAGCTGCTGGACTTGCATGTCCCAGCACAAAGCTTGCCTCCTGCCCCTTCACTGCCTCTGAGGACCAGTGGCTCCTCCTCACCAGCCATAGGCACACAGCGGGCCTGATGCTACCTGGGGCCCCTGGTTCTAGATGCTGCTTCCCTGTGGCACAAGGCAGTGGGTGGGCCCTGGCGCCGCCGCCCTTGGCTCAAAGGGTCCCACTGTCCCGTCAGAGACTGCCGACCCCCTACCCAGGGGTCTGCACCCAGTGTCTCAGCCCAGTGTGGCCCAGGAGGCAGCCCCACCCTGCTGTGACCCTGGCCCTCCACCGCCCCATCTGTGAAGGGAAGGCTCAGGTCCTTGCTATGCTGGGTTGGGCTGGTCTGGGCCTCACAAAAGACTGCAGACCCCACGTGAGCCTCAGGAGCGGACGGGGAGCCAAACAGATACTGGGGACCCGGGCTGGATGTAGGACCTGGGTGTGGAGTGGGGGCATCAATGGGCTTGGACCCCTCCGACCGAACCCTAACCACAGCAGCCTCTCAGCGTGGGTGCGAGGGAGCCGTGGGCCTGCGTGTACGTGGCGTGTGCATGAGCGTGGGTGTGAGGGAGCCGTGGGCCTGTGTGTGTGTGTGTGGCGTGTGCGTGAGCGTGGGTGCGAGGCGTCGCCATGGGCCTGTGTGTGTGTATGTGCGGCGTGTGCGTGAGCGTGGGTGCGAGGCATCGCTGTGAGCCTGTGTGTGTCCGCGCATGTGCCTTGTGCCTTTCGTTGCCGCCCTCCCAAGCAAGATGTAACAGGAAGGCTGCAGGGATGGGTCTGGGGTCCTGGGCTGTTTGGGGAGTGTGAGGATCCCTGCCGGTCTTGATGTGGCCTCTTTCTGCTTTCGGCCGCATTGGACATTAGCACCCTGCTGGGCAAAAAATGGTTTCATGCTCCTGGAAATTGGCGGGGCCAACATGCTGATTGATTTTCCAGGCAGGCCCCTGGGTCCCCGCGGTTCCTCTGGCTGGGTGGGGTGGGCTGCCCGGCTGTGGCAGCCACCTGTGGGATGTAGGGGTCGGGAGGCACCGGGGTGTCTGCCCCAGAGGCCTTGACTGCAGGTATCTCTGCCCACTGATGAGGTCCAGCTTCAGAAACGGGAGAAAATGCCATTGTCATCCTGTTTCAGCGAAAGCTAATCTGTGTCTTTGCTTCTCCATTTGGCTCTGCTGTGCGCCCCTAGGGGGTTCTGGGACACGACCCCATGGAAAGGGCCTTAGTGAGAGCGAGGGATGCCGTCACCACCGCCCCCCCCGCCCGCTGCCACCCCATAGCACCTGCCTGTGTGCTGGCCGCGTCTCCCATCTGCAAAGGCAAGACCTGGGTCCCTGCAGCCCAGCACCCATGTGGGGCTGCCTCACCCCGGGAGTGTGCAGGAGGCTGGGGGTCCTGTCAAGTAAGAGGACGGAGTGCCGGGGCCACCCTGGAGCCGAGGTCTGCGCTGGTCCCCATTCGAGCAACTTGGAGCTGCACCGGGCTCTCGGGCGCCTGCTTGCTGTAACACTCTGGGGGAGCCATGGGGGCGCGGGGTGGAGGCTGCCGGGCTCTCCTGCCCCTCACTACCTCCCTCATGGCTTCCCCTCTTTTGCCCCTTTCCCGGATTCTGCTGCGCCCTGGGGAGCCCCCGCTCTGGGCAGGCGTGACCCGAGGGGCAGGAGAGGCCGGGCCCTGCTGGCAGCAGCCCCACTTCAGAATCTTGTCTGGATCGTAACCGGCGCTGGGCCCTCTTGATATATTGATCCCAGGGCCAAAGCATGTTGTAAAATGAGGTGATCATAATGGGATTTAAAGTTATGATGGCGAAGTCGTGCAACATAGCCGGGCCTTGGCAGTTTCATTAACCACTGAAAAATCACATGGACGCTAGAGGCTGCAGATACCTCCGGAGACGAGGCTTGGCCTGGCCTGGGGCCTCCGTTTGAGAACTGGGAGATACACCTAATGCTAGATGACAAGTTAGTGGGTGCAGCGCACCAGCATGGCACATGTATACATATGTAACTAACCTGCACATTGTGCACATGTACCCTAAAACTTAAAGTATAATAATTAAAAAAAAAAAAGAAAGAATTTGTAGCCCAGCTTTTGTTTTCCTTCTTTTTCTATGGATAGAAGGACATTCCTTCAAACCCAGGAAGCTGAACACCCACGGCAAAGCCTACCGTGCCTGTGGGGCAGCCTCAGCCTCCTGGGATCTCCTCGGCTCCAGGTGACTTCTCTGAGCACACACACACACACACACACACGCCGGCACATGCACACACACACACGCGCACACACGTACACGCACACGTGCACACGCACGCACACACACGCACACGCACAAGTGCACACACACACCAGCACACACACGTGCACACATGTACACGGACACACATGCACCTGACCATGCGCTCAGACACACATGCACACAGTCACACGCATGACCCACTTGCATGTTCACATGGTGTGTGCGCACACACGCACACACACACGCACACACACACGCCGGCACATGCACGCACACACACGCACACACACACGTGCACGCACACACACTGCCTGAGCTCCACCTGTCCAGTACTGTGGGGATGGGCCCAAGGGGGAGCTTCCCTTCCCCGTCTGGTGTGGCAGACGGCTGTGTCCCTTGTCTCCAGCTCACGCCTCTTGTGTCACACTGGTTGAGTGTGTCTCTTGCATTTCCAGAAAAGGTGAGTGTGTTCCGGCCTGGGAAGGTGGGTGAAACCCGGGTCTCCTCCTTTCAGTCCAGCGAGGCAGGTGCTGGTGCTCCCTGGAGGAGGTTCTAGGGGCCCTCCCAGTACCCTGGGGTTCTCGACTCAGTGGTGTCATGGGTGCTGAACAGTGCAAGGAGAATAGTCTGTCTTTGGCTGTGGTTCCGAGGACCCCCAACCAGGGGAAACAGTGTGGCTGTCCTGGGCCTTTTCTCAATTGTTGGGGGGTGAGGGGAGTGGCTTTGCAGAGCTATGTGCTGGGACTGGGGACCTGGATGATGTGAGAGGCTCTCCCAGCTTCCAGAAGCTCTTGGTATGGGCGGGGGGAGGGCGTAGGCCCAGCAGCCACAGGCAGCGGTGACACCCAGGAAGGGCTGGGGAAAGGCAGGTCAGGGGAGGCTTCTTGGAGGAGAGAGCCCAGAGCTGGCTCTAGGACGAGCTCCAGTGGCTTTGGCTCCTGTTTGCCCTTGTTGTGCACCAGCCACCCACAGCCTCCCCTCCTGCAGAAGCACAGACACACTCCGCAGACACACTCCCACCCAGGACTGCCATGGCCACAGGGGTGCACTCTGGTCGGTGTGGGCTGAGGGGTGCGTCCTGGTGGGTCTCAGCCGCACACTGCTCGGCTTGCTGTCTTGGGCTATGTCCTCGTGGGGCATGAAGCTGGACAGAGGACTTTTCCTGGGTCCCCAACGTCCCGGGGCAACAGGGTGGAAGGAGCTGGTGGGGCCCTCCAGTGCCTCTGTGGCAAGGAGTGCCCCAACCCAGGAGCTGCCTGGGCCCAGCCAGGAGCACGGCCCAAGCCTGGCCTGTGCCTCACCGGACGTAGAGATGTATCGAATTCAGCTTAGCAACCCAGGCATGAATGCCCGGCCTTTAAAGAGAAACTTATCTGTAATTAAAATCATGCACAAGTTTTAGAAAGAGTGTTTACAACTGGGAAGAAAGCTGATTGTGAAAAAGAATAGGCTTCCGTTGGGGCTGGGAGTGTTTAATTCAGAAATAAATCCCCCCACGGGAGGTGCTTCTCCGGGGCTCTTTTCCCTGGTGCTTTTGGGGGCTGGCGGCTGGCGTGGCGCCGTGTGGATGCTGTTGACGGTGACCTTATCGAGCTCCCATCGCAGACGCGAGGGCCGGGCTGCGGGCTCCCGGGTGGCTGGAGAAATTTGCTGCGAACTCAGGTCCTCCGCTTGTGAGCAATAAATTAGTCCAGTTAAAATCAGCAGGACCTGCTTATTCAAAGTTTATGTTTCCCTGTAAGCAGATGGTGGCCTCAGCACGTGTGGAGCAGGTGGCATCAATCATGGCTTTGGGATTTAGGAGACAGTAACACTGCTCTCAGCGGGAGAGCCTCTGCCCTGACGCGCGGCAGTCAGAACGTGATTTACGCTGGTCCGGGCTGGCTGCGGCCGCCGGTGTAATTTAGGAGGTGAGGGTGGCGATTCGGCGTTAATTGTGGGAAGGCTGATGGATCTCTGTCCCCACAGCCCCCTGCCGGCCCCTTCACCGCATCGGCGTGACCCTCTGCAGTCCTTCTTGCCATCAGAGATGACCAGCGTGGCCAGTCGGGGGCTAATTGCTTTTCTGAGCATTGATTGCAATTAAGAGCACACATTTGAGTGGGAAGATGAGGGGCTTCGGGCTGGAACGCGGCCTGAGGCGTGGGCAGCTGACTGGCCTCTGAGTACCCAGAGCCCCCGGGCAGAGCAGCTGTCCCGAGGCCTCTGAGCCACCAGCCCCTGTGATGTGAGATGCGCCCGAGACCCTCCCTGCCTGCCCCACCCAGGCCCAGAAAACCCCCAGGATGAGGAGGCCGCGCACTGTGTTCGCGTCCAGGTGGATTTAGCTTGCCACGCTCAGCCGCCGACGGGCACTCGAAAGAGACCCCCGTGAACTGATGTTCCTGGCAGGCTCCCCGTGGCGCCCACAGACCCAAGCCCCTTGGCCACTGTGGCTCACTATGGACCACCCAGGGCTCAGGGCTCGTCTCTCACGGAGTTAGGGGCAGGACCCCACCACCCAGACTTCCCGCTGGGGTCCGCCCCTTGGCGTGGGTCTTTCTGACCGGCTTTGCCGAGAGGCAGGACCCCTTGGTGACTAGGGGGTGTTTAGCAGCGGGGGACAGTTTACCACCCCCTGCGTCTGTGTGGGCACGTGGCTCCGGTTTCACTCGTGGGTGCGTGTCTGTGAGGTGTGATTCCTGGGTCGCCGTGGCCGTGTCAGCTGTCCCCGAGTCCCACTGACTGTCCTCTGAGCGCGTCCTCTGTCTCACTCACCCCGTTTTGGCCCAGCCATTCCCTGGGGCTGGTGTTTTGAGGCTGTGAATTGCTAATGGGGGTCCCTGGAGGCTGCTGGGGACACATCGGGGTGGGCAGGAGGCTCCGGACCCAACAGAGATGGGGGTCCACGGCCGGTGCCTGGGAAGGGGTCCCCCCACGGCAGGTTCTGCCTGGATTTCCTGGCAGGCTGGACCTGGGTGGGTGGGGGGGCGTCCAGGACCCCTGCAGATTCGATGCAGGTGCGGAGCCAGGCTGCCGGCTGGAGTCAGGGCTGGCGGACAGGGTTGGGCGCCCCTACCTACAGATGCTGGTGGGGAAGGCAGGACAGGTGGAAGGCCTGAGCCCTGGGGTCACCGGGACAAGTGGCTTCCTTAGAGCCCACACAGGCCTCCCCTGTGCCCAGCTGGCTGCCTGGGTGCCTGGACCCCCACCGCTAAGCTCACACGAAGGCCAGATTCAGAGAGGTATGGCCTGCGCCAACCTGCTGGGGGGCAACCCTGTCCTCCTGGCCCACCAGCCCTCGGCCCTGCTCCTCCCTCATAGCCCACACCCTGCCCGGCCTTCAGCTGCCCCCACCAGCAGAGACTCTGCTGCTGCTTCTGTGTCTGAAGGCAAATCTGTCCTCCCTCTTGGGAGACATTGCCCACCCCAGGCCCCTCCGTCTGCCTCCCTTTCTCCGGTCACCCTCTGATCCCTGCATCTCGGTGAGGAGAGTCAGCAGAGTGGAGCAGGGCCGAGGGGCGTCTGGCCCAGACACACACACAGCTGCCAGGACAGGGACGCAGGCAGGGCCTCTGCTGCTGATGGGGGACAGAGCGGGGGGTCCCTGATGCTCTAGGCCTGGGCCCCGGTAGGTGCAGCCTCCTCCTGCTGCCCAGGGCGGGGAAATGACCGACTGTCCCCTTCCTGCTGGGAGAAGTGTGTCCCCACAAGGACAGGTGACTCCTAACACCCAGTCCCCACTCATTCCAGAGAAAATGGACTTTCACCCAGGCCGAGCCTATCCTTGGGGGCCTCGCCTCCAGCCTCCAGCCTCCCTGTGGGAGCCGATGTCCTGCCTGTGGGCAGGGAGGGAGGTGTGTCCAGGTCTCCTCAGAGCTGTCCCTGACACACAGCAGCTGCGTCTGTTGGTTTTAACACCAGGGAGAAATACAATTATTTCTTAAATACAGCCTTCTGATTTATTTCTTAAACCCGACCTCACCTAAGCAGCTGTCAATAGGGGTTTTCTGCTACTTGCTGCCAACTCCATGCTACGTGCCATAGACCAGAGCTCCCTGCTGTCCACACGAGGCATCTTCAGGCAGATTACAGGAGAAAATACGGGCACTCATCTCTGTGACCTTAGTAAGCACTGACCAAGGGAGGGCCCTGAAGAGAAGCTGTGTCAAACCCCAGAACTTCTCTTTGTCAAATGATACCCCAAGAGAGGGGACCTCCAAAATGACACCCCAAGAGAGGGGACCTCCAAAATGACACACCAAGAGAGGGGACCTCCAAAATGACACACCAAGAGAGGGGACCTCCAAAATGACACCCCAAGAGAGGGGACCTCCAAAATGACACACCAACAGAGGGGACCTCCAAAATGACACACCAACAGAGGGGACCTCCAAAATGACACACCAAGAGAGGGGACCTCCAAAATGACACAAGAGAGGGGACCTCCACACGCCTGAGAGGATATTTTCTGTGCACAGAAGCAAAGTACTAGTATCCAGAAAGAATTCCTAGAATCAGCCAGGCGCGGTGGCTCACGCCTGTAATCCCAGCACTTTGGGAGGCTGAGGTGGATGGATCACTTGAGGTCAGGAGTTGGAGACCAGCCTGGCCAAGATGGTGAAACCCTGTCTCTACTAAAAATATAAAAATTAGCTGGGTTTGGTGGCGGGCACCTGTAATCCCAGCTACTTGGGAGCCTGAGGCAGGAGAATCGCTTGAGGTCGGGAGGTGGAGGTCGCGGTGAGCTGAGATCACCCCACTGCACTCCAGCCTGGGCGACAGAGCAAAACTCCGTCTCAAAAAACAAACGAACAAAAAAAAAGCGTTCCTAGAATTAATCAGATCAAGACAGACAACTCAGTATGAAAACCAGCAAAGGCACACACAGGCGCACACAGGCACACACAGGCACTTTGCGCGGTGAGTGTCAGTGGGTGTGAGGGAAGAGGCTCTCCCTGGCTGGCACCAGGGTCAGGGGGGATCGCTGCACCCACCAAGCAGCAACGAACAACACGGAAGCTGGCGGCAGTGTGTGTGCATGCGTGTGGCCCCAGAGCCCCAGCCCCAGCACCAGGGGATGAGCCAGACCAGCGACTTGGGACAATTTGGTTGAGTGTGGGAAGTGGGCAGCGTGAACCCAGAGGACCCAGGAACCTACACCTGAGCAGGGCCTTTCTCGCTTTTTTTTTTTTGAGGCGGGATCTCACTCTGTCACCCAGGCTGCAGTGCAGTGGTGCGATCATAGCTCACTGCAGCCTCAAACTATTGGGCTCAAGTGCTTTCAAACTTTTTATTGCAATTTACAATCTTTTGTAAACATCAAATATTTCAAAATTAAAAACTTAAAATTTGAGTTAAAAAAAGCTAAGCTGGCAGGGCGTGGTGGCTCACACCTATAATCTCAGCACTGTGGGAGGCTGAGGTGGGAGGATCACTTGAGCCCAGGAGTTCGAGATAAGCCTGGGCAACATAGCAAAACTTCACCTCTACAAAAAATACAAAAATGAGCTGGGCGTGGTGGTGCACGCTACTCAACTACTCGGGAGGCTGAGGTGGGAGAATCACTCGAGCCCGGGAGTTGGAGGCTGCAGTGAGCTGCGATCACATCACTACACTGCAGCCTGGGTGACAGAGTAAGACCCTGTCTCAAAAAGAAAAGCTAAGATTTGGACTCAACCATGAGCTGGCCCGGCTTACTGCCAGGGAGGGTCACTGTGGGATTCTCACCCTCAGTGCTGGTTTTACTCTGATTCTCTGCCCCAGCCCTGGGCTCGGCTGTTTCTCTAAATACGACTTGGGAGGTATTTAGGATCTGGTATCTGAGTGGCCCATGTGCCGACTGTCATCAGGGTGTTATTGCTTCCAGCCCGTCAGTGGTCAGAGCTGGGACGCGTGTGCGTGTGTGGATAGACTCACGTATGTAAAGAGCACAGGACGACATTTTGGGCTGGATGATTAAAAAAAGGGACACAGTAGAACAGGTGACAACATTTGAATGTTGTAGCTTAGATCATATTTTATTAACGTTAATTTCCTTATTTTGATGTTTGTACTACAGTTACATAAGAGAATGTCCTTGCTTTTAGGAAGTGTGCATTGCACTTAGAGGGACATCATGTCTGCAGCCTACTTATAAATGATAAAAAACGATGTAGATAGAGGAGGAGGGGGAGCGTAGGAGACAGCAAGGGTGCTGAAGGCCAGCATTTGCGGAATCCGGTGAAGGATGTGTGAGAATTCTTTGCACTATTTTTGCAACTTACCTAGACGTCTGAAATGATTTAACAATGCTAAAAGATGATGTACTCTTACCCCCAGGAAAGGAGGAAAATGCTGAGATTGGATGGATTCTTTGTGTGAAATTAGTAACAAAATACTCAGAACTGTTATATTTTAGGAGGATATAATCAATAGATATTCTGGGTTAGCTGCTACCCATATGGATGCAGCAAAATTTGACCCTGCAGAAAAAAAAAATCTTCATGGCTTCGGGATGGGGGATGTTAAATAGTACACATGAAGTGCCAACTATAAAAAATTTAGAAAAGCAGAGCTTTTGCTCATCAAAATCACCACAGGCCATCATCCAAGGGCTTGTATAATCACAACATAAAAAACTGCTACAGACGTATAAGAAAAAGTCAACGCAATGTCAAAAACTAGCAAAAGACTCAAACAGGCACTTCACAAAACACGGCACCTAGGGACCAAGCAGCATGCAAAAAGGTGCTCAACGTCATTAGGAAGCAGGGGTGGCAAAATAAAACCAAAATGAGATGCCGCCACGCATCTACCAGGGTGGCCAGAATGAAGAAGACTGAAAGCCTCAAGGGTTGGCAAAGAAGTGGAGCAGGAATGTGCTGGTAAGCGCCTAACAAGCACTCACCTGATCTGCAGCGCGGGCTGATTTCCATGGTGCAAATACTCCTGCTGTGGTTGATTTCCAGTTACCAGTCTTGTTGCTCGTGTGGAGTTGGAAGAGATTGGCATGGTTGGCTCTTGCAAGCCCCTGTGAGCCAGCTCCAGCCACTACTAAGGAGCAATCAGAACTCCCATCCCTGCTGGTGTCATGTACGTTGGTGCAAGCACGTTAGGAAACTCTCTGGCAGCATCTACAAAAGCCAAGCACAAGAACTCCCTTTGACTCAGCAACCCTACTCCTAGGGGCACCTCGAAACAGAAACATACACATCATTCACAAAAAGACACGTGCAAGAATGCTCCCAGCTCTGCTACCTGGAATAGCATCAAATGAGAAAATACCCAAATGCCTACTAACAGCACGGGGAAAACTTATTTGTGGTATATCCACACAATGAAACATTCTACAAATGAGAATGGGCAATTTACTGCTACACATGACAAAATGAATGTGCTTCCTAGACACAATGTTGATTGAGCAAAAGTGTTCAGACACAAAAAGTTACTCACGCAGGGTTCCTCTATATTAAGTGTGAAAACAGGCTGAACAAACTCATGGAGTTAGAAAGTACAAAAGTAGTTACCTTTGGGGAGCACAGAGGTGCCAGGAGGTGGCATCAGATGGTAATCATCTATTTATTGAGTCGGAGGGGGTTACATGGATTTCATTTGGTGATAATTGAGTGGTACATTCATACATTAAGCACTTTTCTGTATGAATATTATGATTACATTTTTAGAGCTTTAAAAAATCATGACAATTCCTATAAACTAACAATGAACAATCCACAAATGAAATTAAGAAAGCAATTCCATTTTCAACAGTGTAAGAAAGAATAAAATACTTAGGAATAAACGTAACCAAGGAAGTGAAAGACTTGTACTTTGAAAACAACAAAACATTGCTGAAATAAATTAAAGAAGACATAAATAAGTGAAAAGACTGCCCATGTTCATGGATTGAAAGACTTCATAGTGTTATGATGACAGTACCACCCAAAATGATCTACAGGGTCAATGCAATCCTTATCAAAATCTCAACATGTTTTGTAGAAATAGAAAAGCCCCTCCTAAAATTCATATGGAATCTCATGGGACCTCAGATAGTCAAAATAATATTGAAAAAGAATAACAAAATTGGAGGAGTCACACTTTCTAATTTCAAAACTTACTACAAGATGATCTAATCAAAACAGTGTGGTAATGGCATAGAGACAGACATTTAGACAAACCAATGGAATAGAATAGAGAGTACAGGAGTAAACCCTTGCATATATGGTCAAATGATTTTCGCCATGATATACAAGTGACCGACAAGGGTGTCTAGACCACTCAATGGGGAAAGAAAGGACAGTCTTTTCAACAGAAGGTGCTGAGAAAACTGGATATCCATAGGCGGAGAATAAAGTTGGAGCTTTGATCTTAAATCACATACGAAAACTAAGTAAAAATGGACAAAAGACCTAAATGTAAGAGGGGAAACTATAAAACCCTTAAAACATAGGGAGAAATCTTTGGATTTGTCAATGATTTCTCAGATATGACACCATAAACACAGGCAAAAATAAATACAACTTACTCAAATTTTAAAACTTTTGTGCCTCAAAGGACACTATCAAGAGAGTGAAAAGGTAAACCACAGAATGGGAGAAAATATTTGCAAATCATGTACCTGATAAGGGATTAACATCCAGAATATGTAGAGAACTATAACTCAACAACAAAACAAACAACCCAATTCAAAAACTGGCAAAGGACTTGAATAGCCGTATCTCCAAAGATGATGAACAGGTGACCAAGAAGCCATGGAAAAAATCTTTATATCATTAGCCATTAGGGAAATGCAATCAAAACTACAGTGAGTTACCAGTTCTCTATCATTAGCCATTAGGGAAATGACAATCAAAACTACAGTGAGTTACCAGTTCTTTATCATTAGCCATTAGGGAAATGACAATCAAAACTACAGTGACTTACCAGTTCTCTATCATTAGCCATTAGAGAAATGACAATCAAAACTACAGTGAGTTACCAGTTCTCTATCATTAGCCATTAGCGAAATGACAATCAAAACTACAGTGAGTTACCAGTGCTCTATCATTAGCCATTAGCGAAATGACAATCAAAACTACAGTGAGTTACCAGTGCTCTATCATTAGCCATTAGGAAAATGACAATCAAAACTACAGTGAGTTACCAGTTCTCTATCATTAGCCATTAGGAAAATGACAATCAAAACTACAGTGAGTTACCAGTTCTCTATCATTAGCCATTAGGAAAATGACAATCAAAACTACAGTGAGTTACCAGTTCTCTATCATTAGCCATTAGGGAAATGACAATCAAAACTACAGTGAGTTACCAGTGCTCTATCATTAGCCATTAGGAAAATGACAATCAAAACTACAGTGAGTTACCAGTGCTCTATCATTAGCCATTAGCAAAATGACAATCAAAACTACAGTGAGTTACCAGTTCTCTATCATTAGCCATTAGGGAAATGACAATCAAAACTACAGTGAGTTACCAGTTCTCACCGTTAGGATGGCTACTATCAAAAAACAGAATGTAATAAGTGTTGGTGAGGACATGGACACATTTAGAACCTGAGCGTGGGTTGGTGGGAGTGCTAAATGATGCAGGTGCTGTGGAAAACATGATGAGAGTTCCTTAAAAAATTAAACCGAGAACCACCACAGGAACGAGCAATTCTACTTCTAGGTATGTTCCTTTGGTACATACTTAAAGAAATTAAAAGCAGGGATTCAGACAGATATTTGCCCTCCCATGTTCATAGCAGCACTATTGACAATAGCCAAGAGGTGGAAACAGCGCACGCATCGAAGGGTAAGCGGATAAACAAAATGTGGTATACATAAACAATGAAATATTATCCAACCTAAACAGGACGGAAGGTCTGACACGTGCTACAACACGGGTGAACCTTGCAGACATTATACCTAGTGAAATAAGACACAAAAGGACAAATACTGTGCAATTCCATTTATATGAGGTCCCTAGAATATACAAATTCCTAGAGACAGACAGTGGGATGGTGGGTGCCAGGGGTGTGGGATGAAAAGAGCTCTGTAGACGGATGGTGGGGATGGTTGTGTCGCATTGTGAATATACCCAGTGCCACAGAATTGTACCCTCAAAAAGGGTGAAAATGGTAAATTTCATGTTACGTACATTTAACCACAATTTAAAAATATGAGCAAAAAGTCACGAAGAAGTTGTTTCAGTCTGGGTCCAATCAGGAGACAGGGAGACCACACAGGGCAAATCCAGGTGATTTAATGTGGAGAATCACAAATGACCAGAAGTGCAACCAGAAGTCAGAAGGGGCTGGTGCAGGCCTTGGGGAATCTGGTGCCGGGGGCAGGCAGGAGGCCTTCAGTCGCTTCTTCCACATAGAGAGGGGAAAATCTTCCTGCCAGCCGGCCAGGAAAAAAACAAAAGACATGCATTACCTACAAATCTGTGATACTTTGGGATGAGCTTAGATTTCCCTGTGTTCTGAAATATCAAATGACTCTGAGCTACACACAGAGACATTTGGGGGGAAAGAATATGTCACACAAATTACTGTTCCCATCAGAAGAGAGCAGAAAGACATTCCCGGATGCTGCACGGTGCAGCCACCAGCCCTGTTGTAGGCGCTGAATCTTCGGTGCCCAAGGCAGGCTGTGGCACAGGGAGGGAGCTCACAAGAAGCTGGCATGAATACAGTAGTCTCCTTTCCCATGGTTCTGCCTTCCACAGTTTCAGCTACCCGCGGTCATCCACAGTCCAAAATTGTTCAATGGAAAATTCAGAATAAAACAATTCTGAATTTTAAACTGCATGATGTTCTGAGTACTGCAGTGAAACCTCACACCTGCCTGCTCCATCCTGCCCCGGACAGGAGTCATCTGTTTGTCCAGTGGATCCACGCCGCAGATGCTGCCTTCCCATTAGCCACTTAGCAGCCACTTCGATTATCAGATCGAGAAGACAGTGTGCAGGTATTGCTACTATGTGAGGTTTCCAGCTTCCACTGGTGGTCTTGGAACGTATCCCCTAGGGACGAAGGTGGTGGTGGGGGTCTTCTGAAACAATGCCAGTGATGAGAAGCCGGGAGGACGGCTGGCGCGGCCCCTCCTACGTGCTCCCAGTGCTTCTGTTAGGACAAAGGCTGTCTTCTGAAACAATGCCAGTGATGAGAAGCCGGGAGGACGGCTGGCTCGGCCCCTCCTACGTGCTCCCAGTGCTTCTGTTAGGACAAAGGCTGTCTTCTGAAATAATGCCAGTGATGAGAAGCCAGGAGGACGGCTGGCGCGGCCCCTCCTACGTGCTCCCAGTGCTTCTGTGATAGGTCTTTTTACTGTCCCCATGCACAGATTAGACAGAGGAAAACAGAGGTTAAGTGGCTTGCCCAGAGTTGCAAGTGCAGAGCCAGGAGTCGGCTCCAGAGCAGGTGCCATCCTGAATTAATGAAGACGTTGGTCCCTTGACGGGACAGCAAGGAGGCTGCAGCAGGAGCCCCGGAGCCTCGGGGCCTGAAACATACACGCTGTGTGGATGCCACACGATGAAACCACCAGTGCAGCACTTGGAAAGAGCTGCACAGCTTCCGTGAGAAGGAAGGGCAAAGGTGACTCCCCTGCTCTCGCCCTCAGTAACCAGAGGAATCTATGTTGAAAATAAATCTGAAAAAAGCAAGAAGGATTAAAACAAGTTGTTCCTTCTCCAACTCATGGAAGGTGATTTAAAAGTGCACAGCCCGAGTCCAGGGGTGAATGGCAGAGCTGTGCAAGGAGCTCAAACGGGGAAGTGTGGGAGGAGGCAGCAGAAGCCACAGCAGAGGTCCCTGTGAGGATCAATAGCACTGAGGGCAGCACTGCTTGCACCTGAGCGTCAGGGGACACACAGGGCACAGCAGGCGGATGGGAGAGTGCAGGGGCAGACACCCCCACTCCACTCTCAGAGCACCCCAGCTCCTCTGAGAACCAAGACCCTTCCCTGGCAAGGCAGAAGTGAAGGGCTTGTCTGGTGAAGCAAAGCCCACTATCCACAGGATTTGGTGGGTGTGGGAAGCATGGAGGGAGGAGATTGGCCCAGAGGGCCTGGGTGGGCTCCCAGTTCCAAGTGAGGGAGGCCCCTAGAAAGGAGAGTTTGAGTCTGGCCCCATCCCGGGAAGCTGGCCCCACCACGTCCACAGTCTTTGACGTGTCTTGTATAATTCCCCCACCCACACTGAATATCAGCTGACTTTAAGGACAAGCTTCAAACAGAAGAAGAATGGGGCAGGCTGAGGCTGGGTGACTTCCAAGGATGGATCATAAACGGCAACTTACCCTAGTCCTGGCCGCCATGTTGAGAGGAAGCCCAGGTCAAGGTGAGGCTACACGCAGGGGTCCCAGTCCCAGCCCAGCCAGCCTGACCACCTGATGGTGAGTGAAGGGGCCTCTGGACGACTCCAGCCCAGACTCCAAGTCACCCCAGTGACATCAAGAGGAGCAGAGACCAGCTGTCCTCACTGAGCCCTGCCCAAAGTGCAGATTTGTAGGCAAAACAGACGCTGTCATGGTTTTAAGACATTAGGTTTTGGGGTGGTTGGTTATGCAACAATTGATAACACTAGGCAACCTTTGCCTCCACGTGGGAGACCCTGAGGCAGACACCCGGGGGGACTCCCCAGTTTCTCCTGGCTGGTTGTCTGTGGTGGTCTTGAGCGTGTGCAGACTCTGTGGCCACTGTGGAAGCCATCACCCAGTGCTAGGGATGGAGGGCAGATGGCACATCCCTGCCCCATGTGGGCACCCTGGTACAGCCACAGGCAGAGGGGGAGGGGCCAGGCCTGCCAGCCTTCTTGCATCACCCAGATAGGCCCCAGCTGGTCCCTGGTAGTGGCTCCTCCTCCGGAAGCCCTCCTGGTGGTCTTCTGCAGCCCCCCTGGCCCTCCCTTCTCTCCCAGCCTCATGACGATCAGGGTAGGAAGGAGGCTTCCCTGTGCTTGCTGACGCAGTCAGACCCCTGAGACCTGTTCTGTCACGCAAAGCACAAGCGGCACCTGACTTTGGGCTGAGTCGGGATAATTTCCAGCCGCGAGTCCAGGCCCACATCAGGATGCGGCAGAGGTCACAGAGCCTGGCTTGCCCCAGAAAGACCTGGACTCAAAGTATTTGGGCAGGAGGCTGGTAAGGCACTGACGTCCCCAGGCCTTGCCTGTGGCTGTGACGGGACAGAGGACAGGTGGGCCTTGGGTGTTCACACCAAGGGGCATGAGGGTGAGGGGGGCAGGGGCCAAAAGAGTGGAGGGGAACCCAGGGTGGCAGCAGCAGCCTTAGCTACAGGCCGGCCTTGCAGGGGGGCTTGCAGGGGAGCCTGGTGGGGTTGCTCTGTGTGCTGGCCGTGAGGATGCAGGGCCTGGTCCCTCCGGATGCGGCCTCTGCTGAGTCCTGCAGTGGAAACACTCCTGCCGTGTATCGGGACAGGACAGACAGCTTCCTCCTCACCTCAGGGACAAAGGGGACTGTCTGTGCCTCGTCTGTGAAGCCAAGGTGTCCGCCCAAAGCGCTGTGGGGCTGAGGTGCTTCCTTCTTCCTGTGTCCGTCTGCTGCCCCTGGGGGTCTTGGGGACAGCTGGGGGAGGCGTTGCTGTAGGCGCTGGGTCCAACCTCTTTCCAGGTGGGGACCCGAGTGGCAGCTGTGAGCCCAGGAGGGCGCTCTTCCTCGCGGGCCAGGGGGGCTGCAGAAGACCACCAGGGGGGCTTCTGAGTTGCTGGTGGGCACTCACCTGGGGGCCGGTCCTGGGGGCCAACAGGCGCCCAGCAGGGGCTTGGCGTGGCCTCCGCCCTTGGAGGGATGAGCTGGGGCTGTTGCTTGACCCGCGTTAACTTTTAATTTAAAGTCTCTCACCAAAACACAATGGACTTTTGACATACAAATATTAAAAATTAAATTTCCCGAGTTCATTATCTGATAATTAGAACTAAATAACATCTTAACTGAGAGGCCAGCCCCACGCAGATCAAGTCAGTTCCATTTAAGATTCCATTAGACCAGTGTCGGAGCGATAAGTAATGGACCATAAAATTTAATTTGGAAATGATCTCGCGCCGAGATGGAGCGACAGCGCTTCACAAAGAGCGGCCGGGCCACGGGGCCCCGGCGGGGGCGGGATTCAAAGGCACCGCGGCGGCCGCCGGGAACATGTGTTCGCGCTTTCTTCCCTTTCTCGGCCCTGCGGTATTTAAAAGTCAGAATTGACCAGTGTAGCTCCGTGTAATTACAAAGATCCCCTTATCAGAGTCTATTTGCCGGCGCGAGGAAAGAGAGGCCGGAGCCGTCGGCTCATTTGCATGCGGGGCCCCGGCGGCCGCAGGAATCACCAGGATCAGCGCGGGCCTCGCTGCACCGGGAGGGGCCGGGCATGGGCGAGGCTGGAGGGAGAGGCGTCCCCGGGGCGGCCTCGGAGGGGCTGGAGGGGGGAGAGGCGTCCCCGGGGCGGCCTCGGAGGGGCTGGAGGGGGGAGAGGCGTCCCCGGGGCGGCCTCGGAGGGGCTGGAGGGGGGAGAGGCGTCCCCGGGGCGGCCTCGGAGGGGCTGGAGGGGGGAGAGGCGTCCCCGGGGCGGCCTCGGAGGGGCTGGAGGGGGGAGAGGCGTCCCCGGGGCGACCTGGGCGGGGCTGGAGGGGGGAGAGGCGTCCCCGGGGCGGCCTCGGAGGGGCTGGAGGGGGGAGAGGCGTCCCCGGGGCGGCCTCGGAGGGGCTGGAGGGGGGAGAGGCGTCCCCGGGGCGGCCTGGGCGGGGCTGGAGGGGGGAGAGGCGTCCCCGGGGCGGCCTGGGCGGGGCTGGAGGGGGGAGAGGCGTCCCCGGGGCGGCCTCGGAGGGGCTGGAGGGGGGAGAGGCGTCCCCGGGGCGGCCTGGGCGGGGCTGGAGGGGGGAGAGGCGTCCCCGGGGCGGCCTCGGAGGGGCTGGAGGGGGGAGAGGCGTCCCCGGGGCGGCCTCGGAGGGGCTGGAGGAGGGAGAGGCGTCCCCGGGGTCGCCGCCGCGTAGGGAGGGGTCCGCGCACCCTGGACAGGCCGGGGCTGGTGTCCCGGGGTCGCTCGGGTCTTTGCAGAGTGACGACGGCTGGGAAGGACCCCGCTCCTGAAGCCAGACCCAGAGCGGCTGAGACCTTTCCAGAAGCTGCTTCCGTGCTGAGTGCAGGGAGCCTTTCCAGGGAGCCTTTCCGCCCTGCCTTTCCAGCCGTTCCCTCCCCGAGCCTGGCTTCCGCCCTTCTGGGCTCAGCAGGCTTTGGACGCTGGTTCGATCCCCGCCCCTGGAAACCATCCCCGTGGCTTGTGGGTGCCGGGGCCGTGGCGCAGCCCCACGCTGACTGCAGAGGAGCCCTTGAGCCCTCGCCGAGCCCACGCACTCCTACCCTGTGCTGGCAACCTGGCCACCTGTCCCCTGGTCCACCCGCGCCATCAGGGCGGGCCCGGCGGCGGGGCCTCCAGCGACAGGATCCAGTAGCGGAGAGGAAGGAGGCTGAGGGACCCCACTCCGCGCCCGCCCCTCGCCCCCCCCTCCGCTAGGCAGAAGCCCCCGCCGCCAGACCCCAAGGAAGCGTCTAAAATTAATTCTTGTTCCCGCAGCAGCGGGTGACCCCGATGTGTCGGCCTCCACGGCTCTAGCCGGCAGCCGGCTCTGCGTCTTATCTCCAGAGCAGCCTCATTTGTTAACTTCTCGCTGAATACACCCTCTCCCATTATTTCTGTAATTCTTGGCAATAACAGCCCTTCCCCTAATGAAACCTGCATTATTGGAAGGTTGCAGTCCTGACCCGGTGAAGATTAGCTGTGTCCTCTGTTATTGCTACATATGTAATTGTATAATTGATTTTAAAATTTACTTTTGTGTCCCCACATCATAAAGTAAGCAGCCCATTAAGGGGCAGAAATATAATTAATATATCTGTAACCACTTCAACCTCGGGAAAACAAGGGCTGGGGGGCTCTGCCGGCCTGTGGGCAGGGGCGCCGCAGGGTCCACCCCTAGGCCTCCTACAGTCATGGGCCTCGGGAGGGGCTGTCCAAGGGGGTCCGAAGTGGGGTGGGGTGGTGCCTCCTCCAGCGGGAAGGCTGCCTGCCTGTGGCCATGCCCCCTCCAGCCGCCCCCAGGCCCAGTGGCCCTGCCCTTGCTGGAGTGTGGTTGTGGTGAGGCTGGACTGATCCCACGGGGGCCCTCTGAGGCTGAAGCCCCTGCCCAGCTGCCTGCATCGTGGGCACCCAGGGAGCAGAGGGGAGTGAGGGGCCCGTAGGAGGCTGCAGGGAGCTGGGCCCAGGCCAGCCCCTGTAGCAGGGTACATTCCACCGTGGTTCTCTTTGCCTTTGCCACCCCTTCCCAGGCACAAAGACACCCTGTGCCTGCTTGTCCACCCTCTGCCCTAACCAGACCCGGTACTCCATGAAGGGCCACTTGGGCGCCAGGGTCAGTGCCCATGCTGGCTCCAGAAGAGCCTGGTGCTGGCCCCCAGCCTTTGCAGCTACGCTGGCCGGCCGGGAGGTCTCCAGGGCTGGCTCCAGGTACTACCGCCTTTGAGGGGATGGAGAGGAACCAGGGTGCCGGGAGCCTGGAGACCTGGCCCAGGCGGAGGGAGGCACATAGCCTTTGCCCAAACACCCCTGTGGCACCCCAATTTAATGTTTTTTGTTTGTTTGTTTTTCTGAGACAGTCTCGCTTTGTCGCCCAGGCTAGAGTTCAGTAGCGCAGTCTTGGCTCACTGCAACCTCCACCTTCCACGTTCAAGTGATTCTCCTGCCTTGGCCTCCCGAGTAGCTGGGATTACACGTGTGCGCCACCACACCCGGCTAATTTTCGTATTTTTTATAGAGATGGGGTTTTGCCATGTTGTCCAGGCTGGTATCGAACTCCAGGCCTCAAGTGATCCATCTGCCTTGGCCTCCCAAAGTGCTGGGATTCCAGGCATGAGCCACCATGCCCGGCCCAATGTTCTTTCTTTTTATTTAAACAGCTTTATCGAGATATGACTTGCACAGCATTTAAATTGTAAAATTCAGTGTTTTTCATTTTCCACAGAGCTGCACAACCATCACCACAGTCCATTTTCAACATCTGCATCACCTCCAAAGAAACCCTGCGCCGTCCCCTCCGCAGCCCCCGGCGACCCCTCACCCCTCATCCAGATTTGCCTGCTCCAGGTGTTTCCCAGGAGCGGAGTCACGGAACACGCCCTTTGTTGCCGGCCTCCTTCACTGGCCACAGAGTCCTCAGGGTCCCCCCAGGCTTCAGTGCCAGCGTCCTTCCTTTTGATGCGTGTGATGCTCTGGGTGAGGACAGCCTCTGTGGGTGGCCAGCTTGCCCGGCAGTGCAGACTTGGGTGCCCCCACCGTGGTTGTCAGGGCGGCTCCCTGCCTGCTGTTGGCACGGGGTGGACGCACTCACAGGTGTGCAGACGCATGGATCACAGGTGTGCAGATGCATGGATGGGTGTGCAGCGCACACTCGCAGGTGGGGTGCTGGGAAGGGCCGGTGCCAGGCCAGAGCTGCAGAGTACGGCAGGGGCTCCTCAGCCTTGGGCCCTCAGGTGGCTTCATGGCCAGGGGGCCCTACTCAGAGGGTACCTGGTGCTGCCCCAGGAGGCCAGCTTTGCTGCACATAGGTCCTGGGCAGTCAGGCAGTGCTGCTGGCTGAGGGGCTGGGCAGGACGAGGGCCTGGTCTGCTTGGCCTCCCTAGGACAGCCTCCACACAGACAACAGCCCTGGAAAGGCCGTAGGCTCAAATTCACCAAGTGCTGCCCGTCCAGGGGCTGGTGCCACCGGAGAGGCTCACTGACTGCCCCTGTGACTGGTGAGCTCGAGGCAGGGGTGTAGTCTGCCCACCAGAGGACCTATGTTGCTCCCAGACAGACCGTTCACAGCCCTCTGGTGTGGATGGGGCTGCTCGTACATCACAGTCCTCAACACCCGGGTCTCTGGGCTCAGCCCTAACTGTCGGCCAGGGGGTGGGGGGCTCATCTGTGAGGAGCAGTTTTTGTCCCACAGGAGTGAGTGAGGGGTCTGAGAAGATGTCGTGAAGACAGGGCGAGAAACAAAAGTTTCATTTCAACTGGCTGACACTTTTACAGAAGCAAATATCAGCGACCCAGTGACAGGTGGTGGGTGTCCCTGAGACCCCTGGTGGGAGCTCTGTGGGTCACAGTGGCCACAGGGTCTGACCCCAGTCACCCACTGGGGGCCAGTCGCTCCCCAGAGCCACCATGGTGTGGGTGTGCCGGGGGGTTCTGCCTAGATGCCCAGGACAGCCCTGAACAGCCGCAGTGCCTGACACTGCAGAGAGCAAGCGTCTCCACCCAGGGCTAGCCCAGGTGGGTGGCACCTGTGGCTGCTGGTGGGCGGAGGGCTGGAGCCTGTTCTGGCCACTGCTGGCTGACTTCACTGCATGGGAGAAGGGCGCGGACCCTCCCGTGGTCCAGCTCCAGGGGCAGGATCGTCGCTGTTACCCAAGGCCAGCGGTGGCCTCAGACACAGCTAGGTGCAGAGATGCTATACTATACTCCCCGCTGCCTCCCTCCCCTGAGGAGGGGTGGCAGAGGGCCCAGGAAGATGCCTGGGGCTGAGAGGGAGAAGGCCAGCGGGACACCAGGAGCAGGGGACCTGAACCCCACATGCTGAACCCCTCAAGCCTCAGGTGAGTCCTGGCCCAGCCAGCCTGGCTTACAGATACACCCCGAGGGCACCCCTTCCCTCACTGTTGACCCACTCCAGGAGAGGACGCATCAGATAACCCCGTAAATCACACGTCAAAACACTTTTTAAAGGAAACCGCTGAAGAGACAGCGTTTCCTCAGCCTGGTGAAGACGCATATAGCAAAATCTATGTAAGAAAGCCGGCTACTTAATCACGGAGACGAAGAGCCTCTGCGAGAGATTGTTCTGCTTAAAAAATGTGGTGGCGACTTGCAAATATGTTTTTAGAAGCAATTTTATTACAAACTGTCCCATCGGATAGCGCCTGGAAAGTTATGGGGAGCTGTGTTCATTCTTCAGACGCTGGGACAGCAGCGGGAGGTTGTTACAGGAGGATTTATTCCAGCAGAGCTGGGGAGGGGCCCAGGCCAGGTGTCGAGGGGACAGGCTCCATCTGGGTCTGTGTCCTTCCCAAGGGGCCAGGTAGAGGGTCCCTGCCAGCCCCTCCCCTACTCAGTGCCTGGCCCCTCTGCCTCCCTCCTTGCTGGTGCCCCAGTAGAGGGGCCCTGGGAGTGAGGAGCTGCCGTCTGGAGGGAATGCACAGATCGCAAAAGGCCGGAGGGAGGCCCAGGCTCAGGGACACGGCACCCACAGTCTGGCTGACGGAGAGACGTGAACACAGCCACAACTCACAGAACACTTCAGAGGGACTCAGGCCCCAGCAGGAAGAAGCAAATCACAAGAAGCCCCTGGTGTGGCCCAAGAATTTCTCTTTTTTCTAAGTCAGGTGTGAGACCTGGAGTCCACAGGGACTGTGTGGGGTCTCTGACCTCTTCCTCCTGGCTGGAGGGGGCTGAAGCCAGAAGACACTCTCTGCTCCTTCTGCATTCTCCTCATCACAGTGTCTGCCTGGCAGCTCTGAGATGGCCCCAGGGATGCACACCCCTACGGAGTCCCCTCCCCTGGAGCGGGGCTGCGCCTAGCAATGCTTCTGGGTGATGTGGCAGGTGGGGAGGCAGCTCCTCTGAGAGGAGGCTGTAGAAAAGAGCATGCCTCTGTCTTGGGTGCTGGCTGGATTTCTCCCTCGCCTTCCTCCCCTCCCTGACCCTATCTCTCTCTCATCACTTCCCCTTGGGGGAAGCCAGTGGCTGGAGTGAGTCCACTCAGACAGCCTATGGAGAAGCCCATAGAGGCAGGAAACCGACATCCCTGGGGTATAGGCAGTGAACGTCGGTGGCTTGCCAACAGCCTCGGGATGTTCTTGGGAATGAATCTACCACCAGTCAGGCTTTGAGATGCCTACAACCATGGCTGACAACTTGACTGCAGTTTCACCAGAGACCTTGAGCCAGAACTACACAGTTAGGCTGCTCTCAAGTTTCCGAGGGTCCCTCAGTAACCGCGCAGGATAATAAATATTTGTGATTTTTAGTTACTATGTTTTCAGGCAATTTGTTATACAGCAATAGATAAGTAATACAACTAACCACCATAATCATCATGACCATCATCACCATCACCATCATCACCACCATCACAACCATCACCATCACAATCATCACCATCACTATCACAGTCATCACCATCATCACCATCACCATCACAATCATCACCATCACCACCATCACAATCATCATCATCATCACCATCACAATCATCACCATCATCACCATCACAGTCATCACCATCATCACCACCATCACCACTGTCATTATTATCACCAGCACCATCATCTCCACCACCACCACCACCATCACAATCACCACCATTGTCACCACCATCACCACTGTCATTATTACCATCACCATCACCATCATCTCCACCATCACCATCATCACCATCACCACCACCACCATCCATCACCATCATCACCGCCATCACCATCATCTCCACCACCATGATCGTCACTACCATCAATATCACATCATCACATCAGTATAATCATCACCGTCATCACCACCATCACCAGTGTCATCTTTGTCACCATCACCATCAATAACATCACCGCCATCACCATCACCATCATATCTCCACCACCACCATCACTATCACCACCATCACTATCACCATCATCACCATCACCAATACCATCACCATCATCACTGTCACTATCATCATCACCATCATCATCACCACCACCATCGTCACTACCACTATCATCCCCATCACCACCATCACCATCTCCACCATCACCATTGTTACCATCATCACCACCACCATCGTCATCACTATTACCACCATCACCACTATCATCACCATCACCATCATTGTCATCACCACCACCATCACCACTACCTTTATCATCACCACCATCACCATCACCATCACCATGACTACCATTACCATCATCACCACCATCACCACCACCATCATGACCACTACCACCACCATCACCTCAGTGTCACCACCATCACCATCATCACCATCACCACTATCACCACCAACCACCACCACCATCACTACCATCACTACCACCATCATTACCAACATCACCTCCATCATCATTGTCACTATCACTATCATCACCACCATAACCGTCATGACCATTACCATATCACCATCATCACCATCACCACCATCACCATCATGACCATCACCATCAACTGCCATCACCATCAACCACCATCACCATCATCACTACCATCACTACCACCATCATTACCAACGTCACCTCCATCATCATTGTCACTATCACCATCATCACCACCATAACCATCATGACCATTACCATATCACCATCATCACCATCACCACCATCACCATCATGACCATCACCATCAGCCATAACCATCATCACCATCACCATCATCATCAACCATCATCATCACCACCAGCATCACCATCATCACCATCACCACCACCATCATCCTCATCACCTCCACCATAGCCATTGCCATAATCATCATCTCCTTTCTTCCTGGTCCACAGCTCTTTTCACATCTGGTCTCTTAATAATCAGAACAGTCATGCAAGAGGAGGAAACTGGGACTCAGAGCTGGAGCAACTTCCTTACGGCCACCCAGCAGACATGGCAAAAACCGAGCTGAGGCCAAGTCTGTCGAACTCCAGCTGCTCCAAGGCTCAGGACAGGCGTGTGCTGGCCCATGTTCCCTGGAGGGCTCTTTAGTCCAAGATGGAAGAGTATGGCCACCCAGCTGGGACCAGCAAAGAGAGGTAGGAAGGGTGGGGTGATGAGGGAAGAGCTTCCTCCCAGCCTCACCCTTGAGCCTCAAGGACTGCTTTCCAGAGACCCGGCTCAGGCAGCCCTCACTCCCCAGACCCCCTCCATGTTCTGGTCCTATAAAGAAGGCCGGGCTCAGGCAGCCCTCACTCCTCAGTCCCCCTCGCTGTTCTGGTCCTATAAAGAAGGCCGGAAGCCCGGGCCCTGCCGGGGTCAGCAGGGGTGCCTGTGTGGGCAGCCTGGGGTGTGGGGAGCCAGACCATTTGTGAGTGTCCAGGCTGAACATGACGTTCAGTGTCCAGAGAGGCTGCAGGCGACGGCGCCATGATGGGAGAAGAGGCTGGCGGGCAGGGACTTGGAGGGCGGGGACCTCCAGGCGGGCTGCGGCAGCGGGAAGGGGCCCCAGCGGCTCCGGCGCCGCGCACGGGAGGGGAGGGCCCGCCGCCAGGTGGCGCCTCGCCCTGCTCCACCGATGTGGCCGCGGCTCCCAGCTCCCGGCGGCCCGGCCCCGCCGCCTCCCCACGGCCGCACCTTGCACCGGCACCGCGGATGGGCCCAGTTTCTACGGCAGCGGCGGTCGGCAGTCGGGCTGGGGCTGCCAGCGCGGGCCGCACCCTAGGGCGCACCCCGCTCATGCGCTCCACAGCGCCGCGTGCCCTGCGGCCGTGCTGGGACCCTCCTGGGGCGGTGCTGGGACCCTCCTGGGCGGTGCTGGGACCCTCCTGGGCGGTGCTGGGACCCTCCTGGGCGGTGCTGGGCGGGTCGGGGGGAGGGGGTGCGGGGGCCGGGCTGGGGCCGTGCTGGGCTATGCTGGGGCCGTCCTGGAGCTGTCCTGGGGCCCTGCTGGGCGGCGTTGGGCTGTCCTGGGCTATGCAGGGGACGTCCTGGGGCGGTGCAGGAGCCGTGCTGGGGCCGGGGCTGGACCCGTGCTGGGCTGTCCAAGGCTCGGGGACTGCCCGCACTGGCGCTGCCCCAGGGACCTGGTCCCTGACCCCTGGCTTCCCCGCTGAAGCCCGCCTGGCAGGCCTGTCGCCCCCACGGACATCGGCCCGGACCTGTGGCGCGCTCGGTCCCCATCAGGCCTGACAGTGTGGCCCTTTACCCAGGGCCGCTAATTGATAACACTTAATTAATCTGCCCAGGAGAGAGATCAAATGGGGCTGGGTCCCGGCGGCCGTGTATTGACCCGGTTATTTCAATTAACCGCGGGGCCAGGGACTGCTCTGCTGAGCCCACCCCAGCTGCCCCCGGCCCGATCCCCGATCTGTCTGCGGCCCAGGCCCCACCCCGGCGCCCCGCTCGGGGTCCATGGCCGGCAGCTCCAGGACCGCAAGGCTGCGCCTAAAGGAGCTGCTGCTTGCAATTAACTGCTTTATTTAGGGCATTTTTTTTTTCTTCAAACAGCAATTAGATTTCTGTAGGCTTTGGAGAAAGCAAATGACCAGCAGCAAGACACCTTATAAATCAGGCCCTGAGGGTGGGCGAAGCCCCACTTTGGCAGGTGGCTGGCTGCCCTGCAGGGGCGTGGATGGGAGGGCTGCGCCCAGAACTCCCTCGGGGCCTGTGTGGGCTGGAGCCACGGTCTCTGCCCTGGAAAGGAGAGTTTCGGGAGGCCTTGGGTGCTGGCACCCTATTAAATTGCAAAGCACCCACCCTCCCCTGTCCCGCTACCCTGCCCTTCCTCCCTCATTCCCTCTCACCTCCCCCATCCACCCCCCACCCTTCCTCTCCTCCCTCTCTCCTTCGCCTTCCCTCTCCTCCCCTACTCCCTTCCTCCCTATGCCCGCTCTGTTCCTCCTCCCTATGGAGCTATGATTGGACAGCCTAGGCCATGTGCCCATGTGTGGACCAATTACTATAGTTAGACAGATGGGGCACCATGATTGGACAGCCTAGGCCATGTGTCTGTCCCTGGACCAATCACTGTGGTTAGACATATGGAGCACTATGATTGGATGGCCTGGGCCATGTGCCCACTCCTGGACCAATCACTGTGGTCGTAAAGATGGGGTACTGTGATTGGACAGCTTAGGCCATGTGCCTGGCCCTAGACCAATCCCTGCGGTGGGAGAGATGGGGCACTGTGATTGGCGGCCCTCCTGACGGGGCTGGGGGACCGCTCTGGGGCGGGAGCCACAGCATCCAATGGGGCAGGGGTCGAGGCCGCCCCAGCTGCCTTGATGGCGGTCGTGGGACCCTGGGCGCTGAGCTGGGGCGCGGGCAGCCTGAGTCTGTTAGTCTCTGAGGCCCAGCCACGGAGGCCGCGCTCCGGAACCCTTGAAAACCTCGGGCCCAGCGACAGCCAGTCCCAGCTCCGGGATGGCCATTCCTGTTCTGTCCCCCTTCCTTTCCGGTTCCCAAGTGGCTGTGGTCTCCGGAGGCCCAGTGCAGACTCCTGGTGGCAGGGACTGGGGCGGAGAGCAGGCAGCGACTGCGGAATGGGAACAGGGCTTCCTCTTTGTCGAAGTCAAAATAAAACGTAGATGAATCTCTATGTTTCGTGTGTTTTATTTGAGAGGAAGGAATTGCAGTTCGGGGCACACACTCAGACCAGGGGCGCTCCCCATCTGAGAATAAAAACAAGGCTGCAGCTCAGGAAACAGGAAGGTCACCTGTGGCCCCGAGGACGTCGGGCATTGGAAAAGCTCGGGCCCGCAAGTCCCCACTGCTGGGCCAGGCCGGGCAAAGTCGGCCCCGGAGTTGCGGCCCTGATCGCAGTTGCTGCAGATGAGGCTGCCTTCAGGTGACAGCAGTTTCAGCAGCTGGACTTGCAGAGAATCACATTCCTAGAGGAATGTCTTGCACCCCGAGTGCTTTTCCCTCAGCCTCCTACTCTCATGTAGTTGGGTGTGACAAGAATGACCCAATTTGTAAGATCAACTTTCACAGGGTGAGGAAAATGTTCTGGAATTAGGCCGCGATGATGGTTTCACAACCTTATAAATACACTAAAAATCACAGAATTGCATGCTTTAAAATGGTTAATGTCATGTTATAGTTCAATTTGAAAAAGCAGTGGAAAATTTCTTACGAATTAATACTAAGAGAAACAACCCAATTCAAAACACACCAAAGATTTGAGGAGACGTTCTTACCAGAGAAGATACACAGCTGGTAAGTGAATACATGAAAAGATGCTCGACATTGCTAATTATCAGGAAAACGCAGGTTAAAACCGCACAAAGCTGCCACTGTGCACCTATTGGAGCAGCTGAAATTACAAAGACCAACCTTGCCAAGTGCAGGTGAGGACACGGGGGAGTGTGCGTGCATCGCGGTGGGGAGTAAAGTCGAACCGCCAGTTTAGAAACCAGCTCGGCTGTTTCTTTAAAAATTACATATACATCTACCCTACAATTTCACCATTCCACTCCTAGGCATTTACCCAGGGGAAATGAAAGTGCATGTCCACACAAAGACTTATACTTGAAGTGCATTGAACTTTATCTGTAACAGCCCCAAACTGGAACTACCCATATGTCCATCAAAAGGTGAATTGTAAACTGTATCACTGTGTATCATAACCACACAATGGAGTACTGCTCAGCTCAGCAACAAAACAGAACTACTGTTACTCAAGACGACATGAATGGATTACAAAATAATTGTGCTGCGTGAGAGAAGCCAGAGGGGAAAAGTGTACATTTGTACAAAATTCTAGACAGTGAAACTTAATCTACAGTGACTAAAGATGAGTGGTTGCCGGGCTCAGAGGAAAGGTGGAGAGGAGGTGTCAGGAAGGGACAGAAATGACTTCTGGGGGTGACCAGAATGTTTGTGTCCTGGGTCCTGGGGATGTTCTTGCTGGCATGGACGCATGGACACATGTCAAAACCCATAACATTGTACATGTTAAATATGTGAGGTTTGTTGTATGCCAATGATACTTTGATAAAGCTGTTTTTTTAAAAGGAGCCCATCCCTGGGGCTGCCCTGCTGTCCCTGGTCAGCTGCTCGTGTCCCTTCATAGGACAGGCAGGTGAGCACTGGATGAACCCGCAGCCCTTGGAAGGCCTTGAGCCTCTCCACTCCTCCCTGGCACTGAAGCTGGGCCTCCCTCCCGAGCCCCAAAAGCTAGGGGATGTGCAGATACCGAGATAAATGAATCCCAGCCAGCAGGCATGGGCAGGGAACACCCCGGGGACGAGGGGCAGCACGGAGCCCACAGAGGATGGGGGCAGCCAGGACTGCACAGTGGCTGAGACGGGGGAGGGTCAGGTCTGGTGTGTGGGCCTCTGGGGCAGGGCCTGGGCTCTGAGCATGGTCTCCCCCTTCCACTATCCATGCCCAGCCCCTGATGCCTGTGCCCTGCCTGCTGTCTCCACCTCCAGGGTGCCACGGATGTGGCCCAGGGCCGGCCTC
This sequence comes from Homo sapiens, assembly GCF_000001405.40. NCBI lineage: Eukaryota > Metazoa > Chordata > Mammalia > Primates > Hominidae > Homo > Homo sapiens. The sequence continues at coordinate 1,509,435 of NC_000004.12, read as the reverse complement.
GAGCCTCAGGTCTGCTACTTGCCCTGGGGGAGTATATACCTCACTCCCTGGCCTCAGTTTCCCTGCTTTTAAAAGGAGACCCCATGGGCTGTCTGCTCTTGACCAATGGGAGGCAAGCAAGCTGCTGCTGGAGGGAACATCTTGTTTGAGGCTGCCACGGTGCTCCAGAGACAGCCCCTGTGCTGCTGTCCCTCCAGGTGGAGTGCAGAGGAGGCCCGGAGGCCCAGGTACCCAGGAGCTCCCTGAGGAAGGGAGGGAGGGAGAGCCCTAAACGGAGCTCCCCCACTTCTTCCTCCCTCACCCCCATCTGCCCAGAGAAGATGGGCGTGCATCTCCCTCTCCCCAGGGCCCACCAATCAGGCTCTTCTCTTCCCAAATCCACTCCCCATCCCAGGCGACCGACCCAATCCCCGAGCCTCAGGCGACCGACCCAATCCCCGAGCCTGGAGAGACCTCGCTGGGACACCCTGCCTGGTTCAGCCACCTGCAGCTGTGCCCCACCCTTCAGTGGCGGCCCGCTGGGTGGTCCTGTCTGCATCTGAGAAGCTGAACTTTTCCAGCTGCCAGCCTGCCACAGCCCAGGGAAACAGGATTGCCCCAGACAGAGAACAGAGACACAAAGTGTGGAAAATTGGAGTGACAGCGCTGCACTGATTGCTTGTTGAATGAGTGAGCGAGCAGTTTGCAGGGAAATTTACATTTATATAGTGCATTTCACCAGGCTGGGTCAGGGCCACTGGCCAGATACCCGTGCCACAGCTGCTGGGGCCACACACCTGGGCCCCAGGAGGCTCCCCCATGAGCCTGGGAGGACCCAGGGTGGGCAGAGCCCGGCTGGGCATGGGGGGTGACTCCACATGGCTCTCTCAGGCTCCCCCTATGCACCGCTGCCTGCGGTCCAGGGACCTGTGCCCTTCCAGCACCTCCCACAGCTCTTCCCCCACCCTGCCCTGTCCCTGCTGACCCTCCCATGCCCCCCCACCCCAAGATAACAAGCCTCTCTAGAGCACGCCAGCCTCCCGCCTCTGCTGCCCCTCAACCTCAACTACGTGACCTCACATCCCTCACAGACGCCGGCCCGGCCCTAGCCACCCTGGGGACAGCGAGGACCTGCAAGGGCTGTTTCTCGGCTCAGGGGCAGACGCCATGCCAGTGCCAGCACTTACCACTTGGGCGTCCTGCAGTTAGGAAGAGAGAGTCAGGTGCTGCTACAGATGGAATCACCCCCCCAATCCTGGGATTCCTGTGTTGAAGACCTGACCCCCAGTGCCAGGCTACCTGGAGACAGGGACCCTGAGGGACTGTCATCTGAAGTGATGGGTGTCCCTGCAAGGAGAGAGAGACCTCAGGAGGTGAGGACCCAGTGAGAAGATGCCACCTACAAGCCAGAGAGAGAGGCCTCAGGAGAAACCAAACCTGCTGGCACTGGAGTCTTGGACTTCCAGCCTCCAGAAGTGTGGGAAAATAAATGTGTGTGTGTGAGCTGCCCAGTGTGCTATTTCCATCATGGCAGCGAGCTGACTAACACAGGAGTCCATGTGGAAAAGTGGAGGGGAAATGGCCATTTTTAAACGGATGATGTGGCTGTATCCCTGCAAAATCAACTGAAAACCACCTATAGCAAAAGCGTACGTCAGTAAGGAGGCTGGGAACAAAATAAATAAGCCCAAATCCACAACAACCAGAAAGAAAGAAAATTATAAAATGCTTATGAAGCTGGCCAGATGGCAGTGGCTCACAACTGTAATCCTAGTACTTTGGGAGGCTGAGGCAGGCAGATTGCTTGAGCCCAGGAGTTTGAGACCAGCCTGGGCAACATGGCAAAGCCCCATCTCTACCAAAAATACGAAAACTAGCTGGGTGTGGTGGCGTGCATTTGTGGTCCCAGCTACTTGGGAGGCCGAGGTGGGAGGAGGCAGGAGAATTGCTTGAGCCTGGGAGGTGGAGGTTGCAGTGAGCTGAGACTGCGCCATTGCACTCCAGCCTGGGAACAGAGCAAGACCTTGTCTCAAAAAGGAGAAAAATAAATAAATAAATAACTTAGTAAAAGATGTGAGCCCTGTACCAAGAAAGCTTTCAAGTTCTGCTGGGGGACACAAAAAGCAGCCCATCCCAGGATGGAAAGACTAAACGGAGCTTCATCCCTGAAGTCATTGCCAATAAAAAAACAACAGGATCATTCAGAACCAGACAAGCTGAGTCTGAAGTTGTGCAGAAAGTAAGCTTGCAAGAACAGCGGGAAGCCCAGAGAAGGCACGCGTGGGCTTCGGCATCCAGATAGGAGAATAGATCACAGAGCTACAGGGAGCCGCCATGGCACAAAGGACTCAGCACAAAGCCCAGCAGTGAGTCTACAAAAGAGAATACGTGCTGCAGGCACCTTCTCAACGGAGAAAGCAGAAGATGGAGTGAGTGCCTGGTGACCCCTTGGTACCTAGTTCACTTGCAATCAAATTAAACTATAGACGTAATCTCAGAGGAGACAAAACTTTTCTATGCAAACAAACACTATAAAAGATGGATACATTTGACTAATGTAAAATCATGTATTTCTTTTTTTTTTTTTTTTTTCATTTTTGAGACAGAGTCCTGTTCCCGGGCTGGAATGCAGTGGCATGATTGCTCACTGCAACCTCCGCCTCCCGAGTTCAAGCGATTCTCTTGCCTCAACCTCCCAAGTAACTGGGATTACAGGTGCCAGCTACCACGCCCAGCTCATTTTTGTATTTTTAGTAAAGATGAAGTTTCGCCAAGTTGGCCATGCTGGTCTCGAACTCCTGACCTCAAGTGATCCGACCGTCTGGACTCCCACAGTGTTGGGATTACAGGTGTGAGTCACTGCACCCAGCCAAAATCACGTATTTCTAAATGGCAGAAGTTGCCTTCCCAGGAGAAAAAGACGAACGGGGGCGGGGGGATTGCAACACGTGAGAGGAGTAAAAGGCTAATGTCCTCAAAAAACTCTCCCAAAAAGAAAGAAAGAGACGGCGATGGAAGAGCAAACCAGCATAGGCAGGAGTGCAGATGCAGGGTCTGGACCCCCCACAGTGGGACGGGATGTCTCGCCCCTGCTCCCCTCTGGAGTCCCACCCCTCTGAGTCTATCCCACTCAGGACCCCCAAGTCTCCCAGTCTTTGGCCCTGCCGAAGCCATCTCTGTCCTCTCAGGGCACAGCACGTTCATGGGGGAGGGTTAAGCCAGAATTGTCAACCTGAGAGCAGGGGGAGGGTGGCACGGACGCCTCCTGAGCCCCTATTATATCCCTCCCAGGCAGCACCAGGCACGTAAATGCTGGAGCTCCTGCCCCTGTGCGCAGCTGATGTTCTCCGAGGCCTCGTGGGGACACTGTTCTGGAAGCAACGCCAGCCTCCATGGCTGAGGCTGTTCCAGGCAGCCCTCCTGGGGGGACAGAGGCCCTCGGGACCCTGCTTCTGGAGGGCACAGGGGCCTCTGGCCAGGGAGCTGCCCCATCCCCAGAAGCCAGCCCTGTTCCCCAGGGTGCCGCCTGCAGCTGCTGTCAGCTCTGCGAGTGTTTTACAGAAAACACACTTTGATGAACTGAGTAGACAGGATGCCTTCGCACCTCACTGGGGTGTCCCTCAATTCTGCCAGCACAGGCGGTGGGCACTGCAGCAGGATGCCTGGCACCCAGTCGGGTACTGCCCCAGAAGTGGCATTTTTCTTGGGAGGCTATGGAGGACAACAGAGCCTGTGGCATTTGCATGTTTTGTGACACTTCTCATGCCAGGGCTGTGCACGGGGGAGAAAAGCAAAGGGAGCCGGGTCTCAGTCTCACCTGCAGTAATCCTGGCCCACGAGGCCGCTGCCAGGTCAGTGACAGGGCAGGGGGCAGGTGGCATTTCCTCTTGCTATGGCTGAATCTGAAGGTGCAACCAGTATCCAGAAAGCCCAGCTGAGGCCCACGTTGGAAAAATGAGAAAAAAGGGAGTTTTCTCCACAGTGGTCACAAGGATACTCTAAACATATGAAAATACGCTCCCCTCTTCTCCTGGCCCTCTGGGACCCGGACAGAGCCCCTCTCCTGAGTCTCGTCCGCCAAGGCTGATCTGACCTACTCCGTGGGGGCTGGCTTCCACCCCACTGCACTCCGAGAGGCTGTGGCTCCAGTCCCCCAGGGAGGGGTCAGCCCAAAGGCCCCACCAGGCCTGGCCCCAGTGCCCTGCTGCCAGCCATGACATCAGGAGGCAGGGCAGGGGGAAAAACTGGGGGGCCTGCGGACCCGGGGCCTCCCTGCTCCAATTGCCCTGTGGCCTGTGACTTCACCTTCGGGTGTGTGCTGCCCACTCTAGTGCCCCTCTCCAGCACCCCAGTACTCCCAGTACCCACGTGCCAGTGGCCCCAGAGGCCACTCTACAGCAACCCCAGTGCCCACTCTCCACTCCTTCAGTACCCACCCCCCAGTGACTCTAGTGCCCCCACAGTGACACCAGTGCCCACTTTCTCAGTGAGCTAGGAGGCAGAACTCAACTCCAGAGGTGGGGCTTGGACACTGGACCAAATCGAGGACTAGCCACAACAGATCTGGGGCAGAAGCATCTCCCAATAAGACACACTCACCAGTGTGTCATGTCAGTCACCACTGCCATGGCAAGGACCAGAAGTTACCGCCCCTTTCCATGGCAACCACTGACAGCCCAGATGTCACCGCCCTCATTCTGGAGAATTCTGCATAAACCACCCCTTAATTTGCATATCATTAAAAGTGGGCATAATGAGCACAGAGCTGCATCTGAGCCGCCACTCTGGATGCACTGCCCATGCGAAGCCCTGGTCTGCGAGGAGGGGCGCCTCTGCCTCTGCTGTGACCCCTGCCCTTGGATTCTTTCCTGGGGGAAGCCAAGAACCCTCCCAAGTTATGGCCTCGACTTTGGGGCTTGCCCGTCCTGCATCACCAATTCCCCCCCCACCCCCTGCAATGGCCCCAGCACCCCCAGTGGTCACCTCACAGCGACCAGCGTGCCCACTCCTCTTCCCACTCCAGTGCCTCCACCTCATGGCGCCAGCGCCCACCCTCCTGTGCCCCTTCCCCATGTTCCCCAGATCCCACCTTCTGGAGCTCCCCTGTGCCCCCATCCCAATGCCCGCAGTGTCCACTGCCCAGTGACCCCACCCCAAGGACCCCAGGAGCCTCCAGGTCCCAGCTCCAGGTCCAGGCCTCCTGTGGCCACATGGACAGCACAGCCTGGCAGCCACCTTGTCTTCACCCTGGGGCATTCTTCCTGGGGGGAGGGCAGAGGTCAACCAGAAGTCAGGCAGAGGTCAGCTAGAGGTCAAGGTGACCCTGGTGGAGGCCCCTCCCACCCGCTGAGCTGCAGAAGTCCCTGCCCACCAAGTGAGCCGTGATTGGCTCAAATCAGAGGCGGTGCATGGCCCCAGCTCTGAGGATTGGCTGAGGCACACCTGACCTCGGCCCATCCAATCAGATGAGGGCAGGCCGTGGTGAGGCCGAGGGTGGAGGATGCAGCTGCCCCAGGCTGGACACTGGCACTGAGGCCTTCGAGGGCGACGGGACTGGGCCGGCCCAGGGACCCTGTGCCCTCATTCCTGGTGCCTCTCAGGCCAGCCTGGGCTCCTGCAGAAGCGCAGCAGCCCCTCGGGCCCGTGCGAGTGGGCTGTGGGAGGAGGGCGCCGGCCGAGGGGCGAACAGGAGGACCCCGGGGAGCCGGGGGAGCCCGGGGTGTCCGGGTGATCGAGTCCTGGGGCTGCCGGGGCCTTAGGGGACTTTCGGGGCCGGTCACCCGCGGGTGGGTCCTGGCGTGCAGGGGCCGCAGGCTTGCAGGCAGCGGTTTGGGTGAGGGTGTGGGGCTGGGGGCAGCCGCTGAGGGTGGTCCCCGCCCTGCCCGGGGAGGAGCGCGGCTGCCCCGGGGCCCCCCACGCCACTGTGGCGGGAGTTTTTAATGCCACCCACGAGATATCAATCTCTGCTCCCTCCAAGACAAATGCCGTGTCAGGCCGGCTGCCTGGACCCCTTATTTATCACCATTTAATATATATTAAAGCGCTCACACCTCTGATTGCCAAAACAAACAAAAAAAAACTGCATCAATCACAGGCCGGCAACAGTCGGGAGGCAGGTGGGGCGCTCAGGGTGTCCCCTCCGGCCCAAACTCCCTTGGCCTCCCTGCCCTAGCAGAGGCCCGGTATCCTCCTTCGGCCCAGGTCACCCCCTACCACGTGCAGCGATGCCCCGTGGGCAGGCCAGCTCTCCCCACTCCCTCCCCCAGCGAAGCCATCGCGGTGCAGAGGACACAAGGCACAGAGGGCTTGGCCTGTAGCCAGCAAGAGTTCAAGAAGACACGGCGGCCTGGCACCACTTCCTGACAGATCTCCGAACCCATCACGGCCACCCTGTCCCAGCAGGTACTGCCTGCTGAGACTGCCTAGGCACAGGTGGTCTGGGGCTTAGGGACCCCCAGTTCAGGGAGCCCCCTACCTCACTCAAGGCGGGGCCTGGTTCTGGCTTTCCTTTCCAGGGAGCTGGGGCCCCGTGGCCTCCGTGTTAGGATGGGGAAACGGCATAGTTGTGATGGACCCAGGGCAGACTCTTTCACCTGGAGAAACGGACCCAATTCCAGGGAAATGTTGAAATACAGAGCAGCGATTGTAGTCGGAGACGGTGGGGAGTGGACAGACCTTTTCCTGTCAGGTGCGTTGGCCGCCGTGGACTTGCGAATGTGGGCAATAGAGACAAGACTGAACGTAGCCGGAGGCGGAGCCAGGATCCTCGGGGCACAGGCGGTGCATGGAGACCCATAAATGGAGAAACTGAGGCCTGGGCCAGGCAGGCTCACACCCTGATGGGCAGCCTGTACATCAACGGTCCCTCCACCCCCAGGTGGGGACGCCCCTGGCCCTGTCCCCACCCATCCCCTGCCTCTGCCACCATCCCTCTCCGTCACCACTCCCCCCTCCCATCTCATCATGAGACTCTCTTGGTCCCCTGGGGGTGGAGCCCTTGGTAGCCCCCAGGAGTGGGGGCTGCTGGGACTGCAGTGGGAGGGGAGGGGCATGGGCTCTGGCCACTAAATCAGTCCACGCTTGTCACCAGCTCTGGGCCGCGGGAGCCGCCCGAGCGGAAATAACAAATGGCTGTCATTGTGGAGCCAAAAACCTGTGATTATAATTATCACATCCTCAGTGACCTTGCGTAAACTTTAATCCCTCTCCAACGGAGCATTTAAATAGCCTTCGCTGCGTGCCACAGAGCCCCCCGGCGCGCCTGCCGTGCCCCCAGCTCCTGCAGCTGGCTCCCAGGGAGCAGGGACACCTCTGGAGCCACCATGTCTGCCATGGAGCTGTTCACAGGCACTGGGCTGGGGGTGCCTGTGGCCAACTTCTTATTGGGCTGGGGCAGCAGGTGGGGGAACAGGGTGGGGGTCGGCCAGGGAGGTGGGGAGCCAGGCACTGCCTCCGGGATCCTCTGACTCACTGCATCCTGTGGCCTGGTCCTGGGGTGAGGACAGGGGGTCGGAGGCCACGAGCTCTCCATCCCCTCGCCCTCCAGAGGCTGGGCACGTAGCCCACCAGCCAGCTTCTCCTGGAGGGCCCCTGGAAGTCCCTCAGTTGGCCTCGGGCAGCACCCTATTCCCCTGTTCCTTGGCCAGCCTTGGAGTGGTCCGGGCCTGAGTGGGCTGAAGGGTCCTCGTGCAGCCTCAAGGTTCTGGCCTGGGAGACCCTGGGGGTCCCTCAAGAGTGGCTCCCCTCTAAGAATGTGGCAGGATGGGGACCCTTGGGGCCTGGGACTGTGGTCCCCCACTGACTCAGTGTGGCTGTTCCAGGTGGGCATCCACACCTGGAGTCCCACAAGGGTCGTGAGTGGTCGGGATTGAAATGGTGGCTTCCCTGTAGCCTTCCAGGGCCCCCAGCACACACCCCTTCCCAGGCCAGGGAGAGCTCTGGGGCCGAGCTGGGCCTCCAGGCCAGTCTCCTGATCACACACGGGCTTTGGACTCGAGGCCCAGAGGGCCAGGTGTCAGTGACCTTCGTGGTGCCCCAGTAGGCCCAGACCCAGCCCTGTCCCTCTCCAGCCCCTGACATGAGTGTGCCCTTGCTTGGGGAGGTGCTGCAGGAGGGACTGAAAACTCTCTGAACTCCTCCCTGGCCCTCTGGAGGCAAGGGGCTTGCGGCAGAAGCCCCCAGGGCTCGGCTGGTGCCCACTCCCTTTCTCCCCACTCCTCTCTTCCCTGCAGGAGGAATTGCCCCTTTTCAATATCACTTCTCTGCAAGATGTCGGAGCCATGGGGTCAAACGTGCCAAGGACGTTCCTGCAGGCTTCGCTCAGGGCAGGGGCAGAGGGGCACTCGATGCCAGTCACCAAAGGCACTGACAAGTGCTGTTGTAAAGAACATGACTTGGTTTGAGTCCTGAGTTCTCCAGATCAGTGTGAGCAGGAGCCCCTTGCTTTCGAAGCACCCCCATTACCTTCCCGGGGTTGGAGGAGGGGTGGAACTTCCTTCTCCCCTCCTGGGGTCACACCCCGTGCCAGGTTCTGGGATAGCCAAGACCTGGCAGACGAGGCCTCTGCCCTCCCTAGAGCTGCCTGGCATCAATCAGGTCATGCCAAGTGCGGGTGTGCACCGTGAGGGTGGCTGGAGCCTTGAGCGGTCGGGGGGTCCTGAGGGAGTCGGCCAAGCAGAGGTGTGGATGCAGAGGGGACGTGACCAGCACACGGGCAGGAAGGGGATCCCAGGCAGAGGGAGCATCTCATCTCTGAGAGGGAGAGGTGGGTGCTAGGACTAGTCAGGCCAGGCCCTCTCCTGGGCCAGTCTGCCTCTCCTGCCCTCACCTCCCATGCCCACACGCACACCTGTCCCCAGCTGCTGATGCGGGTGGCGGGCTGGGCAGGTGGGTTGCAGATCAGGAAGCAGTCACAGTGGCCTCCTGCTGTCAGGGTGTCCATCAGGCAGGTAGGGGGGTCCGTGGGGCACCCAGGTGCTATACCCGTGCCCCCTGGTGGTTCCTCAGCCTGGCTTCCACTCACAGCCTGCAGGTCACAGCCTGTCCCCAAGGGGCTCCCCTACTCTGCCCCAGTCCCAGTGCTAGGCTCTTCCCAGAACCAGGCCCCCGCCTACACGGTCCCCCAGCTACAGGTGCGGATCTCAGTGTGTCTCCCGGGTAAATCCCAGCTCATCCCTTAGATCCTATAGTTATCCCCCAGGAAGGTGTCCCCACCCCTACCCTGAGCACCCAGCACGGCCTTGTCCCCAGGGTGGCAGGAGGATGGCAGGGGCAGGAGAAAGCCACCAGGGAGCTCTCCCTGCAAGCCCAGCCTTGCACACAGCTGGAGCTCAGAGACACACCCAGGGTGGGACTGAGACCTCTGGATGGTGGTATCGAGGTGCCTTCATGGGGTGATTGGGGGACAGGCCAGGCCCTGCACAGCTGCACACACATTGGCACATGCAAACACACACATACGATGCCTATATACTCATGCACATGGACACACGTATGCACAGTTACACACAAACACGAGTATGGTAACAAGAGCACACCTGAGTACTTGGACACACACGAACACAAGTGCATGCGCACACACACATGCACACTCAGACATGTACACTCACCGTGCTGCGAGTGTGAAGGGCTGGGCCCAGGCATGGGTGCTGACTGTGGAGCAGGGGCCTGGCTGGTCTGGGACAGCAGCTGAGTCTGCAGATGGGGACAGGCCACCAATAGCAGAGGGGCTTGGAGGGTCCAGGCCCAGCCCTGAGGAGCCCCAGAGCCCAGGGGTGGAGGAAGCCGGGCCTGCCTCAAGGCTGGAACAACTGTGACCAGCGGTGGCCTGTCCCAGGGGGAGGCGTGGCCACCAGGGCCAGTCCAAGGGGTGGAGGTCCAGGAATGGAGCTCCTGAGAGCCGCTGGCCTGTACACCACCCTTTCAGGGGCCTCAACTGGCCAGGCTGCCAGAGGCAGGTGTGGTCAGGGGGCCGCTCAGCACTGGGATGGGGATGGAGGCCTTGACACACACTGTGGGGCCCAAACCATAGGCCTTAGGGGTGGAAACAACCTCAGCTGGTTCCAGGCAGAGGTTGTTCATCCTTCCACCTACCTGCCACCAATTCATGATCCTCTCTCCTTTTATCCACCGTGCGCTCATACCATCTGTTCGCCCCTTATACATTCATCCATCAAACTATAAATTTATCCATTCACTCATTCATTAGCTCATCAGCTCTTCCGTATGTCTATCTATTCACCTGTCCATCCGCCCACCAAGCCTCCATCCACCTCTGTATATTCATATATCCGTCCACCTGCTCGTTCATCAATTCATACACTTACCCATGCATCCATTTCTCCATCACTCAATTGGCCCATTTATGTGACAGGGGCTGGAGTCTGGTGCCCATGAGGCGATGCCTGCCTTCACCAGGAGCACATACCTTCACCCAGGTCCAGGTGCAGAGCCTTTAATGGGAGAATGAGGAACTTCTCTTTTTGGTTATCCTGGATTTCAGTGAGTGAAGAAGTAAGGTCAGCAGCTGAGATTGAAGAGTAAGCAGAGGGTGTTAGCAGTTTAAGGAAAGAAGAGACTGGTGAGGGGAGAAGTGTCCCTGAAAGCAAGAGTGCGAGTGAGGAAGAGAAAAGGAGCAGGATTGCTGGGCAGTGTTAAGCAGCCCCCGGAGGCTCGTGGCCGTAGATTTACCCAAGTTCAGCATGATTGTGTGTTTGTGTGTTTGTGTGATTGTGTGTTTGTGTGCAGCCACATTCCGCTGCTCAAGTTCATCTACACATTGACCCACCTATCCATCCATCTACCCAATCCATCATCCATCCCCCTACCTATTCATCCACCCATCCAGCCACACCCCCATCCACCTGCCCACCCCTCATTCTTCCATCCATCTATCCACTCACCCACCCACCTGTCCATCCACCCATCCATTCATCTATCAATCTATACATTTATCCACTTGTTCATCTCTTCATCTGTCCATCCATCACCCACCCCCCTCAACTGATGCAGACAGGAGACAGGGAAATACTGAGTGGAAGAGAGTGGTTCCCTGGCAAAGACCCCACCCTCAAGCCTGGAAAACTGAAGCCTTAAATGGGAACAGGCATTCCTGTTTTTTCACCCAAATGCTGCTTTGTGGCCCACCGCACGACCCTATCCTGTACTCATGTAAACCCCAAACCCAAGGCTCCACAAGCAGATGAGCAGAAGAGCAGAGAAACAGCAGAGTGGTGCCGTAGAGAAGGAGAGAAGAGAAGGAACATCTGAACGTCAAGAGGAGCTTGGCTGGGGACGGTGGGAGAGGAGATCAGCCGCGGGACAGCTGAACTCCAGGGGTAGATCATCTTCCCACTCCGTCTCTTTTCCAGCTTCCCATCCATCTCATGGAGAGCCACCTCCATCTGGCAATAAAATCCCCCACATTTACCATCCTTCAATTTGTCCATGTGACCTGATTCTTCCTGGATGCCCGACAAGAACCTGGGTACCAAGAGGGCACTGAGCTGGTTAACACTTAAGCTGTCTGTGGATGGCAGAGCTAAAGGAGCCCTGTGACACACTCACTGGGGCTTCCGTGCAGGCACCATCCCTAGATGCTACTGTGGGGTTGAAACCCAAAAGCATTTGCTCCAGCTCCTGCAGCTGCTCAGCTGCATGTTCCCCCTCCCATAAGAGATTTGAGTGCACAGCGGCCGAACATACGAGCCACACCCCTGTTGCATGTCCTGTGAGGGGGATCAGGGAACACGCCCATTTCATAACTATCTATCTATCTTATTTATTTCTTCATCCACCCATCCATCATCCACCCTTCCATCCACCCACTCACCCATCCGTCCTTCCATCCACCCACTCACCCATCCATCCATCCATTTCTTCATCCATCATCCATATCTTCATCCATCCTCTATCATCCACCCATCCATCCGTCCATCTATCCTTCCATCCACCCACCCATCCATCCATCCATCATCTACACATCCATCCATATGTCTGTCCATTCATTTATCTCTCCATCCATCCATTATCCATCCATCCGTCCATACACCCATTTCTTCCATACATACACCCATTTCATCCATCCATTCATCCATCCATCATTTACACATCCATCCATACATCTGTCCATTCATTTATCTCTCCATCCATCCATCCATTATCCATCCATCCATCCATCATCTACACATCCATCCATATATCTGTCATTCATTTATCTCTCCATCCACCCATTATCCATCCATCCATCTATCCATACACCCATTTCTTCCATCCATCCATCCACCCATCATTTACACATCCATCCACACATCTGTCCATTCATTTATCTCTCCATCCATCCATCCATCCATCATCTACACATCCATCCATACATCTGTCCATTCATTTATCTCTCCATCCACCCATTATCCATCCAGCATCTATCCATACACCCATTTCTTCCATCCATCCATCCACCCATCATTTACACATCCATCCATACATCTGTCTATTCATTTATCTCTCATCCATCCATCCATTATCCATCCATCCATCCATCCTCTACCTATCCATCCATACATCTGTCCATTCAGCTCTCCATTCATCCGTCTATCCATCCTTCCATCCACCCATCCATCCACTCATTCATCCATCTGCTCTTCCATCCATCACACATATCTCACCCCTCCTCCATTCTAGGGAATGGTATGAAGGACAGGACACTGTTCCTGCCCTGGAAGAGGATTAAAGTCCCAGGTGAACAGAGGGTACAAGTGAGTAAATGTGGAGGGTGACACTGTGGTCATGATGCGCAGCACTCTTTGTGTCTCTGTGGTTGCTAGAGGCTGAGCACCAGCTCTCCACCATTCCCCCACATCCTGGACTGTATCTTAGACCACTCAGTTCAGGAATGGTGTCCCGGGCTGCCTGTCGAGCTGGGTCTGGGCTGTGGGCAGGTCCCTTTCCTTCTTCCCACTCACTGCCCCTTTTGTTGTCTCCCACCCTTCCAGGCCAGGTTTGGCTCCCTGGGGGCTGGGCTGCAAGGCCCATATGTTCTGTAAGCTACAATAAAGCAAGGCCACATGGAAGCAGTTCGTGTTCCCCATGTGTCTCCGGACTCCCTCTGCCCTGCGGTGGGGTGGAGCTGGGGGGGAAGCGGGAGCCCGAAGCCCCTCTAGCAGTGGCTGAGCTGTCTCTGGACCCACAGAGGCTGTGGCTCCTCAGAAGGAAAAGCCTTGAGCCCCAGCCAGCCTCCAGCACCCAGGCTGGGCTGAGCTTTTCATCAGGGGCCTCACCACGAGGGACATTGGGGGTGAGGAGGCAGAACTCAGGACATGCAGCCAAGGAAGACCTCCCGCCCCTGAGCTGGCCCCGCACGATGGCTAAGGATGGCAGGGCCTTCCCACGCCTTCCCTGGAAGACCTCACGCAGCCCAGCCGGACAGGTAGGCCCAGCACGGCTCTCATCCCACTGTGTAGATGAAAACAGGTTCGGGAAGCGGCGCCCACAGCCAGAGGAACTGTCCATCCTCCCTGGCAGGGCAGGGCAGCCTCCCCACATCCACTGTGGCCACACATGTGGAGGCACTCACACTCCCTGACCCGGTGTCGTGGCTGAACCCGGCTCGTGGCAGCCTGTCACTGCTCTGCACCTGTCTGGGTCGCAAGGACCAGGCTGTGGGCCCCTCCCTGAGCAGCCCTAGGGTCTCCACACTCCAAGGCAGGGTTGGCTACGGCCTCAGGGCCACAGAAGGGCCCCTGCCCCCGCCTGTCCAAGCTGCAGCCTCTGACCTCGGGGGCGGTGGAGGGGGCGAGGCAAGAGCGCGTTCTGGGTCGTGGTGGGGCCGGGCCCTGGGATCCCTGATCCTCGGCCGTCGCACGGTGCCCTCCATGCCCACCCGGCAGTCGCACTGAGACCCGGGCTGCAGCCTCACCGTGAGCCTCCTTCACACACAGTGACCTTGAAATGCAGGAGGAGTCCCGAGTGATCAGGGGAGAGTGTGTGCTGTATAAATTTCATGCTCTTCATAACGACATTTGTCTGCTGCCCGGCTCCCCTAGGCCGCACCGTCAGTCTCCCAGACACGCTCGCCTCCCGCCCCTGCCCAGAATAACCTAAAACCCGAAAAACTTCCATCACTCCTGCTTTCTTCTTAGAAAACACTCAATATCTCAATCTTATCAGACCCGTTATTTATGTGTCTCTACTCCCAGCAGATGAAACGGGACCGCAAAATCCTCAGGCCGTGCCTCCAGCAGCAACAGACAAACCCGCGAGGGGCTCCCGGGGGAATTCTGGGAACGGGTAGGTCCCCGACAGGAGCCGTGCTGGGCCTCCCATTGGGGTCCGCCCTGCCCTGGATGTCCACTCCACCGGGCTCCCGGGGCTGATGAGAACCTGGTGCCTGCACACCCACCCTGCGCCAGCTCTGGAGGGCTGGGCCCGCGTGAGGGTCACACTGTAGGGCAGTTTGGTGGCTCCAGTGACATGCACGGCTCTGTGGCCCTATCCTGTCCCCCTCACACAGTCAGAGCTCCGCCGGCTCACACACAGTCAGAGGCCTGGAGGGACCCTGTTGATGGCAGGGGCAGAAAGGCTCCTGGTGCTCAGGGAGGCTGGTGAGGCTGGCCTATGGGCCATTGGCCAGGCGAGGTGGCCCTCCAAGGTGGGCGTGGAACCGCTGCCCACCTCCCTCTCAAGCCAGACACCCTGCGTGGCTCTGATGCTTGCTCTCCAAGCTCTGGGGAGAGGGGCCCGTGAGGTCGCAGACCTCAAACGTAAGCATAAACAAGCGTTTTCCCCAACATACAAGACATGCAGATTTGATGCTGGGTGCCGGGCTGGGGGGTGATGGCGGGGAGGGCCCCTCCGTGGAGGTGGCTTCACTTAGGAGGTCTGGGGAGCGGAGTCCGGGGTCAGGGGTGGAACCATGGACAGTGGTCCTGAGGCGGGGTGTGGGGGCCTCATACCCGTCTCGCACACAAGCGTCTTCCTGAAGATGATGGGTCTGAATGTAACATAGTAAATGGGAAGTTAGAAGACGTCACTATCAGCCACAGGTGGGAGAAAGATTTCTCAAACAAATGTTCGAAAGTATAAACTAGAAGGTAAAACTGGACACACATTTTGATGCCATCAAATAATTAAAGATTTTGCTGCACAGAAGCGAATGGACGGGCCACACTGGGAAGGACGTTTGCGATGTCTAAAACCGACAGACACTTGGTATCTAGAACTCCACACATCAAATTACACAGCAGCACGACGACGCGGCCTTGGCCGGAAATTGGGGACGACGCCAAATGGCAATTTGCAGCAGGGAAAACCCAGGAGGTGCAGAGGCTGAAGTCGTTAGGAATCCAGACATGCAAATAAAGCCACGCTCCGTGCCCATTGGACTGGTGAACACGGAGGTGCCCGTCGTGCTGAGCACCGCCAGGATCTCGGGGGGCCCCGCGTCCTGCAGGGAGCCAGGATTGGGGGGTGGGTCTGTCTCCACGTCATCGGCCAACTGTCCTGGAGGGACCTGCAACTTCCCGCCCAAACCCAGTCACTCTTGCAGCCAGAGGGACAAGTGGCGAACACTGGCGAGCAAATACTGGCAAACACTGGCAAACACTGGTGAACACGGGCAAACACTGGCAAACACTGGGGTGTCTGTAGACTCTTAGGGATGTGCAATCTCTCTGCCTAGGGTCAGCAGCTCCCCAGGAGGCCCCGAGGTCCCTGAGTGCAGGCCCCAGTGCTTGCTGTGGCCACAGTGGGCACCAGAAGTGGGTGGGGGAGGGAGGGGGCTGTCCTCAAGAGAATGTGCAGCACTCACAGCAGCTGGGAGCCCCAGACCCTGGACCCCTGGGCTGGTCGGGAAAAGCCTCCTGGAAGAAGCAACCTCCTGGCAGATAGTGGGGAGGGCTGGCCAGGAAGAGCTGTGGAGGGGGGCTGTCCCTGTGCCCTGCGCTGCTGCCCCCCAGGACATCGCAGGACTTCCTCCCGCTGCAGAGCCTCGGCCTTTCTGGGAGTTGGGCAGAGGGGGCTCCTCATATCCATCTCGGGAGCGCCCGCCCGTGCCAAGTGGCCCAGGGCCTTCATCATCAGATGCGAAGAACCACATCGTCCCCTAGTTCCCACATGAACCGGCACTGTCCGGGGCAGGGTGGCCGGCACAGCTGGCTGGCAGAGTCCGGGGCCTCGGCAGGTCACTGGTAATGGTCCCTGCCAAGGTTCCCTGGGTGGCCCCATGGGTCTGATGATGGCTGAGGTGCAGGAGTCCCACCTCCCAGACTCTGAGGCCCCGCTACAGGCTCTGGCGTGTGGCAGCGGTGGAGAAGACCCGAGGTGTGAACCTGTGGGGCGGGGGGCTGCAGAGGCAAAGCCCAGGCAGGGATCCACCAGAAAGGCAAAGGACGGAGATGGGGCTCTCTGCCTGGCGAGCCCCCAGCTGGCAGAGGCCCCGTTCGCCAGCACAGCTGCCACGGGGGATGGAGCCGCACTGGAGGAAGCAGCATCAGACGTAAAATAAATCTCTTAATAAGATTACCGTGGCTCGGCTCGGCACCCTCTGTGCGTGCGAAAACCTCCTCGTGCTTCGGCGATGAGGGGAGAGGTCTGTTCCCAGGAGGGGCCCGGCGGTGCCCACACCACCGACGTGCGCCCGGCCCCACGGAACTGCAGCAATCCCATGACAGTGATGAACCAGCAGAACAAAGAATCTGCCCCCAAAGCAGATTCCGCCTCTGCCGCAGGGACCAAGGGCCTTCTCCTGACTCATGAGGAGAGAGACCATGTGCCGCTGGCCGTCACAACTTGCCTGCCTGGTGGACTGAGCCCAGCAGCTGGGCAGCCTCCTGGGGAGGGTTCCAGGGGCCAAGAGACATTGAGGCTAGCAGAGGGGCTGGAGAGGGAAGTAGAAGAGAGGAAGAGGGGAGTTCAGATCTTGGTTCCCGCAGGCACTCTGGACCTCCATACCTGACTTCATCTCTGTGGCCCAAATTCCCCAACTGGAAAATGGGTACAATCAAATCTGCCCTGTCAGAGGCACCGTGGGAGCCTGCCCTCCCACCCTCAGGCGTCAGGTGCTGATGTAGCCCACCTCCAACCTCGGTGGCCCACTGAGCTCCAGGATGGGTGCCTGACTGAGCTGAGACCACCACGTTCCTGCTCCTGGGGTGCAGCCGCACACAGCTGAGAGGCAGGCAGGGTGGGAGCCAGGAAGGCCAGTTTGGGAGCTGGTATGCCTCAGGAGGAGGGTGTGCCACCAGCTCACAAAGGGAGAGCATGTGGCTCCAGAGGGAGACAGAGGCACTGCCAGGCCCCTGTGCTGCTGGTAACAGGAGCCCGCACTCACAAAGCATCACGGGCAACTGCCTGCTCACACAGCCAAGTGGGCTGTGACCTGCCTGCTTCAGGCATGGTTGGATCCAGCATCTCAAAGCAGAGACCAGGCTGCTTCTGCCTGTCGGGGTGGCTCAGAGGCCTTTCTGGGGGGCAGAGGCAGTGAGACCCAGTCCCAGCTTGCACCCCAGGCTGCTGGATACTCAGGTGGGCCCTGGAGGGGAGCAGGGGAGCGGGAGGAGAGGGCTCCATCTAGGTTGTGCTGGACCCTGGGAACAGATGGCAGCTGAGATGGGCACTGTCCCCCAGGAGGACAGCCGGTCAAGGGGGTGCAGAGGCCCGAGGGAGACACCGTTGTGCCCCAGGAGGACGGCGGTCAGGGGGACGCAGAGGCCCGAGGGAGACACCCTGATGGTGGCACAGCTGAGTCTCCCATGCTCAGCATGTATGCCGTGAAGCCCCACTCCTTCCCCAGGTGGAAGAGGAGGGGCTGCCCCAGCTGTGACCACAGCTTGCAGGAGGCCTCAGGTGAGGGGGTGAGGATGGCCCCTCTCTGCAGGCAGGGGTCAGTGTGGGGGTGGACACCCCTGAGTCGGCTTGACACTGGTGCCCTGGGGCTGCTTAGCCTCTGTGAGCCTCAGTTTTTCCATCTGTGTGGGAATGCGCCCGTCCAGTGTGATAAGGCGTCACATGTGAGCTCCCGGGGGGCTATTCGGGCTCTGAAGGAGCATCGGAGGTGAGGAGGTGAGGTCCAGCACTGCAGCTGCACTCGGGGGTCCTCGGCTGGGCACGCACTGGCCCTGGGGGGGAAGATTCTGCCAGGGCCCTCAGCACGCCGGGAAGGGCCCAGTCTGTCACCCAGGCTTGTCCTTGGCTCTCACCACACAGCCTGGGGCGGGGCCTCCCTGCAGCCACACGGCCACCCGGGCCTCGGGCCGCCAGGCACTGCCCTGTCCTGTAATGGGAGGGGCCCTCAGCTCCCTGGTGGTCCGTTTGTAGGGGAGCCCCCTGCCCACTCCTCTACGCCAGCCATCGGCCCTCTGAGGGGGTGCCGCACTGCCAGACCCTGGCTCAGGAGCCCGCGAGCTGGGAGGAAGCAAGTTTATTACCTTCCACAACGTGATAAGCCCGCGCTGATTGCTGCATTAAGGGACAGGACCGCTAGGCTATAAATTACAGGGGATGTTCTCACGTGTCTGTCTCTCCAGGGCCAGCCAGGAGAAGTTAATTATTTTTACAGGTCCAGACAGGGCACGGGGTGATCAGAATGCCAGGTCCTGGGTCCAAGCCACACAGAAGCCGCCCCCTGCCTGCTCCGAGAGCCAAGCCCAGCGTCCTGGGAGAGGGGGCCGGCCGCGCCTGCCCGGGGTCCGTGTGCCAGCCCCCGGCTCCTCCTGCGGATGAGCAGGTGGGGGAGTTGTTCCTGCCCACAGAGGAGTGGGCTGAGCGCTTAGTGGCCGGCGGGCCATCAGTGACCCTGAGGAAGCAGGCTTCCCCCAGTCGCCCACCACAGCCTACATTACAAATACATAAATCATAATGTTTCAACAAAAGCAAAATTTAATTTTCTCCTTTCAGCCGTTATCTGGGCCGGGTGGTATATGGCAGCCTGCGCCCGCTCATTCATTACGCCCGCTGAATGGATAATGGCAGGCCGAGTCGATTGCAGCCGGCTTTGTGAGGCCTCTGAATGTGCTGTGCAGCCTGTGGCGGCCCAATCTCCCCGCATCTGTAATAGATACACAGGACTCTATTATTCCTTGCCAGAGCAAAATTAAATAGTTGTGTGTGTGCCGGGGTGGGGGCCGGGGCTCCGGGAGGCGGGAGGCGGCGTCGCACCAAGAGACCCGCTCAGCCGCCAAAGCACCCCCGGCACCCACAGAGGCTGTCCCCAGCCCGGCAGGTCCAGGGCCCCGGAACAGCTCCAGCTCCACGGTCAGCGACCCCTGCCTCCGTGGCCTCTTGGCCTTCCCATACCCGCCATCCCACGGGACGGGCCCATTTCACAGACCCAGGACACTGAGGCCTGAGCTGTGCCCTCCTTTGCTCTGGGTGTTCCTGTGGGACAGTGGAGTCCAAGGCTCCTTGGCTCGAGACCCAGGGACAGGGTGATTGGGATGAGAGGCTCACGTCAGCTTGTAAAAAGGGGGCTCCTGCACCCCACCCACCTACGATCCGTCCATGTCCCTTCCTGTGTGGCGGAGCCCCCTCCACCTCCAGCCTGCAGACGTGCCCCAGCCAGGCTCATGGCCTGCCATGCTTCTCATGGGGCGGGTCTGCTGGCCAATGACCCCACCCCGGGGTTCTGAGAGTCGGGAGCTGGGAGTGAGCTCAGATCTAACCCCCTCCCACCTTCCAGGTGGTAGAGCTGGGAGCTGGTCCCCCTTCCCAGGGGAGGGACCTGCCAGGGCAGAGAGCTGATCGGGACTTGGCTTAGCATCCAGGGCGCCCAGGAATCCCCCAGCACCTGGCTCCTTCCTGCAGAGCACCTGGCAGGGGCAGGAGAGGGTGGGCCTGCCATGGACCCTGGAAAGGGATGCCCAAGCCCCCTGTGAGTGAATTGCCCTGGCCCTGTGTCCCGTGACTGACGATGGCCATCATCCACTGCCCCCGCTCCTGCTTGAAGCCCACACCCCAGGGCAAAAGCCTGTCCTGGAAGTAGGGGCTGGGGTCCCCAGGAAACCCCCACCTGTCATTCCCAAGGGCATGACCTCCCATGTGGACAGAAGCCATCCAAGCAGAGACACAGCCTGGACGGGCAGCTGCGTCCAGCTCCCGGAAGCGCCCTGGGGAGGTGGGAGGCGGCAGGTTCGTGATGGAAGTGTGGATGCCTCTGACACAGCCGGAGTTACTTCCTCCCGTGCCCCCTCGTGCGTGTCTGCGAACACGCTTGACAGAATGGAGATGGAGTGCAGCCCGGGCTGCGGCCCCCTTTCCATTTAATCTTTGCGCTGCCCCTCCTCATTCACAGACGCCTCTGCAGGAGCTGCTCTGGGGCTGCCGAGTGCTCTGCCCGGTGGAGGTGCCCTGGGGTCTCTCAGCCCCACCCCAGGTGCTGAGGCCAGCATCCCACAGACACTGGAGCCCCAGGGCCCCATGGCCCCACGTCCCCATGCATGGCCGTTTCGACCTGACAGCCAAGTGTCTGCAATCTTGGCCCCATCCCGTGGCCTGAATCTCACTCTCACTTTGCAGCCCACAGCTGCCCGTCAGCTTGGGCTGAGACTGTGCAGAGAGTCGGGGGCCAGGTTCCTTGTGTCCCGCAGAGCCTGGCTGTCCCAGGAGCCTCTGTTCTCATGGAAAACTGTTGGAGGAGCCAGGCGTGGTGGTGCACACACCTGTAGGCTCAGCTACTTGGGAGACTGAGGCAGGAGGATCACCTGAGTCCAGGAGGTTGAGCCTGCAGTGAGCTGTGATGGCACCTCTGCACTCCAGCCTGGGTGACAGACTGAGACCCTGTCTCAAATAAAAAAGAAAGAAAAGAAGAAAATGGTCAGGGCCTGCCTAGTGCCCACAGGCTAGGAGCCCAGGCCTGGGTTCCAAGGCACTGAGGTGGGGACCGCCACAACAGTGTAGGGCCCGGGGGCTCGTGGCAGCAGCTGAAGGCCAGCGTGGGTCCAGGAGAAGCTGTGGCTCCTTGGTGGGGCACTGGCTTGTGGGGTAGCCTCGGCTGGGTCTGGATACTTGGTGACTTCCGTCAAAGCTCCTGCTTTGTCCCTTGATGACTGTGGAGCAGATGTCTTGAGTTTCTGGTCACATTTGGCTCCGAAAACTCAGTCTGAACTGGGCACGGTGGTGCATGCCCATAATCCCAGCACCTTGGGAGCCTGAGGCAGGAGGATCGCTTGAGCCTGGGAATTTGAGACCAGCCTGGGCAACACAGTGAGACCCCATCTCTACAAAAAATAACAATCAGCCAGGCATGGTGGCATCTGCCTGTAGTCCCAGCTACTTAGGAAGCTGAGGCAGGAGGATCCCTTGAGCTCAGAATTTCGAAGCTGCAGTGAGCTGTGATGATACCACTGCACTCCAGCCTAGGTGAGAGAGCAAGACCCTGTCTCTAAAAAAATAAAAAGTAAAATAAAACTCAGTCTGGTTTAAACCTTATTTACAAACCTTTCTGTTTGTTCCCCTAGGCCCCTGAGAGCTCTCGGTGGGACTGAGCTGGCGTGGTGCTCCCTTGGCAGGTGGGTACTTCCTCACTGTCTCTCCCGTCACTCAGAAAACATTTACTGAGCACCTGCCGCATGCCTGGCATTGTGCTGGGGAAAAGAGACTCAAGAACTCCTGTCCTCATGGACCTGGCATCCCAGGGACAGAGACGGTCACTAAACACAATACGGAGGTAAATTTTGAGGTTAGAAAGTGACAACTGCACGGAAGTTAAACATTGGCAGGGGGGGTGGGGTACAAATTCCAAGTAGGCTGGAGGTACATTTGCTATTTTCAGTAGGATGGGCTGGGCGGGTAGCAAAACCTGGAAGGCAATAAGGGCAGGAACAGCATTTCCCACAAGGGGAACAGCCAGTGCAAAGACCCTGTAGGCCAAGGCCTGCCTGACCCCCTCAGGACAGTAAGGAAGCTGGCAGAAGGCTGAAGAGGGTGAGGTCTGAGAAATCATGGAGTAGAGCACGTGGATCTGAGACCTCTCAAGGGCCTTCACCTGGCTGTAGTGAAGGAAGCCACTGAAAGGTCTGGTGGAGAGGAACGAGGATCTGATGTGTGTTTTAAAAGGATCACCTTGACTGAGGTGCAGAATAGACTGCAGGGCCCAGGTGGAACCAGGAACGGCGGGAGGAAGCCCCTGCAGGGAAGCAGCTGGGAGATGACGGTGGCCAGTCCTGGATAATGGGTTGGAGATGAGGGACATGTTCAGAACATATTTTGAAAGTAGAGCTGGCTAGGCTTGGTGGCTCATGCCTGTAATCCAGCCCTTTGGGAGGCCGAGGTGGGCAGATCACCTGAGGTAAGGAGGTCGAGACCGGCCTGACCAAGATGGTGAAACCCCGTCTCTACCAAAAAAACAAAAATTAGCCGGGCATGGTGGTATGTGCCTGTAATCCCAGCTACTCGGGAGGCTGAGGCAGGAGAATCACTTGAACCTGGGAGGCGGAGGTTGCAGTGAGCTGAGATTTTGCCATTGCACTCTAGCCTGGGCGGCAGAGCAAGACTCTGTCTCAAAAAAAAAAAAAAAAAGTAGAGCCAACAGGACTTGTTAATGAATTGGATGAGATGAGTCAAAGACAAATTCAAAATTTTGATATGAACAACTCAAAGCTGGGAGCTGCTTGCACCTGAGTAGAGAAGGCTGGAGGAGAGCAGGGCTGTGGGAGGGAGGTCAGGAACTCAGTTCCGAGCACGTCAATTGGGCATCTGAGTGCCAGTGCTGACAGCAGCAGGTTTTATGAGAAGTTCAGAGAGAGCTCTGGGCTGGAGAGAGAGATATGAGTCATTGTGTGGAGATGGGTTTTAAGCTACATGAGCCAATGAGATCACCCAGGGAATGATAGAAACAAGAGGAGGGCCAAGGCTGTAGCCTGAGGACACCCATCATTAAGAGGTCAGACAGATGAGGGGAAGCCAGCAAAGGACATGAGAAGAAACATTTGGGGAGGGGGGAAGCCAGGGGCATGAATTATCTGGAAGCCATTGAGGAAAGTGTCTCCAAGAGGAGGGAGAGATGCTGCTTGGGGTAAGGTGAGGACTGAGAACCGACCATGTGATTTTCAAATGTGGAAGTCCCTGGTGATCTTGACAAGAGCAATTTTCATGGAACAATAAGGAAGAAAACCTGATTGGAGTGGACTTAAAAATAATGAGCTCTATTTATGGACAAGATGAAGTGAGAGGATTTGGATTTACCCTCCCACCTGAAACAACTAAAAAAGATAAATGAACCAATGGATCTACAGACATTGAACATCAGGCAATGAAGGAAAATTATGTCAGAGACATGGAAAAAATGAGGCGAACCTTAGGATTTTCCCAGTTTACTGCCTTGAGAAGTTTCCAGACCATGGTGCAGGGAGGGGGAACCCAGGTGGAGCAGTGAAAAGAGCACCAGTGACCTCCGGGACAACTTCATGCAGCACTGTCAACCTAATATTCAAGCAGTGGGCCCTTTTTATCTGTGGGTTCAGCATCTGAGGATTCAACAAACCACAAATCAAAAACATTTAAGAAAAGAAAGCATCTGTGCTGAACATGTACAGAATTTTTTCTTGTCATTACTCCCTAAACAATACAGTATAACAACTATTTATGCAGCATTTACAGTGTATTATTATAAGTAATCTAGAGATGATTTACAGTATTTGGAGGATGGGTGTAGGTTAAATACAAATACTACACCCTTTTATATAAGGGACTTAACTCCATGGATTTTGGTGTCTCTGGGGAATCCTGGGCCCAAACCCCTGATGGATACAGAGGGACAGTTGTATATGTGTGATTGGAGCTCTTCAAGGGGGAGGGAGGACAGAAAAAATACTTCAAGAAATCATGGCCAAAACTTTTCCAAATAAGATGAAAACTATAAATCTACAGGTCTAAGAAACTCAACAAATATCAAGCATGGTTCATTAAAACCAGTGATAAAGGGAAAATCTTAAAAGCAGCTAGACTGTCACACACACACACACACACACAATGTGCAAAGAAACAAAGATGAGGGTGACAGCAGATTTCTAATTGGAAACAATGCAAGCTGGGAGAGAATGGAACAACATTTTTAAGGTGCTGAAGGAAAAAAAAAACACTGTCAACCTAATATTCTTTACACAGTGGAAAATATCTTTCAAAAACAAAGGCATGACCAGGCATGGTGGCTCACACCTCTAAACTCAGTGCTTTGAGAGGCTAAGGTGGGAGGGTCTCTTGACACCAGGAGTTCAAGACCAGCCTGGCCAACATAGTGAGACCCCATCTCTAAAAAAAGTAAAAAAGCTTAGCCAGGTGTGGTGATGCATGCTTGTGGGCCCAGCTACCCGGGATGCTGAAGTGGGAGGATCCCTTAAGCCCAGGAGTTCAAGGTCACAGTGAGTTGTGATTGCATCACTGCACTCCAGCCTGGGTGACAGAGAGAGACCATCTCTAAAAATAAAAAAACACACACACACTTACACACACATGCATGCACACACACAAAACAAAGGCAAAATAAAGAATTTTTCAGACATAAGGAAAGCCGAAAGAATTAATCACCAGGAGATTCACACTACAGGAAGTGTTAAAGGATCTTACTCAACAGAAGGAAAATGATAACAGGTGAATACACAGAAGAATAAAGAGCATCAGAAATGGCAGCTGTGACAATTTTCTGTTTCAAGCAAAAAAGTAAAAGCAAAATATATTGTGGGGTTTATAACATGTGTAGAAGTAAAATGTATGACAACAGCACCAAGACCAGGAAGGGGGAAATTGAAGTATGTCAGTGTAAGTTCATATGCTGTCTATGCCACACTATAATATCACTTGAAAGCAGACCACGACAAATTAAAGAGGTATACTCTAAAACCTAAAGCAACCACTAAAATAAGAAAACAAACAACTATAGTTAATACAGCAAAAGGAGAGAAAATGAAATCATAAAAAATGAGACAAGGAAAAAATGAGGCAAACCCTAGGATTTCCCCAGTTTACTGCCTTGAGAAATTTCCAGACCATGGTACAGGGAGGGGGAACCCAAGGGGAGCAGTGAAAAGGGCACCGGTGACCTGTAGGAAAACTTCCTGAATCCAAAGGAAGACAGAAAGAAAACAAAGGAACAAAGGATAGGTGGGACAAATGAGAAACAAAAAGCAAAACCATATATTAAATCCAGATAGATTAATATTTACATCAAATGCAAATTGCCTAAACACTCCAATTAGAAGGCAGAAATTTTCTGATTCGGTAAAAATGTCAAGACCCAACTATATGCTTCTTATGAGAAACTCACTTTAAAGACACAAATTGATTAAAAGTAAAAGGATGGAAAAAATAAATCATGTTAATACTAATCAAAATAAATCTGGAGGGGCCATATTAATATCAGACAAAGTAGATTTCAGAGTGTAGAATATTACCAGGGATATGAGGGTCATTTTAAAATGCTAAAGTGTTAATTTATCAAGAGGACAAAAGATTCTAAATATTTATGCACCCAACAAGGGACCTACAAAATACATTAACTAAAAACTGAGAAAATCACAAGAAAACATAGACAAGCCCACTGATATAGTCAGAGATTTCAACATCCTTCTCTCAATAATTGATAGGACAAGTAGGGAGAATACCACCAAGACTACAGAAGATTTAAATGCTATCAACCAATTTGATCTCATTGATGTACAGAATACTCTGGCCAATGACAGTACGAGTTCTATCCTTTCAAGTTCACAAGGAACATTTATCAAGAAACACCATATTCTGCACCAGAAAATAAGTCTCAATAAACTTAAAAGTATTCAAGTCATGCAATATATAACATACATATGTTGTACAACCACAATGGAATTAAACTAAAGATCAATAACACAAATATCTGAAAATTTTCCAAATATACGAAAACTAAATAACCCACCTCCAAATAGCCCCTTGATCAAAGAAGAAATAAAAAAGAGAATGAGAAAGTATTGTGAACTGAGTGAAAAGGAACATATAACATGTCAAAAATTTTTGGATGCTGCTAAAGCAATGTAGTACTTAGAGGGAAATTTATAGCACTAAACATTCATATTAGGAAAAAAGAAAGATCTTAAATCAATGATCTCAGCTTCCACCTTACAAAACCAGGAAAGAAAAAAGCAAATAAAACTCAAACAGAAGAAATAAAATTATAACCATTAAGTGGAAATTGATAAAATAGAAAACAGAAAAGTAATAGAGGAAAATCAATGAAACCAAAAGTTGGTTCTTTGAGAAGATTAATAATATTGATGATCCAGGCTAATCAGGAATAAAAATGAGAAGACACAGATGACCAATTTCAGGACATTAAAAAGGTGACATCATTTTAGATTCTACATGTATGAAAAGGATAATAGAACATTGTAGACAGTTTATGCCAATGAATTTAACAATTTAGATGAAATGGACAAATTTCTCAGAAGATACAAACTATCAAACCTCATTCAAGAAGAAATTTTAAATATGGATAGTCCTTTAGCTATTAAAGATTGAATTTGTAGCTAAAAATCTTCCCAAAAGAAAACTTCAAGACCAAATAGGTTTTAAGGAAGAAATAATACCAATTGTATACAAACTCTTCCAGAAAATTGAAGAGAAGGAAATAATTTCTAATTCACTGAATGAGACAAGCATTACCCTGATGCCAAAACCAGGCAAAAAAAATGACATTAAAGAAAACTACGTACCAACATCCATTATGAACATAAATGCAAAATTCTTAGATTTTAGCAAATAGAATCCAACAATATTGTTAAAGGATAATACATCATGATCAAGTGGGGTTTATCTGTGGAATGCAAAGTTAGTTTAATATTTAAAAAATCAATCAATGTAATTCACCATATTAACAGCCTAAAAAGAAAAACCTTATGACTATTTAGATACAGAAAAATCATTTGACAAAATCCAACAATTGTTTCTGATTTTAAAAAGATAAAACTTAGCAAAATAGGAGTAGAAGAGAACTTCCTCAACTTGAGAAAGGACATCTCTGAAAAACCCACAGCTAATACCGCTGAATGGTGAAAGACAGAATGCTTTCTCCCTAAGGTTAGGAAAAAGGCAAGGATGTTTGTTCTTAACCTTCTATTCAACATTGTGCCAGGTATTCTAGCCAATGCAATAAGGCAAAAATAAAAAGCACCCATACTGGAAAGGAATAAGTAATACTTTATTCATACAGAGCATGATCATCTACACAGAAAATCCTATGGAATCTACCAAAAAAGATATGGAATATACAAAGGCTAATAGAAATAATACTTTGTTGGGTATGGTGGCTCACACCTGTAATCCCAACACTTTGAGAGGCTGAGGCAGGAAGATTGCTTAAGCCCAGGAGTTTGAGACCAGCCTGGGCAACATGGCAAAACCCTATGTCTACAAAAAAAAGATTTTAAAAATAGCTGTGCACGGTAGCATGTACCTGTGGTCCCAGCTGTGTGGGAGGCTGAGGTGAGAGGATCACTTGAGCCCAGGAGGTGGTGGCTGCAGTAAGTCTGCACTACTGCACTCCAGCCTGGGCAATAGAGGAAGATCTCACCTTAGGAAAACAAAAACAAAAACAGAGCCAATACTTAAGTGAGTTTTGCAAGGTTGCTGGATACAAGATTATTATATGAAAGTCAATTGTATTTCTATATACTAGCAACAAAAAATTGGCAATTAAAAATTTTAAATAGTATTTACAATGCCACAAAAAATATGAGATGCATAGGAATAAGTCTGACAAAATGTGCATAGGAGCTGTACACTGAAAACTATTAATGTAAAACATTGCCTAGAGAAATCATGGAAGGCCTAAATAAATGAAGAGATATACCATATTCATGGATCAGAAGACTCAATATTGTAAGTTGTCAATTATCTTTGAATTCATCCATGGATTCAATGACATCTAAATTAAAATTCCAGCAGGTTTTTTTTTCTTTTTTGAGATAGAATCTCGCTCTGTCACCAGGCTGGAGTGCAGTGGCACAATCTCAGCTCACTGCAACCTCCGACTCCCTGGTTCAAGTGATTCTGCTGCCTCAGCCTCCCAAGTAGCTGGGATTACAAGCACATGCCACCATGCCCAGCTAATTTTTGTATTTTTAGTAGAGATGGGGTTTCACCATGTTGGGCAGGATGGTCTTGATCTCCTGACCTCATGATCCACTTGCCTTGGTGTCCCAAAGTGCTGGGATTACAGGCATGAGCCACCACGCCTGGCCAGCATTTTTTTGGTGGAAATTGACAAGCTGATTCAAAGAATCTAAAATAGTCAAAATAACTTTGTAAAATAAGTTCAAAATGGGAAGACTTACACTACCTGACTTCAAGACTTATTGTAAAGCTACAACAATTAATACAGTACGAGCTGAAGTTCAGACTTTGCATTAGTTCATCCATCAACAGCCACAACAACCACATTCAGTATTGTGCGTGTTTCTCTCTCACCCCCTTCTACACTGGGTGGCAGGAAACTTTTGCCAAAGGCCAGCTCCTACAGGGTAGCCTCCCCTTTCCCTGGCCCTGGTGACAGCTTCCTGCCCTCATCCATCAAGCCCACCCTGTGGCCAGCCCTGGGGCTTTGCCACCCCCAGTGGGTTTCCTTGTGGCTACCTGGTGTGTGTGTAGCCTGGGTGGCTGGGTCCAGTAGGAATCAAGACTGAATGACCCCCCCTACCCATGGAGGGTATGGGCTAGGAGCAAAGACAGGTGCTATGTTCTGAATGTGACTGCAAAATTCTTGTGTTGAAACTTAGTCACCAATGCAATTGTATTAAGAGGTAGGGTCTTTATGAGGGGATTAAATCAGGAGGATGGAGCCCTCATGGATGGGATTAGGGCCCTTATATTATAAGAGGGATTGAGGGAGTGGTTTTGCTCTATTCTGTTCTTCCACCATGTGAGGACCCAGCAACAGAGGGCCATTTTGTGAGCAGAGAGCAGCCCTCACCGGACATCAAACCTGCTGATGCTTGATCTTGGACTTCCCAGCCCCCAGAACTGTGGAAAGTGAATTTCTGTTATTTATAAATTGCCCAGTCTGTGATATTTTGTTATAGCAGGACTAAGACAACAGTCAATGAACAAATGATTCTATGAAGGAGAAGAAAACACAAAGATGATAAAACTAGGCTGTTTCTGTCACTTGCTGATTAGATGGACCAGCTGGGTGGAGAACCCAGCAGCAGCTGGACCACTGTATTGTGAGCTTCCAACACAGGGAAGCCCTCTACCTTGGGCATTTCTGTGTTTCCCACACAGTGTTGCTCCCAGGGGCAGCCCCAGTGCCTTCTGGCTGGGGATTGGCATCTTTGGGAGGGCATGGACCATGGCTGCCCCATTGCTGCTGGGGTCCTGGTACATACTGGCACAAATAACGTGCTAGTAGCTCCTTGGAAGAATAAACTCTTCCCTCTTCCTGTCTGCAGTCTGTTAACTCACCCCCTCTCTCTGCCAACTGGGACTGTGATCACATCGCAGACACCCATAGTCTAGCCTGGGGTAGAATGGAACAAGCCACGTGAGGGGCCATGAGTCAGCTCACCCCAACAGATTCAAAATCTTGGCCAGAGGAGAGCAGCTGGAAGTGGGAGCTAGTGTCAAGCATCAGTGACAGGCATGGAGAGGTGCAGCCCACGGCAGCAGGACTGACAGGCCTCTGGAACAGACCAGGCAACACGACGCCCCCATGTGATCTCTACCTGGGATCCCCCTCATGGCTCTCTGCCCACACTGGATACTCACAGGAATGAGCACTACCTGGCTGCAGCACCCCCTCCAGGTCACCATCTGGGTCCACCCATTACAGCATCGGCGCTGGAGACGGGCACGTGCTGGTCCGTGCAGATTCCACTCTTCTCTATTCCACTGAAGGCAGGGGCAGTCCCCTCCTGGAGGTTGGGATTGGGTTTGGGGGCAGTTTGGAGCTTGTCTGGCAGCTTCTCTGGCAGAGCAAGGCCACATCTGCCCTGAAGTTAGGAGCCAGTCTCTGAAGACTCTCCGTAGGCCCTATGCCACCCGTTCTCTCAGGCCTAGGTGGGTAAGAGGTGCCCTAAATAGGGACTGATTGGAAAGTGGATGATGGCAGAGCCAGCAGCCAGGAGGGGGGTCCATTGGCTGATGGCTTCCCTTTCACCAGTGGCTCCTTCTTTTTCTAAATGGGCACCCCCATCCATCCCCAAGCCATGGAGGACATTGAAGGCAGCCTTAAACTGTCCCTTCCTCCTCTGCTGGGGCTGGCAGCCACCCAGGTAGGCTCCCTCCTTGACAAGGCTGTGCCCCCTGAAAGGGCATCCTTAGAGCCCTGCTCCTGATGGGGAAGCCAAGCACTTCTGTGGACAAGAGCCCTGGAAGGGAAGGGTGAAGAGTCGGCCTTGGGTGGAGGCTCAGCTGCATGCCTTTCCAGGGGGTGTTGGCCTAGGGAGCGGTCCCGTCCTTACCTGGGCTAGGTTCCCAGGCTGCCCTGTGAATTCACACGTCCTCCTCGCCCCTACACAGCCAGCACCAAGGGAAATCAGCCCCAGGCTATGGTGACAGGAAGTCCCCCTTCCCGCTCCTGCAGATGCTCCTGGGATGGCGCCAGTAATCTCAGCTGAGATAAATTCCCAGGCAGAGGATGGGCCTGAGGGACAAAGGCCGCCTGGAGCAGGAACGGAGCTAAAGCAATAAGGAAAGGCATAATGGCCCCGCACTTTTAATTTGTGACTAATTTGTTGCACAATGAGGTTGCAATTTTCTAATTGTGATTGCCATTTTAATTTTACTCATGGCTGTGCAACCAACAATGTATAGTCTAGTAATTAAAATTAATTGTACCTTCACCTGCATATTTCTATTAGGCTGTTAAATTTAGTCTGTAAGCTCAATGATTCTGTTCCCTGAAAGATGCCGAATTCATTTCACTGAGCCTGATTCTGCCACACTTGGTAACTCCCCACTCTGAAGGTGGCCTTGCCTTCTGATGAGGGGACGGGGCCATCTCTGCCCCAACCCCTTGGCTCTTGGCAGGCTAGGGGAGCTAAGCTGTCAAGGGCTTTAGCTGAGCCTACAAGTCTATTATTTGTTACACTTCTAATGAGTTATTAGGTTCTTAAATTGTATGTAGGGATTTCATGAATAATCTTGGAAGACACAAATGGGCTTTCTCCACCAAGTTAAGTCCATGTATGACTCCCATGGTTCTTGCTGGACGTCATTTTCCCAACATAAGCATCTTGGTGGCCTTCGGTGGGGGTGGAGGTGGGGCAGGGGTCCCTTCTGAGTTCCGAGTGTGAAGGCCTGAGAATCAGGCCCGGGTGCCAGGGCCAGGGAGCCCTTGGATGCCATTGCCTCCTCCCAGCAGCCACCTGGGTTCATGGGGAAAGAGCCTTTCCTGTGCCGGATGAGAGCAACTTCCAACAATCCTCCTTCCACCTTGGAGGCCTGGTGCCCCCACCCTGGCTGTGCCCAGGGGGCACTAATCTCCTTCAATTAGATGTGCCCTACCAGTTCCTGGTAAAATTGCAACAGCAGCCAGGCCAGATAGATGGACCCTGAAGTGCTGGGGACCCAGACCATCCAAGCCCAGCCTGCTGCCCACCTTTTGCACCATCCCTTCCAATAATCACCTGGGACCCAAGACAGCTGTGGTGTCTGTGATTTGAGACCAAGAATCCTACTGATGGGCCCTGCACTGTGGAGGAGCAAGCTGAGGCCTGGGATCGAACCCGCACTGTGGAGGAGCAAGCTGAGGCCTCGGGCATGGCCAACTATTCACTCAACTGGTCTGTGAACTCCATAATCACACAGAGGGAAGGAGGCCGCTGAACAGTCTCCCGGGCCCTGGGGACCGCATGGGCCTCTCCCGGCCACACAAGGAGCCAGAGAGTGATTCATACAGGCCCAGGCCGGCCTCCAGAGTCATGGCAAAGAGGGTCCTCAGAGCAAGTGACAGTGAGCAATGGGGACACAGAGTGGCTGACCCAGCCAGAGCCAGCCAGGAGAGGGAATAGCCCAAGCCGTCTTCCCCAAGGGAAGCAGAAAGAAGACAGAATTCAGGAGGAACACCTAGAAAAACCCAGCCTGGGCAAAAAAATGCTCACCCTGCATTCCCCAGGTGGACCCGCCCACGGCCTCACTGGTTCTGGTAGGACCCACCGCCATGCTTGTGCAAATCTCTACCCGGGGAGGTCAGGAGGGCCCACCAGGATCACCTGGACACTGCACTGTACCCCACACATCTCACCAGCCATGCAGGTGGCCCCTGAGGCCAGGCTCCCTGGGCCCCTCGGGAGAGGTTGAGGGAAAGCTGGACCTGGTGAGTCCTGCTGGGGCGGGGGTATTTCTGCCCCAGAGAAACTCTCACTTGGGCTCCAAGTCACCCGGCTATGTTGGTATTGACTCCGTCCCCTCTAAGAGCCCCTGGAGGGGCACGGATGGGCCAGTGGGCAGAGGCTAGACAAGGCCTCCAGGTGTGGGTCTCATGCTCAGGAAAAGGTGTCTGCCCAGACTGAGGGCTCTGCGCATATGGGCCATGCCAAGCAGCCTGGGCAGGGGAGGGAGGGAGAGAGATATGAGGCCAATGGGACTGACTCCTGGCAAAGGACCTGAGCCTTCTTCTGTGAGTTGAAGGTTCCCAATTCCACTGAGCCAGGAAGCCCATCTTGCTGGTGCCTCTTCTCTGAGCCAGGCCATAATGGGGCTAGGGAGGAGTCATCAGTTACTGTCCTTCCTTGACATCAAGGAAAACATGGATCTTGATTGTGCAAGAAGGAAGGATGGGCCCTGAGAACCTTTCAGGGAAACTGGGAATAGATACCTCCCCACCCACCCATCCACACATGCAACCATCCATCCACCCACCCATCCGTCATCCACTCAACCATCCATCCATCTTCCCATCCATTCATCCATCCACTCACCCAGTGACCCATTCACCTACCCATCCATTCACCCCCTAATCCACCCAACCATCCAGCACACATCCATCATCCATCTACCCACCCACTCACCCACCAACCCACCCAACCATCCACCCACCCATTTATCATTCACCCATACATCCATCCATCCACTCATCCATCTACCCATCCACTCACCCACCCAGCCACCAACCCACCCATCAATCTATCCACCCACCCACCCATCATTCACTCATCCATCTGCCCACCAACCCACCCAACTATTCAGCACCCATGCGTCATCCGCCCACCCACCCATCCATCCATCCATGTGTCATCTGTCCACCATCCATCCATCTACCCATCCATCATTCATTCAGCCATCTACCCACCCAGCCACCCACCACCAATCCATCCACTGACCCACTCACCCACCCAACCATCCATCCATCCATCCATCCATCCATCCATCCATCCACCAATTTACCTATCAATCCATCCATCATCATTCATCCATCATCTATATATCCATCTACTCACCAGCCACTCATATATCTATTATCCATCCACTCTCCCACCCACCACCCATCCATCTATCTATCCACCCACCCATCTATCCACTCATCTATCATCCATCCACCCACCCATCCATCATCCACCCATCTATTCATCCACCCAGCCACCACCTATCCATCCATCTATTTACTTATCAGTCCACCCATACATCATTCATCCATCATCTATACATAATCTACCAAATCATCATCCATCTATCCATTCATCTACCTATCAATCAATCCATCATTCTTCCATCATCTATACATCCATCCACACATCCAGCCATCTACCCACCCATCCATCATCCTTCCATCCATTCATCCATCCATTCATCCACTCAGCCATCACCTACCCATCCATCTATTTACCTATCAATCCACCCATCCATCATTCACCCATCATCTATACATCATCCACCAATTCATCATCCATCTATCCATTCATCTACCTATCAATCAGTCCATCAGTTATACATTCATCCACCCATCCACACACCACTGATCCATTATCCATTCATCCACCAACCTACCAATGCACCCATCCATTCCCCATCCACCCACCCCATCCATCCACCCACCATCCATCCATTCCCCACCCATCTATCCACTCACCATTCGCCTGTTCATCATCCATCCTTCCACCCACCCTCTCATCCTCTCAGCAAGTGCACACTGAGTGCCTGCCACATGTCAGAGCTGAGCACAGAACAGGACAGGCAGGGCTTGGAGCCCTCAGGTTTTTCACATCCTTAGGTGAGGCTGGTAGGCAAGATAGATAATAAAACGTAAATTTGGAAAACATGTAGCATGTCTTGTCAATACACACTATGAAAAAAATAGTGCAGGGAAAGGGGCCAGGTGCTGAAAGCTGGTGGGGTACAGGGGCAGCATTACAGCCTCAGCCTGAGGAGGTGAGGGCAGTGTGATGTGGAGCTTCGAGGACTGTTAGAGAAGCAGCCCGGGGGCCAGGTGACTGGGGGGGTGAGCACGGGACATGGTCTCAGGACCATAGAAGGTCTTGATCCCTTCCCTGGGTAACACAAGAGGCATCAGAAACTGAGAGCCAAGGAGCAACAAGGTGTGAATCTGGCTTTATGTGACCTCCCCATGAGGCTGCCCCCACCTTCTCTCCTGACACACACCAGCAGGGGGTCCTAAGCCACGGATGTGACCAGTCACCCTGCTTGATGCCCTCAGTGGCTCCTGTCACTTCACGGTAAAGCTCAGCCTTCAGCACAGGCTGAAGCCCCAACAGCTCCTGCACCACCTCCGCACCCTGTGTGCCCTCGCCCTCCAATAGCAGTCATGCCAGCGTGTTGCTTTCGTCCTTCCTTGCCTTTGACCTTCCTGTCCTTGCCCCTAGACATCCTTTCCCCAGTTCTTACTCTGGTGAGCTCCCTCTCCTTCACAGGCATCCTCCCCCAGGAAGCCCTCTCTGGACCCCTGGGCAGGGCTGGGGGTATCTGCAAGTGCCAGGCATCTTGACTGTGAGCAGCGGCCGGGTGCATTCAGGCCATGGCCCACCCGCTCTGCTGGGCCCACCTGGGGAAGCTCTGCCCTCCCTCCATCCGTGAAGGTAGTCCTCTGGGGCTGTCCTGTACCCTGCAGATCTGGCTTCTTGCTCTGGTACCTCCTGCCTTCCCTGCTGGTGCCCAGCCAGGTGAAGAGCACATGCCTGGCTCCCCTGGTGGGTCCCTCCTGCACCTCTAGGGACACTGGGGGATGAGACGGTCCTGCCCACGCCTGCCCAGTGGAATATGCCCAGGCCTGGATGCCTGCCCTTCCCCCTCACTTGCCCCAATCCTGGCAAAGTACTCCCCAAGCTCCTGCACTCAGGCCAGCAGTTAAGAGTCCTCCCCCGTCCCTCACCCCTCCATCACCAGGGCACCATTTCATGGTGAACAGCTCTCCCATCTGCACACCCTGGGCCAGGCCTAAACCAATGAAGGGGCCTCTGCATGGCCTCTCACTGTCCCACCTGCTTCCACCCCACAGCCAGAGCAGCCTCAGCAAAGGCCACTTTGGGCATGTTCTTCTCTGTGTGGATGCTACCCTTCCCATCCTCTCCATGGCCCAGCCTCATGCCCCCCAGGGCCTCTCATCTTCCCTGCTCAGCCCAGCAGCCTCCAGAGCCCCTCAGCCCCGTGGCTGCCCCACCACCTACTGCTGGTGCCCGCAGTGCCCTCTGCCCGGGGCACCTTTTCCTCCCACCCGCCCGGAGCCCTGCACTGCTAGCTTTCTGCCCCTTCTCCTCAGCGCTGGTCACCGTGTGCTGCCACCCAGGGCTCACAGGCAGGGACAGGGCCTTTTTGCTGCTCCCGAGGCAACCCCAGTAGCAGAATTCAATGAATATCACTGAACAAATGAATGAACGAATGGACGGGAGTCAGTAGTACACCTCAGCTGCATGGTTCCCATGCTCACTATTTTTAAATAATAGGACAAAATGCAGCTATGCTTTGAGGTCCCACGGGAGTGGATTCTGTGGTGCCAGGGAAGGTGGGCACTTGGCCATATGGAGCTGCTGGGCTGAGAGTTCCAGCCTTGTCGGTCAGGCCTGTGCTCCTGGGTCAGGGCTGGAGGTCCCCTGATGCTCCCCCTGTCCTGCTGCCTGTGGCTGGCTCCCGCCCAGAGGAGACAGGGAGGAAGGCCGGGGCGGTGCGGGAGCACTGGGGAGGCCCTGCTGTCATCGGGGTGGCAGAGTTGCCAGCAGCAGGTGCTGCTGTTCCAGGGTGAGGGTAGGGTGGGTCCAGAATCCTGAGCAGTCCACTTTACTGGCCAGTGCGCAAGAGGGTGCCCCCACCAACTCTTGACCTTCTGACCTCCCCCTACCCACCCAGTCCTCCACCCTAGTGGCTGCCTCCTCCTGGCCCTTCTTCTCCACCCACTGCAGGCCAGGCTGTCATCTCCTTTGCACCCCGCCCACCCTGGCCTGGCAGCCATCCCATTTCCAGGTGGCAGGGTGGGCAGGTGGGGGGTGGGCAGGTGGGGATGTGGCAGGTAGGGAGTGGGCAGGTGGGAGGTGGGCAGGTGGGGAGTGGGCAGGTGGGGTGCGTGGCAGGTGGGGGTGTGGCAGGTGGGAGTGTGACAGGTGGGGGTGTGCAGATCTTCCTAGCACCTGCCTGCCCTCTTGCTCCAGGAGCTGGGGCCTCCCCTATCTAGTAGGAGACAGAGGGATGACAGATCCCATGGGCATGTCAGTGGCTGCTGGGAACAAACGCAAGCAAAGGAGGGGACAGAGACGGATTGGGGGGAGGGGGCCAAGAGTTTAATCCAGAGGTCAGGAGAGGCCTCCTCGCCCAGGTGACAGCGAGAGCCTGACGGGGATCCCGGCGTGGCCACCTGAGGAGGAGCCTTCCCGGTCCAAAAGAGGAGGTGGAGGAGCAGCCGGGCAGGGTGGGCTTGACCAGAGGGCTCGGAGGCCTTGCAGGCACCGCAGGGAAGAGGCGAGGCTGACCAGACTCGCTGACCAGACTGGCGTCTTGGTGGAGAACAGCGAATGGAGGTCAGGGTGAGGGGTTGCGGGTCTTGACAGGCGCAGCCAGACAGCAGGAGCGCGGCGGGGCTGGGGGCACCTCTGGGGAGATCCGGGAGGTGGAGCCGGGAGGAGCTGCCACCCGGGTGGGACCAGGAGTGGGGGGGTCCCAGCCTCGGGGGACG
The DNA here is from genome assembly GCF_000001405.40 of Homo sapiens. NCBI lineage: Eukaryota > Metazoa > Chordata > Mammalia > Primates > Hominidae > Homo > Homo sapiens. Next base: position 1,472,390 of record NC_000004.12, on the reverse strand, counting down.
GCTCGTGCGGGGTGGGCCGGGGTCCCAGCTGGAGCAGCGGAGTGGAGATGCCCGCAGGGGCTGGACGCCGAGCCCCGGGTGCGAGATCTTGGGGGCGGGAGGACGCGTGAAGCCTGCAGCGGACGGAGGGCAGGCCCGGCCGGCCCCGACACTCACCCGGGCTCCGGCTGCCCCGCGGGACACGGGGCGCGGTGGCCGCTGACACCCGTCAGGCGCGATAACGGGCGCGGCGCCGCCGACGCCGCGAGCGCATTAATCTTCCCCAAATTAAAATCTGCAGCGCGGCGTTTAAGATTGAGGCCACCACGGTTCAGCGCGGTGTGACCGCCAATTTTGATAAAAGTGTTTTAAGAGCGGGGAGACGGAGATAAATTGCCTGCGGCTGCGGCGCGCCACCGGGTGAGAGCCGCGCAGACCCCGGGTCGCCCCCGCCGGCCGCGCTTCCCGCAGTGACGTCCGCTGACATGGGTCCGGCCTGGGCAGGCGGGGACCCCGCCCCCGGCGGCTCCCCCAACCCCCACACCCCCGAGACACCGGGCAGGGAGCTTGCGTGGGGTCCATGGAAAGCCCACCCGGCCAGCCGGCGCCAAGGAGCCGCCCGGAGCCCGGAGCGCAGCCGTGTTCCCCACACGGTCCCCACCCGAGGTGTCCAGCTGCGCCTGACTGAGAGGGCGAATGCCTGATGCGTGCAAGTTCCTTTCTTCAATAAACCCCTCTAGAGCGCCCGAGGTGCAGGCACTGGCTGTGTGCGATGAGCTCCTGCAGGGATCAGCCACCTGGTTCCAGAAGGGGCTGGCCAGGCTCAGCAGTGAGCCCCACTCAGGACCACGCCCACTCTGCCAGGCCCAATAGTGAGTCCCTCTGGGAACCACATGCGCCCTGCCAAGCTCAGCAGTGACGTCCACTTGGGACTACACCCACCCTCTGCGCCCTGACAGCTCAGCCAGCCCCAGGTCTGGCCGGGGTGTGATGGGTGACGCTGGCCATGTGGAGTCAGACAGCTGGGTGGGGACACTGGGAGCTGCCCTCCTGGGGAACCTCCCCAGGATTTCCCTGTCCCCTGCTCATGAGGGACCCCACAAGAGGGCCCCTTCACCACCCCTCCTCCTAGCCAGATTGGCCCCTGTTTTAAAGTCAGAGTTAAAGCCCCTTCCTCCTTGGGGCCTTCTCAGGCCTCACTCCCCTGACTTCCAGCGCCATCTTAACCCCTGTGCCTCACTCTCCTGCCCTGTTGGGCGGTGCCCTCGGGTCCTCTACCCATGGTCAGCATTGGTCCCAGCAGATGCCCTGACCCACTCCCACAAACCCTCCCAGGCCTCGGCCCCTCCTGCTTCCTAGACACATCCCCACCTGGCCAGCTAGAGCTGCCTGTGAGGGCAGTAGGGCTGGGCTGGCCGGGTCTCCGGGGGAAGGAGAAGCACTGGCCTGGAGCCTGGGCAGAGCTGGGCCCACGCCAGGGCCTGGGGTCTGAGAAGGAGCTCTCGGCGAGGGGTTCCTGGAGGAGGAGACAGAGCCTGAGAGGGATTCGCAGGGACAAGGGTGCTAGGAGGGCTGGTTACAGCATTGGGGTCAGGATGGAGCAGGTCCAGGGGAGGAGCAGTGTGGGGGACTTGGGGCCGATTTTTGAAGGACCCAGAGAAGTTGCATTGGCGTCAGCTCAGCTGGACATGTCCTTGATGGCTTTTGCCTTTTCTTACAAAGTTGAAGCCTGTAGGAAACACCTGGTTTGCTTTGGGTGAAGCCTGCCTGCCTGCTTGTTCTCTCCCCTGAGCAGCCGTGAAATTGATATTTAAAACTAATTGTACAGCACCCTCGGGGCAGCAGTGCCAGGCAGTGGCTGGACAGTGGCCATATTCATTCCATCTTGCCTCGGGCTCTGTCCATGACCCCAGCAGGAGATTAGGGGCTGAAGATGAGGGGCTTATCTCCAGCGGACAGGGGCTGCCCCACCCCCACTGCCAGCCGCAGCCCCCTCCTCCAGCTGCCCACGGCCGCTCAGCTGCCCCCTCCTCGGAGAGTGGCCCTCCGATCTCATAACATCCAATTACTGCCCTGACTGCTGTCTGGGTCTCAGATCAAATCGCTCAGCTGCAGTGAGGAGCCCCAAACAGGTCAATCTTGGCCGGTTAGACACGGTGTCCAGCATGAGGCCGCGGAGCCCGCCTCAGGAGCCAGAGGCAACACGCACAGCCCTGGGGTCGTGGCCGCCACCAGCGTCTTGATGATACTGGGCTCTGGCTGTGAGTCAGGGCCAGGACACTGTCAGCATGCAGGGCGCGGTCAGGCATGGACACGAGGGTGGTGGCCTTGGGAAGGGTCACCAGCGACTGGCCACCAGGCCACCCAGCAGCTCTGGCAGTAGGTGCCGCGGCCCCCGGCCCACTGGCTGCAGGCCTGTGTGCTGTAGTGCACTGGGTGGAACAGCATCCCTCTGAAATTCCTGTACATCAGTACCCATGAGTGTGACTCATTCAGAAACAGGCTTTGCAGATGTACTCAAGGTAAAATGGAGTCACATGGGTAGGGCGGGCCCTAATCCAATGACTGGTGTCCTTGTAAGAAGAGAAAACAGAGACACGGAGACACCCACGCAGGGAGATGGCCATGTGAAGACAGAGGCAGGTGGAGTGTGCTGCTACAAGCCAAGAGGATGGCATCCAGGAAGGCCAGCAGCCCAGGAATCTGGGGAGACGCAGGAAGGGTCCTCCCCTGGAGACTGCAGAGAGTGTAGCTCTGCCAGCACCTGGGTTTCAGGCTTCTGGGCTCCAGCCTGTGAGAGGACGCACTTCTGGCATTGTTAGCCCCTCGGGTTGGGGCACTTTGTTATGGCAGCCACAGGACATTGGTGTGCCCACTGTGTTGGCAAAATCTCTGGTTGGTCCCTAGGCCCACAGCTTCTGCCCACCTCCCACCACCTCCCCTCCAAGCCTCCTACCCTTCTCATGGCCCTTTGGGGTACCCACAGCTATACCCTGATGTTCAGAGGTCACTTGAATCCACTGAGAATCTTATGTCAGTCCCAGCCATGTCATCAAACAGGGGCCAGCCCCCTGTGATCTCCACTCCCTACCCTGGGGGCCTCCTCAAAGCCAGGCAGCAGGGCTCTGCAATGCCCTTCAGGGTCCCAAGACCCTGAACCTTCCCCCCTTGCCAGTCAGCCCGAAACTCAGCAGGAGCAGGGTGCAGCGCTTAGAGCCATCCGCAGACCTAGCTCCACAGCCTCCACCTCTGGGAGCCTCAGTGCTTGCATCTGTAAAATAGGGGCGAAACTCCCACTGCTGAGGTGGCCTGCGCTCTATCATCCAAAGGAAAGAGTGGAAGCAGGTGTGTAAAAACGATGCCTGGTCAGCCAGTGTGGACAGGAATTATCCAGGAGAACCAGGTCCCTGAAATGTCCCTAGCCCCAAGGGTCATTGTGAGGACTAAATGGGTAAAGCTCTCTTTGCACAGTGCCCAGCCCTTAGTGGGCACTCAGCAGGCACTTTTCTCTGTCCCTTGATATTGACAGCCACTGGGGGCCTCCTCTGGACCCTGCATTCTCAGCCTAGAGTGGAAGGTGTCACCAGTACCGGTGGCCTGCTCTCCCTTTAAGGTTGGGCGCCAAATGTGGGGTCCTTTATGGCCCTCCTGCCACAGGCACTGATGCTCATCCGTGGCCTTCCACCTGGTGTCTCCTATTTCATTCACAGCCTCTTGTACTTGTGTGCTCTACCAAGGTTTCAAAAACCCATTATCCCATTTAATCTAATGGCAACAGTTTGATGTCAGCAAGGCAGATGTCTTTCCCATTATCTCTCACATCATCATTGCTCATATTCACCCATCATCACCACCATAATCATCACCATTATCATCATCCCCATCATCACTATCACCATCATTATTATCATCATTCACACCATCCCCACCAACATTATCACCACCATCACCACCATCAGCAGCAGCATCGCATCATCACTGTCAGCATTAACATAATCATCACCATTATCATCAACATCGCCATTATCATCAACGTCACCATCATCATCATCATCACCATCATCAGTAGCATCACCATCACCATCACCATCACTATCATCATCATTATCCCTACCATCATCACAATCATCACCACCATTGTCATCACCATGGTCACCACGATCACCACCACCATCATTATCACCATCACCATCATCATCATCACAGTCACCATCATCATCACCATCACCATCATCATCATCACAGTCACCATCATCATCACCATCACCATCATCTTCACCATCATCATCACCATCACCATCACCATCAGCAGCAGCATCACCATTACTATCACCATCATCCCTACCATCATCGTCATCACCATGGTCACCACCATCACCATCATCATAATCACCACCATCACCACCATCATCATCACCATCACCACCATCATTACCATCACCATCATCTTCACCATCATCACTACCACCATCATCATCACCATAATCACCACCATCACCACCATCATCACCATCATCACCACCATCACCACCATCATCACTATCATCACCACCACCACCATCACCATCACCACCATCATCACTATCATCACCACCATCACCACCATCATCATCACTATCATCATCACCATCACCACCATCATCACTACCACCATCATCATCACCATCACCATAATCACCATCATCACCACCATCATCACAATCAACACCATTATCACCATCACCATTGTCACTATTGTCAACCCAATGATGATCTTCTTCATTATCTTCACAATCATCCATCATCATCACCATTATTGTCACTGCCATCAACCCTTTCGTTATCTCCTTTATCACCACCATGACTGTCATCATCATCATCATCATCATCATCATCATCCAAAACCAATTTTCAGCTGCAAAGTCAAAGGTAAAGAGAAGCACTGAATGACTTGCTGAAGGCCACTCGGTCTTCTACAAGGCCACTTTTTAGAAGGGTTCAAACACTCAAACACCTTCTGATCTTCTTCTGTACCAGTCCCAGAAGAAATGCCACGCAAGCAGCCCCCACAGTGCCCTACGCTCTCTACCTTCCTCCTGGAGATGTGCTGATTTTCTGGCCCATGCCCACAGTCAATTCTGCTTGAGGCTTCTGTATCCTGCTCACTCCCTCAGTCATGCCCCATCTCTGTAAGGCCAGAGAATCCTTTTCCATAATACCCAATAAATAACCTGGATTTAATTGAATTAATATCGACAGCATGTAATTGCTCCTGGTTGTTCAAGCCTGCTGAAGAGGGGCGTGAGGGGGTGGGGCAGTGAGGTTATTGCTTTAAAAAAAAAAGGCCCTCAGCCCCGAGCAGCGTTTTGGCCTTATTATTATAGTTATAATGAGGGCGGCTGATTTGACCTCTCCTTCCACAATAGCGCAGCGCAGCCTGGCTAAATAAACTGCCAAAGTCCTTTGTCCCTGTGGGCTGTTTCTGGGTAATTAAAATCAATAGGGTCTTCCTCCAGCTCTCCTTAGCCTCATCAAGCCTCAGTGCTCAGGGCTGCCAGGTGTAAGACAAGCAAATGAACTTGCAGGCCCCTGGAGGGGTGGACTCAAGAGCTGCTTGCACACGAACCAATGGGGCGGGACGGGCAGCGCCCCGGCCAAGCCCGCTTCCCACCTGCTGGTGGCTGTCCTCCAGTGCTGTGGCCTCCCTGGGTCCCAGGAATTTTGGAAACAGCCACAGTCCCAGAGGTGATTGTGTGTGTGGCGGAGGTGGGGCAGGGGGGAGGCTGCAGTGGGGGGACTCCAGAGTGGGCCGTGAGGCCAAGGTCTCAGGCTGCAGCTCCGAAGCCAATGGACAGAAGCCCCCAGGTGGGGCCTGGGGTCTGTGAGGAGGATCAGAAAGGGTTCTCCCCACCCGGGCCGGTATCCTTTGCCCACTCTCCCCACCCCGGCCAGGGACCTCTGCCTTCCCCACTCCACCTTTAACTTCATGGAAGGTGAAGTAAGTCCCTGTGGAGCACTGGACTCCCCTCCCCAGCGGCCACCCCACATCCTGTCCCTAGTCCCAGGGTGGCACTCAGTGGCCACGCGTGGACTCTCTGGACCACACAAGCTTCAGGGCCCTTGCTCACTGCTTAGCGGGTGGGCACCGAGGGGCACCCACCTGCAGGGTCCTGTCCTGGGCTCTGGGGCCCAGGAAGTGAACGGCATAGAGCCCACACCAAGGCAGGGAGGCCGGCCTGCTGCACTTGGAGCAAACTGGGAAGGAGCTGGCACAGGGTGTGGGCAGTGGGGCGGGAGGGCCCCGAGGAGGCCGTGGCAGGTGCAGGGACCAGGCCCTGGGAGGCCGTGGGGGCAGATGAGTGGATTCCAGAAACACGCCAAGGACAGAGACTGAGAGGTCTGTGAAGATGGGGTGGTGGGGGGCACTGACGTGAGGGTGAGGGGCCAGCCGTGGGGGTCATCAAGCTCAGAAGAGCCAGTGGAGCTGGAGGCACCCACTTGGGGTCCTCAATGTGTGGATGAGGGATGAGTGCAGACAGGGCAGGGAGGGGTCAGGGCAGCACCGGGTGCCCACAGTTAGAGGATGGGGCCTGGAGAGACAGAGAAAGCAGCACGGAGCCAGGGCAGGAGAGTCTGCAGGGAGCAGAGCTGGGGTGCTGGGCCGAGCTCGGGGTGGCCGAGCTCCAGAGGCAGGATTGGAAATGCCCCCAGGGGCTGAGGCCACACTGGGCTCCTCCCCGCCTCCTCCTCCTCAGCACCCTGTGAGGCAGGGACCACAGTGCTCCTTCTACAGATGAGAGTGGTCCTCATACTCAAGGTTGCGCGGCTTGCCCTGTCCTCCTCGTCCCCAAAACAGACCTCGGCCCCGCCCACTTGTCCACTCTGGGGGACCCCTGCCGAGTCTGCCTGGCCACTCAGGGACCTTCTCACTGGTCACCACCACGGACGCATCCTCCCTCTCCTGCCCCTTGCTCTGGCCCAGTCTCCTCCCTCAAGGCCTCGGCGGCTCCCCCTGCACTGGGCTGTCTGTCCAGCTGTTTTTGAGGCTGCCCCCACAGATCTCCCCGCCCTCTGACATCCCTTCTCCTGGCCCCCTCCACCACAGTGCCCGGCGTCTCCTCCCCAGCACCGCACAGTCTGGCTGCCAGGTCCGGCTTTAGTCCAGAGAGCAGGCTTAGAGGGCAGGGGCAGGGGTGAGGCAGGAGCTGCCCGCTGGCTACAGCCCCTAAGGGAAAGGCCCCTTCTGGATGTAAACTGTTACATTTCCACCCATGTGTGTGAGTTTTGGCTTCTGCTAGGCCCTGGCCTGGCCTCAGGCCTGCAGGGCTTGTCCCATGTGGTGGGGTGGGGACCACAGCACCAACCTGGGGAGGCCGCTGCAGCCTGGGAGAGGCTCCACCTGAGGCCCTTCCACCCCAGCCTCTCCACTCCCGCTCAGAGCTCCCTCCCTGCCCAGCTGCTCAGAATCCTCTTCAAGACAGCCTGCAGCAGGGGCTGGAGTCAACCGCCTGTGCCCTGGGACCCAGCACGGAGCCTGGTGACCCACAGGAGACAGCCAATTCCTGTGTCCGTCAGGGTCCAGCCGGAGGCAGAGCTGACACAGGCCACCCTTGGTGTGGGCTCAACGGGTGAGTCCCAGAGGGTGGGGGGAGCAGGACCAGAGGCCCTCGGATCCTGATACGTAAGGACCTGATGCTGGCAGAGGGAGGTGGCCCCAGCCAGCCCTGCGGGGACACTGCCCACCAATCAGAAGGCGAAGGGTTGGGCTCGGCCAGGCCACCCGCCCCTCACCTCCACTCAGCGGCAGGTTCACCAAGGACGTCTAACAGCCCAGCTCTGGCCTTCCTCCCACACAGCCTACGGGCCACCCAGTGCCCGATGACACCTGACTTTGAGGGTCTCTGTCTGGCTTGCCGAGGACCAGGAAAGAGTTTATTTCCATTCTTAAAAGAGGTTTCAACTTCATGATCCTCCGTAAGCCCTCTTTTCCTAATTAAATGTAGCCTGAATTAAATTCCTTTCAGGGTGCGGGGGCAGCCGGCGCGCTGACCAGCCAGAGGGACCCTCACCCCTCGGGGTGGGCACGAGCAGCAATCACAGGACAGTGATCCATGGGCCAATATCCCCAGCACCCACGCAGCCGACCCCAGGGCCGCTATTAGCTGCTTTTTAATTAACTGTCCACCTCTCCCACCCTGGGCAATCAGACGCCCAGAAGAGGGAAGGAGCAGCCAGGCAGTCTGGTGTCCATGGCCTCCTTTCCTGCTGACGCTGTGGGGCTGCCGGCGCCCCCTGAGCCGCACTCCGGGGCCTCTGTGTCTCCCCGTCCTGCACAGTGCAGAAATCCCAACCTTCACCCACATTCCCTCGGGTCTCCCAGGGCCTTCTGGTCTTCTCGGGTTGGCTGGGGGAACACTGGATCCTGCAGAGGCAGTGGCAGGAGTGAGGGGCCTGAGGGGCCCTCCGGGGAGGGAGGGCAGGGGCTGGGGAGGGGACACCCGAGGTAGGAGGGGGCAGAAGGCCTGGCAGCAGGAGGACCAGGGGTGGGGGAGCCGTGTCGGCCACGGGGTCAGGGGGCTGCGGCTGCCCCCTCCCTTGGGGATGCCTGGGGACACGGTGCACCCCACAACCACCAGCCACCCCCCAGGGCCTGCCCACAGCACAGGGGTCCAGAGACCGACAGTGGTGAATCAGGTACGCGCCGACTGGACCTTGGGTTTCCAGAAACTGCCTCCAACAGAGATCCTTGGGTTTGAACCCAGGCCCAGACAAAGCTGGGACCCCAGCCCCACTCCTGCACTTATTTCATGAAGCTTTGTGGGCACTGAGTCGCTGCCTTCCTGCAGCAGAAATCTGGTGGGAGAGAGGGGCACAGACGGGAGAGGGCAGGCTGCCTGGCGAGGAGGGGGCAACGGTTCAGCTCGGTCGGCATGGGGGCCACTTTGAGGAAGTGACTTGGAGCTGAGGCCGCAGCAAGGGAGCAGTGAGCTCCACACAGCTGTGGGTCTCGTGCTCCCTGCAGATGGCATGTGCAGAGGCCCGAAGCAGGCAGGGATGAGGTCAGCGTGGCTGGAGCGTACGCAGGAAGCCGGCGGCCAGGGAGGAGAGAAAAGGCTGGGGGCCCACGGGGGAGGCTCTGCGGCCTTGGCTGCAGGCTACAGGAGCTGGCCCCTCTGAGAGCCGGAGGGAAGGACAGCTCTGGGCTCCTGACCCAGGGGGCCCTGCCGGAGCCCTCTCAGGCCCTGCCAGCACGGCCGCCACAAGGCCCGGCTTATTCCCAGGACCCCAACTGCAAGCAGAATGTGGAGCCCACACAAGGGGCTTCAGAGAGCTGCCAAAACACACGCTTACAGCCCCTGGGAGGTTCACAACCAGCAACACATGCCCACACACCTGACACCCTCCCACACACACCTGCACTCCCCACACACGCCTGCATAGCCCGCCACCAGCACACAGACGACCACCCCCCACACTGGTGGAGGCCTTGGCTCCCTGGCTGGCTCACGCTCCATCCACTCCCACCGCCTGTGTACACAGCCCCACGGGGGCCGCCCACCAGGCTGTCCTCTGCGGATGCTGGACACTGACCCACGCGGGGCTTGTGGGGGGGCGACGTGATAACTCTGCAGTCTCAATGAAACGCTGCCGCCAGCCCTTGGCTGGAGGATGCTGGGGGCGGGGGTCCTTCTCCAAGCCTCCTTTCCTTTTCCCCAGCTCCAGGGCTGGAACATCAAACCTCAAGCCCCTTCTCACGCTCCATTCGCAGGGGACTCCAGTGCTTTCTGATCTGACACCCGCCTCCCCTGAGTGTGGCTCCTCTGGGCTGGGACGGGCTCAGGAGTGACGGGAGCAGCATAGGACATGGCGCACATTCTGTTCTCTCCCTGTGGCTGGAACACAGTGTCTCGGGGCCTTCCCTGGCTGGGGGACAACGTGTGTGTGCACCTGGGCCCTGAGCACAGGGACTGGGCCTCTCCTTCCTCTGGAGACCCCACACGTGCACAGTGTGTCCTCCGTGACGAGCAAACATCAATATTCCTTAATCCACATCCAGTATCATGAAGCCCAGTGGGTGGCCACTGGGGGCTGCCCGGTAGCCTCGGGCCAGCTCAGTGGGGTCCTGGGTAGCAGCTTCTCCCCCCACTTGGAGTCGGAGAGCAGCCTCCAAAGACCCCCGGATCCCCCCGGGCACAGACCGAGGTCAGGTCACCCCCAGTGTGCTCAGGACCGGGATGCAGAGGCCGCCGGCATCGCGCAGGCTGGGACTGGAGGGAGGCGGGGCGGGAGGGAAGCCTCCTGGGAGAAGTTGACCCTTGCAAGCGAACAATCCCTGGCGATTTCCCAGTCAAGTCCCGGCAAGCAATCAGAGCCCCCCGCCAAGGTTCAGGAGCACGGATGGAGGCGAGAGGGCAGCCTCTGCCTTCATGCTTTATTCCCTGACAGTATCCATCTTTCCAAATTGATTTTTGATATCCATAGTGACCTGGAAGGGAGACACGGCGATAACTCTTAGAAAGTGGAAAACAATATTGTCGCCACAAATATGAATTACTGGCCGCCAGGTGAAATCTACTGTGCAGTGAATTATGTGACCCTGGCACTCCTATAATTCTTGGGAATTTTATAGAGTCGTGAGAGGGCCTGTGGGCGCTGACAAGCACTTAACAGCCAGAACCGGCCCCACAACTCTCGGGGCCATTTGATTTAGCCGTCCCGGGCACTGTGGGCCACTCTGCCCTGTCTGGGAAGCACGGGGAAGGAGGGGGGTGGTGGGCCGCCACGTCTGGAGTTTCAGACTTCATCTGAGGCTCTGATCATCATTCTCAGGGCTGGAGACTCTCAGACGCTGCCTCGTCGCTGTCATGGGCAACAGAGCAGCACCCGCTCTGTTCACCCTCTGTTCCCTGTTCACCCTCTCTGTCCCCTGTTCACCCTCTCTGTTCCTTGTTCACCCTCTGTTCATCCTCTGTTCTCTGTTCACCCTCTCTGTTCCCTCTGTTCACCCTCTCTGTTCTCTGTTCACCTTCTCTGTTCCCTGTTTGCCTTCTCTATTCCCTCAGCGGGTACTTACCAGTGGGAGTAGGTGGTGGGAGACCCGTTTGGCCTTGTCAAGGGTCCACACACCTTCTGTGAGAGGGGCCTTGGGGCTCACCTGGCCCAACCCAGAGTAGGTGGACACCCAGAGCCCCACAGCAAAGGGCGTCCTGCCACCTCACAGAGCAAGGCCAGGCCTGCCTTGCGGGATGAACACAGCAGAGGACATCTGGGGGGCAGGTGGAACCAGTGCTGACCAGTGCCTGTCCCTGGAGGTGAGGCAAGGCTCCCACCCAGGCAGTCAGGATCAAGTGGTAGGGAGGCCTGGGGGCTGTGCTGAGCCCTGCCCACAGCTGCTGTCCATTGGTTGAACAAAAGCACAAAGGGGCCGGGTGCGGTGGCTCAGGCCTATAATCCCAGCACTTTGGGAGGCCGAGGCAAGCAGATCACCTCAGGTCAGGAGTTCAAGACCAGCCTTGCCAACATGGTGAAACCCTGTTTCTACTAAAAATACAAAAATTAGCTGGGCATGGTGGTGCATGCCTGTAATCCCAGCTACTCAGGAGGCTGAGGCAGGAGAATTGCTTGAACCCGGGAGGTGGAGGTTGCAGTGAGCCGAGACTGCACCACTGCACTCCAGCCTGGGTGAGAGAGCAACACTCAGTCTCAAAAAAAAAAAAAAAAAGTACATAGGAAGGAATGAGAGAATGGATGAATGAATGAATGAATGAGAGAACTAACAAAACAAGGAGGGAGGAGGGAAGGAAGGTGGGAAGGAAGGAGTAGCTGAGTGAGTGAACGTGAGTGCCCATCTGGCTGGCCAGAGCCAGAGACAGTGGGAAGCATTTCTGAGCTCAGACCCAACCTCCAGCTGCCCCAAGTCGGCCTTGTCTGATGGGGGGCATTTGGGGCCCTGGGGTGCAGACGTCGGGGAGAGAGGAGAGTCAGTCAGTGTGAACGCTGTGGAGGTGAACTCAGTGGCAGGGTTAAGGGGAAGCACCTTGATGTTCGTGCCCCTGGATCAGCTCTGTGCCCATTACTGGCTGGGCTGCGGGCTGTCCCCACCCCAGGGATAGCCAGGGATCCTGGGGCTGCGTGTCTGGGTTGAAGTCGGGGACATAAGGTGGTGGGGAGTTGCGGGAGAGGAAGGGGCTGCTGGAAGTTGGGGCTGAGGGGGTCGCCGTAGGGCCTAGTCATCAGGGTCCCTTGCTGACCAGGACTCCCCAGAGCAGGGCGGGGCTGGCTGGGCAGCTCCCCACAGGTGACGGCCACCTCCTCCAGGACCCCAGCCCCAGGGCCACTCAGAGATGGGGGTCCGCATGGGAGGTTGAGGGAGAAGCCACTCGGCCAGGTGTCCAGGACGTCCTGGTTGTCACTGATGCCTGGAACTGACTGGAAGTGGAGTCCACAGGCTTCTCCAGGCCCAGACCTCGGTTCCTCGTTCTCCGACACCCAGGATCTCCCTCAGTCCTGAGACTGGGATCCACGCTGCCCACTGGTTGCAGGAACTTCCTTTGCCAGGGTCCTGGGGGGCAGAGGCCGGGACTGCAGGGCTAGCCCGGGTCTGTCCTCTGGCCTGGAGTTCTCTTGGCAGCCCGGCCTGGGGGCTCCCGCTGCACCACCTCGCCACCAGTTGGGGGTGGGGGCAGGACCAGGACGAGTGCCAGATCGCACCGGGAGGCCTCGAGGGTGGGATGTGGCCGACCGTCTCCCACGGTGGGACAGCAACAACACAAATGTCATTTAATTTACATGACAAAGTGGCGCCTTTATTGCGAGCTGACAGAATGCCGCTGGGGCAATTTCCGAAAATTATTTAAACAATGTAATGAGTTAAATGTCAGCGCTGGCTAATTATGTTTATGCTAATTGTTAATTAGCCCTATAATGCAGACAGTCTTAATTAACAATGGTCGTGAGTGTGGGTGGGGGCTCTGGTGGCTGACACAGACTGTGTGGGCTCGGAAAGGGCTGGGAGGTCCCGGGGGCTGGGCACAGGTCCTGCCAGCCAGGCCTGGGCACCAGCCCGCAGCTTCTCCTGTGTGGCCTTAAGGTCCCCTCAGCCACCTGCATCCATGGCAGAAGGACCTCCAGAGGCCAAAGTGTCCTTCCTCTCCCTCTCTCCTCCCTCCCCCGTCTCCATCCTCCTCCCCTCTCCACCAGGCTGAGGACAGATCGGAAGGAACCTCACACAGGCCAGCTGGGCAGATGTTGGGGTCCTGGTGGCCCAGCCCTGCATGAGCCCCTCCTGTGGGAAGGACAATGTGGCTCATTGTTAGGGGAGGATAGGCTGCTCAGCCAGGCCCCCCCAGTCACTCACCACCCCCCAGAGCGCTGCCAGGAGAGGATGTTTAGTCCCCTGTGATGGAGGAGAAGTCAGACACCACTGGGGAAGGCTCTCCTGCCAGGCAGGGAGCTGAGGCTTAAAGGCCCCAGAGCCCCCACACTTTCCTCCAAGCCCCCTTCTACTGGGCCACCTGGACTCAGGGAGGGGTTCTGCCTTACACTCCATGACTTCCCAGGGACCCTGACCTCACTGGACAGGACCCTGGGGCCACCCTATGGGCAGAGCGGGCCACTGTGCACCCAGCTGGATGAAATGAAAGGAACAGCCACAGGGACTCCCTGGGGTGGGGGCCCTGGTCTAGGCCATGGGGGGCTGAGCTGGAGAGGGAGAGGAAACAAGCAAAGTCACCCAGAGGAGCCGAGATGGGAGACCTCTTGAGTAGGATCTAGGAAGTGTCAGGGAGAAAGAGGAGGACTGGTCTTACAGGGCCGGGTGGGATTTGCATAGCACAGGGCAAGCATGGAAGCTGAACCAGACACAGGGAACAGAGGGAACAAACACGGAACAGAGATGACAAATACACAGCTGAGAGGGCAAACAGGGAACAGAGAGGGCAAACAGGGAACAGAGAGAGCAAACACAGAACAGAGAGTGCAAACACGGACCAGCGAGGACAAACAGGGAACAGAGAGAGCAAACTGGGAACAGAAAGGGCAAACACAGAACAGAGAGGGCAAACACAGAACAGAGAGGACCAACAGGGACCAGAGAGGACAGACAGAGACCAGAGAGAACAAACAGGGACCAGAGAAGACAAACAGAGACCAGAGAGGACAAACAGGGAACAGAGAGGACAAACATGGACCAGAGAGGACAAACCACAGAACAGAGAGGACAAACATGGACCAGAGAGGACAAACGTGGAACAGAGAGGACAAATGGGAACAGAGAGGACAAGCAGGGAACAGAGAGGACAAACAGAGAACAGAGAGGACAAGCAGGGAACAGAGAGGACAAACAGAGAACAGAGAGGACAGAGTGTAAACTAAAAATAAAATCCTAAGCTCCTCACCAAATAAATGGAGCCCCTCTATCCAAGGGAACCCCAGCAAAACCTTAAAGACTTGGCTCCCAGCCATGATGGAAAGGGAGGTGGAACTCACCCCGTTTTAGTTTCTCCTTTTTAGAGTGTAGCCACAACTGACCGGCATTAATGTTGGTGCCTAAACATTAGAGGTCATTAGAGATCATTGGAGATCTGGAGATCACATGACTGGCAGAACAGACTCTTCATGGGAATAAGATATCAAACTATAAACAGGTCTCAAAAGCTACGCCAGGCAAGGGTAAGTCCCACCTGCGGGCCATTGATCCTGCTAAGCAGGGCATATTGTGGCTGACTGACATACCATCCTTATCTTAAACACTCCTTTCTGGTTTTTGACAAAGTTTTATTCCTTTAATCAATTGCAGATTAAAGGATCTCTGAATCTACCTATGACTCGTGATATTGTCTGGCTTTGTGTTCCCACCCAAATCTTATCTTGAATTGTAATTCAAATTGTAATCCCCATATGTTGGGTGAGGGACCTCGTGGGAGGTGATTAGATCATGGGGCAGGTTCCCCCATGATGTTCTTTTGATAGTGAGTGAGTCTCACCAGATTTTATAAGTGTCTGGCATTTCCCCTGATGGCACTTCTCTCTCCTGCCACCATGTGAAGAAGGATGTGTTTGCTTCCCCTCCCACCATGATTTTAAGTTTCCTGAGATCTCCCCAGGCATACAGAACTGTGAGTCAATTAAACTTCTTCCCTTTATAAATTACCCAGTCTTGGGTAATTCTTACAGTAGTGTGAAAATGAACTAATACAGTAAATTGGTACCAGGATTGGGGCACTGCTAGAAGGATACCTGAAAATATAAAAGTGATGTTGGAACTGGCCAGCTGGCAGGGGTTGCAACAGTTTGGAGGGTTCAGAAGAAGAAGAAAAATGTGGAAAAGTTTGGAACTTCCTAAAGACTTGCTGGATAGCTTTGAATAGAATGCTGATAGTGATATGGACAATGAAGTCTAGGCTGAGGTGGTCTCAGATGGAGATGAGGAACTTGTTGGGAAGTGGAGTAAAGGTGACTCTTGCTATGTTTTAGCAAAGAGACTGGTGGCATTTTGCCCCTGCCCTGGAGCTCTGTGGAACTCTGAACTTGAGAGAGATGATTTAGGGTGTCTGGAGGAAGAAATTTCTAAGCAGCAAAGTGTTCAAGAGGTGACAGAGCATTAAAGTTTGGAAAACTTGCAGCCAGATGATGCAGTAGAAAAGAAAACCCCATTTTCTGGGGAGAAATTCAAGCTGGCTGCAGAAATTTGTATAACAAGGAGCCGAATATTAATTTCCAAGACAATGGAGAAAATGTCTCCAGGGCATGTTAAAGACCTTCATGGCGGCCCCTCCCATCACAGGCCTGGAAGGCTAGGAGCAAAAAATTGTTTTGGAGACCTAGGAGGAAAAAATGGTTTCATGGGCTTGGTCCAGGGCCCCCTGCCGTGTGCAGCCTAGGACTTGGTGCCCTGCATCCAAGCCACCTGAGCCATAACTAAGAGGGGCCAAGGTACAGCTCAGGCCATTGTTTCAAGCCTCAAGCCTTGGCAGCTTCCATGTGGTATTTGTCCTGTGGGTACACAGAAGTCAAGAATTGATGTTTGGAAACCTCTACCTAGGTTTCAGGGGATGTGTGGAAATGCCTGGATGTCCAGGCAAAAGTTTGCTGTGGGGGCAGAGCCCTCACGGAGAACCTCTGCTAGGGCAGTGCAGAAGGGAAATGTGGGTTTGGAGCCCCCACATAAAGTCCCCGCTGGGGCACTGCCTAGTGGAGCTGTGAGAAGAGGGCCACTGTCCTCCAGACTCCAGAATGGTAGATCCACCCAACAGCTTGCACCATATACCTGGAAAAGCCACAGACACTCAACACCAGCCCATGAAAGCAGCCAGGAGGGAGGCTCTACCCAGCAAAGCCACAGAGGCAGAGCTCCCCAAGGCTGTGGGAGTCCACCTCTTGTGTCAGCGTGACCTGGATGTGAGACATAGAGCCAAAGGAGATCATTTTGGAACTTTAAGGTTTAATGACTGCCCTACTGGATTTCAGACTTGCATGGGCCTGCAGCCCCTTGTTTTGGCCAATTTCTCCCATTTGGAATGAATGTATTTACCCAATGCCTGTACCCACCCTGTATCTAGGAAGTGACTAACTTGCTTTTGATTTCACAGGCTCATAGGCAGAAGGGACCTGCCTTGTCTCAGTTGAGACTATGGACTTGGACTTTTGAGTTAATGCTGAAATGAGTTAAGACTTTGGTGAACTGTTGGGAAGGCATAATTGTGTTTTGAAATGTGAGAAAATGAGATTCGGGAGGAGTCAGGGCTGGAATGATATGGTCTAGTTCTCTGTCCCCACCCAAATCTCATCTTGAATTGTAATTTGAATTGTAATCCCCACATGTTGGGGGAGGGACCTCATGGGAGGTGATGAGATCGTGGGGGCAGTTTCCTCATGACGTTCTCATGATAGTGAGTGAGCCTCACAAGATCTGATGGTATTATAAGTGTCTAGCATTTCCCCTGCTGGCACTTCTCTCTCATGCTGCCATGTGAAGAAGGATGTGTTTGCTTCCCCTTCTGCCATGATTGTAAGTTTCCTGAGGCCCCCTTCAGCCATGCAGAACTGTGAGTCAATTAAACCTCTTTCCTTTATAAATTTCCCAGTCTTGGGTAATTCTTCATAGCAGTGTGAAAACAAACTAGTAAAACTTGTAAGCCTCTGTTTTGAGATTTCCTACCTTTTCGGGCTGAACCAATGTATATCTTTGATATAGTTTAGATATTTGTCCTGCCCAAATCTCAAATTGAATTGTAATACCTAAGGTTGGAGTTGGAGATGGGGCCTGGTGGGAGGGGTTGGAACATGGGGATGGATCCCTCATGAATGGCCTGGACTCTCACCCTGGTGATGAGTGAACTCTCCCTCTGAGTTCACATGAGATCTGGTCATTTAAAAGTGTGTGACACCTCCTCTCCATTCTCTCTGTCTTTCTGTTCTTCTGGCATGTGATGTACCTGCTCCTCCTTTGCCCTCCACCATGACTGGAAGCTTCCTGAGGCCTCCCCAGAAGCAGATACCAACACCATGCTTCCTGTACAGCCTGCAGATGTGACTTTAGAGAGGACAGTCCCCTCACCCATACCACTGCCACACAGAGAGGGAAAAAGAGAGAGCACCCATGCATATGTGTGACCTTTCAAATCACAGCCCCACCCATTGGTCGACAAGGCCCAATTGGCATTTTGTAGATTACAGTTTGAGCAATCAGATTATTCATGCCTCCTTTACTAGGGAGAGGTGTCAGAGGTAGAAGGCTTCCCACTCCCCTCTCTCTGTCTCCAAGGAGGTCATTCATCCTTGCTAGAGCACACAAAGACCCCCACCGCACCTCTGCAGCCACATCTGTAATGGTGTCCCCACATTGGCACCTCCCACTTCCCTCTCGATAGTGGAGGGAAGGTAACATAGCATTACACTACTGATGATGGTAGGATAACATGAAGAGCAGGGGCTCAAGCACTCCTGCCCCAGAACAGGCTACAGGGCCAGGGAAGCTATGCTTTTTGATCAAGGAAACATATGTGCATCCAAATCCAAATTCCTCCACTGAAAAGCTGTGTGACCTTGAGCACTTTACTCTCCTGAGTTTCCTTATTTGTAAAATGGGAATAGCACTTCTCTGTCTGGGTTGTATTAGGGTAAGAAATGAAGTGTGCAAAGCATCTAGCATGCAAAAAACACTTGATATGCTTGATCAAGCTTTATCATCATTGCCATCAGGCATCACCATCACCTGATGGGGTGATGATAGTAATGATAGTAATGGTGATGACTGTGGTAGTGATTGTGTTGGTGACGATGATCGTGATGGTGATGATAATGATGATGATAGTGATGATGATAATGGTAATAATGGTGGTGGTGATAGTGATGTGATGATAGTGCTGTTGGTGGTGGTGATGATGGTGACAATGATAATGTGAGATTATGGTGGTGATGGTGATGAAATGATGGTGGTGATGGTGATACTGATGGTACTGATAATGGTAATAATGGTGATGATGACAATGATGATGTCAAACAATGATGGTAATGGTGATAATAATGTTGATGGTGGTGATGGTGCTGATGAAGGTGGTGATGATGCTAGTGATGATGATGATGGTGATAGTGGTGGTGATGGTGTCGATGGTGGTGATGATTATAATGGTGATGGTGGTAGTGATGATGGTGGTGACAGTGATAATAGTGTTGACGATAAGAATGGTGGTGATGACAATGTGATAATGGTGGTGATGGTGTTGATGGTGGTGGTGGTGATGGTGATGATGGTGATGGTAAAAATGTGATGGTGATGATTGTGGTGGTGATGATGGTGGTGATAGCAGAGGTGATGGTGATATGGTGGTGATGGTGGTGGTGCTTGTGATGATAGAGTTGATAGTGGGAATGATGGTGATAATGGTGGGTATGGTGATTATGATGGTAGTGATGGTGACAATGATGATGGTGGTGGTGATGGTGATGTGATGATGGTGATAATGGTGATGCAGATAATGGTAATGATGATGGTGATGGTGATGATAATGATAATGTGAGGTAATGATGGTGATGGTGATGGGGATGGTGGTGATGTTGATGTGATAATGGTTGTGATGGTGGCAACAGCAGTGGTGATAGTGATGACAGTGGTGATGGTGGTATTGATAGTGATCATGATGGTCATAATGGTGGTGATGGTGGCAATGGTGGTGGTGGTAGTAATGCTGGTGTTGCTGGTAGTGATGATGGTGATGGTGATGATGATTATCATGATCATGATGGTGGTGATGGTGACGATAATAGGGTACTGTTGATGGTGGTAGTGGTGATGATGATAATAATGATGGTGATAATGACATGGTGAGAAGATGATGGTGGTGAGGACGATGGTGGTGATAGTGATGTGATGGTGATAATAATAGGGTACTGTTGATGGTGGTAGTGGTGATTATGATGATAATAATGATGGTGGTAATGATGACATGGTGAGAAGATGATGGTGGTGGTGAGGACGATGGTGGTGATAGTGATGTGGTGGTGGTGATGGTGACGACGATGGTGGTGGTCATTATGGTGATTATGATGTAATGATGGTGATGGTAATGATGATGGTGATGATGATGCTAATGTGAGATGATGATGATGGTGATTGTGATGACAATGGTGATGGTGGTAGTGATGGTGATGATATGGTGATAATGGTGGCAATGGTGGCAATGGTGGTGGTGATGATGATGATGGTGATGGTGGTAGTGATGGTGATGATGTTGGTGATGATGATGTGATGTGAAGATGATGTGAAAATGGTGGTGATGGTGGTGGTGATGGTGATAATGATGGTGGTGATGATGATGTGACGATGATGATGATGGTAATGTGATATGATGAAGGTGATGGTGATGAGGATGGTGGTGATGACTGTGGTGACAGTGAGGATGGAGGTGATGGTGGTGCTAGTGATGATAAAGGTGATGGTGGTAGTGATGGTGATGATGACAGTGGTGATGACGTGATGGGGATGATGAGGAGAATGGTGGTGATGATGATGTGATCATGGTGTTGATGGTGGTGGTGTTGGTGGTGGTGATGGTGATGATGGTGATGGCAGTAGTGATGATGATGATGTGAGGTGATGATGATGACGGTGGTGATAGTGGTAATGGTGGTGATGCATTTAGTGGGGAAAAGTTAAACAAAGAGCAAAACCTCTGGTTGCTGCGGCCATGAAGATGTGTGACAGCATCGTGCTCACAGTCTCTTGGCACTCATGTTTCCGTTGGCATCCATTTTCAGTTTGAATGCCATCAAGAAGTTATCCTTCTCTCCAAA
The DNA here is from genome assembly GCF_000001405.40 of Homo sapiens. Lineage (NCBI taxonomy): Eukaryota > Metazoa > Chordata > Mammalia > Primates > Hominidae > Homo > Homo sapiens. The sequence continues at coordinate 1,452,140 of NC_000004.12, read as the reverse complement.
AGAAGGGGGGCATAAGGCACACCTTCCTGTCCTTTCAGGGTCACAGAACACAGATGGGTACACCCTACCCCTCAACCTCCTTGGGCTCCAGGCTCCCTTTCCAAGTGATGGGGGCTTGAGATGTGTCAAAGACTTGTTGGGCTCCCCAGGGACACACAGGAGACATAAGTGGGGGAGGGAGAAGAGGAGGGGCCCCCAGTGAGGACTCGCCAGGCAGGTTCACTCTGCTTTGTGTGCCTCAGAGACTTCCCATGCACCAGAGGGCCTTGGGAACCACCTGTGGTGATGGTGGTGGTGCTCGTGATGGGATGCCCTGGGAGGCATCCTTCAGCCAGACGATAATAAGAAGTGGGGATCATATATACTACCCAACAGGCCAGCTCACACACTCTTCAGGGGGCTCGAATAACACTCGTGCCTGGACGTACACCAGGACACGTGCTCACCCTGGTGAGAGGGCCCGAGGCTCACGTGGCTCCAATGCCCTTCACCAGAGGACATCTGGGAGCTGCAGGAGCATCTTCAAGGAAGCTGCATCCTGAGCCCACCCCAGCAGGGCTTGGCACAGAGTCACAGAGATGGAGGGTGGTGCACGGACCGGGGCAAGCCAAAGCCTCCCTGGCCAAAACCTACCATCGGACATGAAGTTCCAAGTCATGGGGCACCCTTAGAACCCCTGACCCCAAGCAGTGCCAAACGTGGACGGAGCTGAGGGTGGCTGGGCAGGAGCCAATTAACCCTAGGCCTCCAAAGCCAAAAATGGCAGCACTTAGCCTTATTTAGTACCATTTATACCAAACCGACAATTGTACATTCACTCACTCAGCCAGTATTCCCTGAGCACCTGCTGCGTCCAGCCATGTCCTCAGAGCTGGCCGAGCTGAGAAGGCGAGGGCAGGAAACAGGAGCAGCCCTCCCTCCCGAGCACCTGCTCTGTCCACACCTGGTCCTCACAAGGAAACGCAGGGAAGTCCAGGGAAATCCCCAAACCGATGAGGAATCAGGCTCAGGCAGAGGGGCTGCCCAAAGTCTGTTCCACGGGCAAACCGGGCTCCCACTGGCCCCGTGATTCTGAAACCCCAAGATTCTGAAACTCCATGCTGCCCAGAAAGAGCTGCAGAGACCCCCTCCTACCCCCACCAAGGAGGGAAGAGGTCCACGGGCCTTAGACAGGGCCCCGTGGGTGTCCAGACCATCAGGATGGTGTGGGCACCTGGGAGAGTGAGGTGGGACCAGAGCTCAGCCGACGGGGCCCACTGGAAATTGCTATCTGCTCAAAACCTTTCTCTTCCTGCCCTGTACTCTGAGGAGGAAGTCAAGGAAATGGCAGTGCTGTATCCTAAGGCTGGGTGTTCACTACAACCCTTCCAGTGCTCCCTTGTGCAAGAGACGAGGTGCATGGAGGTGACAGATTGTGCCCGGGCCCCGGAAGGAGGGAGGGGAGGCCAGGCTGGGATTTAAGCCTGTGCCAGCCAGGTTCTGGGTGCGAGTTCCTAACCAGTCCCAGAGCCCCCAGCTTCCACCCTCTGATCCCAGCCACGGAGTCCCCTTGTCCCGGCCTAGGGGTGGGGGAGGAGCAGGACAGTCTGACCACAGGGGGACTCGCACCCACCCTCGTTTCTACACCTGTCCACCAGCTCTCACCCCCAACCGCTGACGGCAGAAAAGGGACCTCACGACGCCCAGGAGAGGAACCGGAGACCAAAGTCGACCCCTTGGGTCCAACTCAGCATCTTTGGGCACCTGCAGCCCAGTCAAAGCCCAAAGTCGCTGGGGACGCTGGCTCCCTCCCCTTTCCCAGAGCTCAGGGCCCCTGCCTGCTCCTGCCGGGGACTTGGTGGGCTGTGCCCTGAGGGTCCCAGTGCGTGGTCCCTCCGTCTGAGCCCCTCGTCCTCGCCCCAGGCCCCACTGAGGCCTCTGCCTCGGACTACTACACACTCCAGACTGAGGTCCCTGAACCCTCCACAGGAGCCCAGGCAGAGCCCTTCACAATATTCCGGAGGACCCTGGGGTCTGCAACCTCCCCCACTGGCCTGTTCCCCCACCTGGCACCACGGGAGAAGAGGAACTTGGCCCCACTCGCGGGCCTGCTGTCTCCCTGCCCAGGGCCGGCGGACCCTCCCCTGGTGCCAGCAGACCTCGCACAACACTGGCAGGTCCCATCTCCACCTGGGGTTTTGATGCCCCCACTCAACCCCCTGGCTTGGACCCAGAGTGGGGCTTCCTCTCTCCCCGCCTCCACTCCGGCCCCCTCTCCACCATGGCGGAGAACTCCAGGGGCAGGACCCAGCTTCCCACGGGGAGTGGAGGCCAAGGCGCCTCCCTCCTCCCCCTCACGGCTCCTCTCCTCCTCCTCCGGGAAGACTCCGGGGACCCCCACAGGCGGGTCCCTCCCTTTTCCCCAACCCCCCACTCCCTGTGTGCCGGCGTGCTCCTCTCACCCTCTGACCACAGGCCTGCCGAGAACACTGCTCCCCGGGCCAGGCCTCAGCTCAGTTGGGCCACGTTGGGCTCCAGTCTCCTGCAACCTGACCACCATCGGGGGGCCAAACCCAAGCCCCCTGACAGAACGGGAGGGAGGAAGGTGGGAGACAGGCCTGGAGGCTTGGGGGAGCCAGGCCCAGCCCAGATCAGCCTGCAGGGTGTGGGAGGAGCTGCATTTTGCTTTTAATGGGACAGACACTTAAAGGAGAGACGGGGATTTGCGATCCCCATCAAACCAGGGCCCAACTCCCAAGGCCTTCTCTTATTCCTGGCAACTGTAATAAAAAAGCCAGGCGTGTGGCCTCCTGTTTGTAGCTCCCCAGTTGTGTGGAGATGTCATTTACAAGAAGACTCACCCTAACCAGCCCACTCTTTAGGCTCTGGCCCTGGGCAGGCAGCCAGGGAAGCAGTCAGCTCTGCACCCAAGGCTCTGTGCAGGCTCTTGTCCGCTGTAAGCCCGGGCTTAACAAAGCCTCTCCCAGGACCCCAGGTCCTCTAAGGATGGTGCCTCACGCCCCAGCAGCAGGCGCCACGGGCTACCAAGCCCCCCTGGCTGGGGCTCCTGGGGACCCGCGTTCTGGGCACCTGACCCACACGCACCGAGCAGACGGGTTGAGGCGTTGCAGTGATGGAGCCAGGGGGCTACCCGTGTGTCCACGCAGGGCAGGACCCATCTCACCAGACCCTGCAACCCCAGGTGGGATAGGAGGAGCGGACGCGGAGGGCTCCCCAGCCCTCCTTTGTCTAGCTTGCTCTGCAGCCCCCGCCCTGCCCTCGGAACAGCGGAGGAGCTCCGGGTGAGACCTCAGCACACAGGCGAGGCCAGCCCTGAGGACAGTGCACTGTGGAAGAGCCTGGGGCTGACTTCAGCGTACTTAAGCCCAAGGCGAAGAGGGTGGAGCCATCACTCGGAGTGTTAGGAGTGTGGCAAGGAGATGGGGGTGGCCTGGCTGTTGGGGGAGCCCCAGGCAGGGCCCACACAGGCACGGTCGAGGGTCTCAGCACATGGGGCCAGTGCTGGTCAAAGCAGAGGTGAGAGAGGCAGGGAGGTATCAGCGTCTGTGTGGCAACACCGCCCAGACTGGGGAGGGGCTGTCAGAGGACCCAGGGGTCTCTTGGGATGTGTGGGCTGGAAGTGGGGTTCTGGGCTTCGGGACGCTCAGAAGAGCCTGGAGCTCGGGAAAAGGGGCTGCCCTGGAAAGCCTGGGCTGGGGCCCCAAGGGGTAGGGGCCGGGACATGAGGAAGCAGAGGAGAGTAGGAGGGCAGGCAGCGCCCAGGGCAGAGGAAGACCCACAAAGCACAGGCTGGTGAGGAAGAGGCCTCATGTCCCAGCCTCCTCCCTTCTGAGACCCAGCCCCTGTGCCAGGCCCACTCAGATCCAGAGCCCCACATCAGATGCCCCTGGGCGCCTGGATCCCACCCTCCTTCTGTCCTGGCAGCCCTGTCAGAAGGCTGCTGCCATCCCACTATGCCCTGAAGAGGACAGAACAAAGCCAGGGGGTCAAACCAGGGTCTGTGTGAGTGTGCGCTCCTCTGAGTGCGCTTCTCTGAGTGTGCACTCCTCTGAGTGTGAGATCCTCTGAGTGTGCACTCCTCTGACTGTGTGCTCCTCTGAGTGCGTGCTTGTCTGAGTGTGTGCTCCTCTGAGTGTGAGCTCCTCTGAGTGTGCGCTCATCTGAGTGTGAGCTCCTCTGAGTGTGCGCTCGTCTGAGTGTCAGCTCCTCTGTGTGTGCACTCGTCTGAGTGTGAACTCCTCTGAGTGTGCACGTCAGCAGGCCTGGCCTGTCACTGGGTGGCAGTCTGGGGCCAGTCCACCTTGGCTTTGGTACCGACCTCCTCTTTGCTAGGAATGGCACCAACACTAACGGCCCCCAGGCCATGATCCTCCACCCAGAGAATTGATGACTTGGAATCGACTCCTCATAGCTTCTCCATCAATTAGAGCCTTTGCCCTGCTTCTGCTGTCTCACTTATTGTCCTTCCTGTAACTGGAAAATCAAAACAGTTCTGTTCAGCATTGATTAGGACACGGGACCCCGTGTAAACACACCCCTCCTCTGTCACACATCCTTCAGAAAGTCCCCAAGATAAATGCTCCACGTCCTGGGAAACACAGATGAGAGTCCCATCTGGCATCCGCACTGCCACCAGCAGCAGAGACCCTCAGGTGGTGGGGCCTTCCAGACGCCTGCGGGGGAGAGGGGTGTCCCCTCTGCCAAGGACCCTGTGCCCCTCCTGCTGCCTGATCTGAGGGTCTCAGAATGACGGGTCCTGTCTGAACCTCCAGACCCCAGGGTGTTTCACTCTCTTCTGCACCCCTGGACCCTGTGCCAGCCACAGTTCTCCAGAAAAATGGGACCGCTGGGAGAGGCCTGCACATTAAGACATTGATTTCACAGAACTGGCTTATGCAATTGTGGGGTCCAGCTGGGCACGTCTGAGTAAGCAACAGACTGGAAACGGGTGGTGGCTGACACTGCCATCTTCAGACAGAATTTCTTCTCTGGGAAGCCTGTGTTGCCCGTCAGGCCCTGCCCTGGTTAGAAGAGGCCCAGCATATTAGGGAGGGTCATCTCCTTCACTGAAAGCTGACCGATGGTGATGTTAACCACACCTGCAGCGCACCCCACACAGCACCTAGCGAGGGCTTGGTGGGATGTTGGGGCTGCAGCCTCACCAAACCAAGCCGACCATCATGGGCTAGGAGCTCCCTGAGGGCAGGGTCTGGCCTGTGAGGCAGTGGCCTTCACACCCTGGCCTGGCACAGGGGACCCGGGCTTACTTGGGTCTTGTCCCTGCCCTGAGAGGCCAGCACCTGCTCTGTGCTGGGGGAGCCGGGGAGGCTCAGGGTGGGGGATGGCGCAGGGGGGACTGCGTTATTGGGTAAAATTGGAGGATGCTGGGGTCTGCCCAAACAGCTGGCAGGACAGACAGGGCCTCCACTGTGAGGACCTGGGGCTCAGACTGACCCTTCGATGCTCCGCGTCTACCCACTACCACGGGGGCTCATTAGGGGCAGCCACGTGGCCTTGCCCGGCCATCGACCTTCACCGTGGCTCCAGACCCTGTCCAGCTGCCTCCTCAACACGTCCAAGTGGCTGATCAAGACACTTGAAGTGATCAAACCAAACCGTTCCTCTCTGGCCCATCATCCATCTTCTTTTTCCCAGAAAAAGGCGCTGGCCCTCGCTGTCACCACCGCCATCCTGCGCACCCACCAAGGCCCTCAGCAAACCCCACCAGCTTGCCCTCGGCACGCACACCAGACTCAGCACCTTGTGGCATCTCGGCTCACCTGCACCTCTGTCACGAGGCCACTGGCCACCCCAGCTCCAGCCCTGGTCGGCTCCATCAGCCAGAGGTTGCTGTAGAAGATCTTGGGACCCCGGCCGGGCTCCCGTCCCTCCTGTGGCCCAAGCCATGTGCCCAGGAGACCCCGAGCTGCCGGCCCGCCTTTCCAGCCTCCACCCTGCTGGTCCCTCAGTGGGAGCTCAGTCACCTCATCCTCCTCAAGGAGCTGCCCTGGCTGCCCAGACCACCACACAGAGCTCCCACCTCTGCACAGGGCCCACCAGAGCCCTGCCTGGTTGTTCCGGCACATTTCTCCATCAAGGTCAAGCACACAGGGCAGGACCCACCACACGTGTTCACGGTGGCGTCTCCATGCCCCATGGTTTGTTGATGAGCAACTGACTGGTGCTCCCAGAACAACGCCCTCCCAAACCAGAGCAGGGTGGTGGGTGAAGCCCCTGGATGGGAGCCCACGCAGGCCCTTGGGGTGCGGCCCACATTTCAGCTCCCACAGCTAAGCTCATGGGATCCTACCCTGGGCCACAGACACTCGGCGAGGGCAGGCTCCAATGCTGAAGGAAGCATTGCTTCACACGGAGGGGCATGGGGAAGGAGCTGGACCCCTCAGATTAAAAAGAAGAAAATCAACCCACAAAATTGTACAGCAGACGGGACTAAACCTTACAGAAGAAAGAATGGTTCGAGTGATGAGGACGCACGGTGTCCTCTCTGCATCGCCAAATTGGGCATATTCGAAGGATAAACAGGGGCTGTGTGGGCAAAGGAGCCAGCTGAGGGCCCAGGATGGGACAAGTTCAGCTCCAAAGAGCAGAAGGACTGCCATGAATGAAACACATCAAATCTGGCTCAAGCCTTGGCTCAGTAATGACACAAAACAAATGAACACCTCACTGGGCACCATTGGAGGTGGTTAGGGTGCCAGTTTGTTACTCTGAAAAATGTATCAATACAGGAGAAGAAAACAAGCATTTATCCTGTTTGTCCTGAATAAGTGATATTTCAGAGTAACCAAACAATTTACGAAGGAAAATTCTCCCTTATATAATTGCAGCAGATAAATGACTAAGAAAATAATGAATTAGAAAAAAAATCTTTGTGTAACCTTTTATAAAATAATGAATTGGGGCAACAATTATCAACTGCCACCACCTCAGCCCATAAGTCAATCTCAGCATCAGACAGGGCCTAACCTGGTGTATTGCTTGCTGACACAAAATAAAACAAAAATCTCCATAGGATTTAAAGAAGATCCAAAGTCTCATAATTTCATATTCAAAATGACCAGGATACAATCCCAAAATACTCAATATGCAAAGAACCAGGAAAAGTCTGACAAATTATCAAGGTGAAAGACAATCAACAGATATCACCCCCCAAGAAGACCCAGTTGTTGGAATTATCACACTTTTTTTTTTTAGACAGTCTTGCTCTGCCACCCAGGCTGGAGTACAGTGGTGCGATCATCGCTGACTGCAGCCTCCACCTCCCCAGGCTCAAGCAATCCTCCCACTTCAGCTTCCTAAGTAGCTGGGACTACCAGGTGTGTGTCACCATGCCTGGCTAATTTTTAAATTTTTTTTGTAGAGATGGGGTCTCAGTATGTTGCCCAGACTGGTGTTAACCTCCTGGGCACAAGCAATCCTCCTGCCCTGGCCTCCCAAAGTGCTGAGATTACAGGCATGAGCCACTGTGCCTAGTCCTATCACACAGATTTTAAAGCAATTATTATAATCACGCTCTAAGAAGTAAAGGAAAACACTATTGAAAAAAATGGAAAGATTGAAAGTCTCATCCCAGAAAGAGAAGCTATAAAAAAGAATCAAATGGAAATTTTAGAACAGAAAAATACAATAACCAAAATTAAAAATTCACTGGGTGAGTTCACAAGAAGAATGGAGATGACAAGGAGGAAAATCATTCTGAAATTTTAGAAAGAGCAATGGAAATTATCCAGTCTAATAAAAGAGAAAAAAATTCTTGAAAAATAAACTGCTGGCCGGGCATGGTGGCTCACGCCTGTAATCCCAGCACTTTGGGAGGCTGAGGCAGGCAGATCACGAGGTCAGGAGATCGAGACCATCCTGGCCAACATGGTGAAACTCTGTCTCTACTAAAAATACAAAAAATTAGCCCAGCATGGCGGCAGGCACCTGTAGTCCCAGCTACTCGGGAGGTTGAGGCAGGAGAATGGCATGAACCCGGGAGGCAGAGCTTGCAGTGAGCTGAGATCACGCCACTGCACTTCAGCCCGAGCAACAGAGCGAGACTCCATCTAAAAATAAAAAAATTAAAAAAAAATAAACAGCTGGGTGATCATAGTGGCTTATGCCTATAAACCCAGCACATGTGGGGAGGCTGTGGTGGGAGGATTATGTGAGGCCAGGAGTTTGAGACCAATCTGGGCCACATAGCAACACTGTGTCTCTACAAATAGTTAAAAATTAGCCAGGTGTAGTGGTGCATGCCTATAGTCCCAGCTACTCAGGCTGAGGTGGGAGGATTGCTTGAGCCCAGGAGTTCCAGGCTGCAGTGAGCCAAGGTCACACCACTGCACTCCAGCATGGGCAAGAGTCTAAGACCCTGTCTCAGAAATGAAATAAAATAAAATAAAATAAGTGAAATAAAATAAAATAAACAGAGCCCCAGGGTCCTACATGATGCTAGGAAATGGTCTAAGTTTTGTGTCACTGGAGTCCCAGAAGGAAATGAGAAAACAGAAATATTCAAAGAAATAGAGTATAAAATCTGCTGAAAAGTCATAAATTTATAGATTCAAAGAAGCTCAGTGAACTTCAGAGAGGATAAACTCAGAAAAATCCATACCCAGAAACATCAATCAAACTACCAAAAACCAAAGACAAAGAAAATGCCTCGAAGGCAGCCAGAGAAGAACGGTGCACGGCCAGAGGGAAACTTGGGTTTGAAAGCCTGTGGATTTCTCATTAGAGAGCATGGGCGCCTAAGGCAGTCGGCCAGTGTTGTTAAGTGCGAAAAGAAACTAGTGGTCAGGCCGGGCACGGTGGCTCACGCCTGTAATCCCAGCACTTTGGGAGCCTGAGGTGGGTGGATCACTAGAGGTCAGAAGTTCGAGACCAGGCTGCCCATCGTGGTGAAACCCTGTCTCCATTAAAAATACAAAAAGTGGCCGGGCGCAGTGGCTTGCGCCTGTAATCCCAGCACTTCGGGAGGCCGAGGCGGGTGGATCACGAGGTGAGGAGATCGAGAAAATCCTGTCTAACACGGTGAAACCCCATCTCTACTAAAAATACAAAAAATAATTAGCCGGGCGTGGTGGCGGGCACCTGTAGTCCCAGATACTCGGGAGGCTGAGGCAGGAGAATGGCGCAAACCTGGGAGGCGGAGCTTGCAGTGAGGCGAGATTGTACCACTGCACTCCAGCCTGGGTGACAGAGCGAGACTCCGTCTCAAAAAAAAACAAAAACAAAAAACAAAAACAAAAAAAACTAGTTGTCAACCAAGAAGTCTGTACAGCAAAAATGTCCTTTAGGAATTAAGTAAACTAAAGACATTCTCAAATGAGGGAAAATAAAGAGAATTTTTCACTGCAGATTTGTTCTAAAAGAAATGTGGGGCCTGGCGCAGTGGCTCACACCTGTAATCCCAGCACTTCGGGAGGCCAAGGCAGGTGGATCACTTGAGGTCAGGAGTTCGAGACCAGCCTGGCCAACATGGTGAAACCACATGTCTACTAAAAACTAAAAAAAAAAATTAGCCGGGCATGGTGGTGGGCGCCTGTAGTCCCAGCTACTCAAGAGGCTGAGGCAGGAGAATCGCTTGGATCTGGGAGGCAGAGGTTGCAGTCAGCCAAGATTGCACCATTGCACTCTACCCTGGGTGACAGAGCGAGACTCTGTCAAAAAAAAAAAAAAAAAAAAAGAAAAGTATAGAAATGTGAAAGACGGTTCTTCAGGCAGAATGGAAATGATTCCAGAAGGAAACTTGGAACTGCAGAAAATATAAATATATCGGTGAAGGTAAAATATTTTTTCTTCTTACGTTGTTAAAGCATGCATGATACCTGAGAGTAATGAGTTAAGGGCAAAAATCATAACACTGGGGAAGTTATGAGTGTATATAGATGTAATAATGATTATTATGAAATTATGAATGTATATAGATGTAATGATGATTATAACACCGGGGGAAGTTGTGAGTGTATATAGATGTAACGATGATTATAACACCGGGGGAAGTTGTGAGTGTATATAGGTGTAACGATGATTATAACACCGGGGGAAGTTGTGAGTGTATATAGATGTAACGATGATTATAACACCGGGGGAAGTTGTGAGTGTATACAGATGTAATGATGATTGTAACACCGGGGGAAGTTGTGAGTGTATATAGATGTAATGATGATTATAACACCGGGGGATGTTGTGAGTGTATATAGATGTAATGATGATTATAACACCGGGGGAAGTTGTGAGTGTATATAGATGTAATGATGATTATAACACCGGGGGAAGTTGTGAGTGTATATAGATGTAATGATGATTATAACACCGGGGGAAGTTGTGAGTGTATATAGATGTAATGATGATTATAACACCGGGGGAAGTTGTGAGTGTATATAGATGTAATGATGATTATAACACCGGGGGAAGTTGTGAGTGTATACAGATGTAATGATGATTATAACACCGGGGGAAGTTGTGAGTGTATATAGATGTAATGATGATTATAACACCGGGGGAAGTTGTGAGTGTATATGGATGTAATGATGATTATAGTCACCGGGGGAAAGTAGTGAGTGTATATAGATGTAAT